>NC_000007.14:95840112-96143142 GCF_000001405.40 Homo sapiens
GTCTTATTTCCTTCCCCAGGTTTGGGAATTTTTCAGCCATTATTTCTCTGAATGAGTTTTCTGGTTCTCCTTCTGTGAGTTTCATAATGCATATATTGCCACTTGATGTTACCCTGTAATTCTCTTAATATATCTTCACTGTTTTTTATTCTTTTTTTTTCCTTTTTGCTCCTCTGACTAGAGGATTTCCAGTGAGCTGTCTTTGACTTTACTTCTCCTTTCTTCTGCTTAATCAAATCTGCTGTTGAAACCTCATATTGAATTTTTCAGTTCAGTTATTGTATTCTTCAGGTCTATTATTTCTATTTGGTATTTTTAAATATTTTCTATCCCTTTGTCAAGATTCTCACATTGTTCATGCATTTCTCTCCTAACTATTGTGAACATCTTCATGATCAACATTTTGAATTCTCTGTTGGGTAAATCACATGTCTCCATTTCATTAAGGTAGGTTTCTGAAGATTTATCTTGTTCTTTTATTTGGAACATATTTTCATTTTCTTTGATTCTTTGTGTTAGTTTCTGCACATTTTATAGAACAACCACCTCTCTTAGTCTTCACAGACTGATGTCTATAAGAGTCAATCTTCATCCATTAGGCTAGCTAGAGATTCTGGATGCTACCTATTCCTTCGTGCTTCCAAACTGCCATCTGTTTCCTTAGTGGGCCCAGGGTACTAGAGTATGCTAAACCCTAAGAGAGTCCTAAGATTGGCAAGATTGGAGCCAGTCTCTTGAGTAGCAGTTGGAATAAATGATGCATTAGGTACGTGTTCTAATGCATCAATTTATTCCAGCTCTCCTTATGCATCTCCAGCTGTCCTTAATGCATATTAATGTCCTTAGGAAGAAGCTGGGAACTGGAGTTTATCACCCACTTGCTCTGCACTGAGCCAGGAAGAGGAACTGTGGCAAATGCCTGTAATGCTCACTCAGACGCAGGCTGTTTTAAATCATTGCTTTACTCTTTGTCACCTCTAGGGGGTCTAGTAAATGCTAGGCCCTCAGTTCTTGGAACAGACAAGCTAGAGGCCAGTCCCTCTGGTAGCGACTAGAAAATTTAAAGGTCTAGATGGGTAGTTTAAGCTCTTCTAAGGAGAAGCTATAGGCTTGGTTTTATTTCTGGAATGATTTGTGGGGAGGAGCCCTGGGAAGTATCCTCACATTCATTTAAACTCCCAGTGACTAGTGACTGCCTGCCCTGTTAGCTCCAAGAAACAGGCAAGTCAGAAGCCAGATCCATGGGTAGCAGCTGGAAAAGTCAAGGTACTAGATGTATAGTGTAACCCCTCCCAGGGAGAATCTGAGAGCTGTGCATTTTGGTAAAATAAGCTGGCAGGAGGAGTCATGGGACGAGCCTGCAAGGCCATTCAAAACCACTGCTTTGTTCTCTGGAGACTCCAAGTGACCAGCGAATATTGGGCCCTATCAGCTCCCCAGTTAGGTGAGTTAGTAACTACACTCCCAAGCAGCAGATGAAAAAAATCAGAGCATTTGTTGTGTAGTCCAACTCCTTCCAGGAAGAAGCTAAAGGTTTAGTTTCTTTGCCAGAGTGAGCTGGAGGAAGGAGCTGTAGGAAGTGCCTACATACCCATTTAAACTCCCTGGGGACTAGTAATTGCCTGCCCTGTTGACTTCCAGATACAGGCTTGTTATAAGCCAGACCCTTGGGCAGCAGCTGAAAAAGTCAGGGCTTTTGATGTGCAATCTAACCCCTTCTAGGGAAAAGCTAGGAGCTGAGCTTTGTCACCTGCTCACTGTGTGCTAAGCCAGTGGGGAGAAGCATGGGAAATGCTTGAGTGCCTGTTTAAAGCTGCCTCTGTTCTCTGCCATTCCAGGGGTCTAATAAGTGCTGGGCCCCATTGGCTTCCAGAGATAGGCAAGTTAGGAATCATTTCCTCTGGTAGTGGTTTTAAAAGTTGGGGTATTGTGTGTACGGTTCAAACCCTTTACTCCTCAGGGAGAAACTGAGAGATGGAGGTTCCCCTCAATTGTATAGTGCTGGGCTGAGGGTAGGGTTTATGGTGAGAGTGAGAATATGTCTCAGCTTTTCTTACTGTTGCACCCGAGCGAGTTAGGGAAACGCCACATTTGAGACAAATTAAGAGTCCTTTATTAGCCGTGGACGGAGAGACAGCTAATGCCCAAAGTTCTCTCGGCCCCTAGGAAGGGGCTTGATTAATTTTTATACCTTGGTTTAGGAAGGGGAGGGGTCTAGTTAGAACAATTTTACATAAGTTAAGTAGTCAAAAAGTTAAAAGGATAAATGGTTACAGGAAAGTAAACAGTTCCAGGTGCGGGGGCTTTAAGACTATTACAAGGTGATAGACGTGGGGCTTTGGGCATTATCAATCAGACGAATTCTTGGGGACTGCAGATATAGCTTGCCACAGTATCTTATCAGTTAATTGCATTCTTGGATGTGCTGGGAGTCAGCTTGCACAAGTTAAGTCCTTGAGGAAGGGGCTGCCAGTGAAAGAGCCAGGATGGAGTTTGTCTGGTTCTCTTAGCTAAGGGAGAAACAAGGCTAGGTGAATGAAGGAAAAAACAAGGTTGGGCATTACATTACCTGTGCTGAAGTGGGAATTTTCTCAGCCATCCGACATACAGAAATCTCTCCACTAGTTTCTGTATTTTTCTCAGAGGATGTCGATTCATGTATAGCTGTTTATTTGATGCTCTATGGGTGGAGTGAGAGTTCTCAGCCTCCTATTCTGTTTTTTTGCTGAAGTACTCCTGCATGTTTGGTAATTTTTTATTTATATTAGACATTGTGAATTTTTTTTTTTAGGTTTCAGATACTTGAATTTCTATAATTTTCTTGTGATTTGTTCTGAGATATAGTAAATTAACTTTGACCAAGTTTTATCTTTTAAGGTCTTGCTTTTAAGATTTTTTAGTTGGGACAGGAGCAGTGCTCAGCTTAGGGCTAATTCCTGCTACTGAAGCAAGTCCCTTACATGTATTCTACACATTGCCCCATAAATCTTAAGGTTTTCCAGTTTGACTGGCGTGAACAGAAACTATTCTTATTCTTGTGTAAATGCCCAGAACTGTTATCTGTAATTGTTTCCAGATCATTCTTTCCTTGGCCTCAGGTAGTTTCTTCACATAAATGTACTGATCAATGCTGAGCTGAATTCTCAAAGGCAAACTTCTGAGTTTTCTTTTGTGCAGATTTCTTCTCTCTGCCGTATTTTCCTGTGAATTCTAACTGCCTGGTCTCCCTGGACTCTCAACTCTGTCTCTACAACTTAGAGAGTCTGCTGGATTTCACCTGAGTTTCCTCCCTACACCATGGCCTGGAAACTCTCTCAATGCTGTAACTTGGGGCAGTTGTAGGGCTCCTCTTACTTGTGTCCCTCCCTCATGTATCACTGTTCCTCATTGCCTGACCTCTAGTGGCCTGTAAGTTGTTTTATTCAGCATTACATATTTTAAATTTCAGGTTTCTGGGTAAATTTGGTCTCTATTACTCCATTTTGGCCGGAAACACAAATGTGTCACTTGATTCTGGTTTGTATGTTAACTATGTGATTAGCAAAGCAAATGGCAGCAGAGAGAAAAAAGGGAGATGATATGGCTTTCAGAAAAAAAAATGACTTCAAGAAAATTGTAAATAAAATGAGAAAATAAGTGCAACTCAACTTGTCTTTTTACCAGGCAAATACATACGGAAGTACCAAAAATGCTTTGCTTTCTTTCTTAGGCCATTATAATAGATTAGGTGAATTGAAGATACTGAAAGGGAAAGATGAAATAACAGGATAAAAAGAGTAAGTTAAAGGATCACAGGAGAGAAAGAACTAATATAGCTTGGAAGTGAATAAATATGTCATTGAAATTTGGAACTGCAATGGGAAAATTTGAGGGAGGGATTATGTTTAAAATGTTTTTTGGTGTGTCTTATGAAGAGAACATAAATGCAAATATTCCCATGAGATTACCAGTCTTCCAGAAGATGGGCTGAGAACAACATAAGAAGAGCAGGGCTGGGAGAGAAGAAAAGATTCTCAACTTTATATAGATAACAATGAGCAATGAGGGTATTTTGTGGCCCTTCACTCCAAATTATTAAACCTAGTACCTTATAGAATATTTATTGGCTTCAGAAGCCTCGTGATTATATTTCCTTTACGTATTAGTATATCAAACTCTTGATAGAGTTTTTAAAAATATTAGGAAGCAAAGAGAATGAAGGAAAACCATGAAGCTGTGAGCAAGGATTTGGCTGTTCCTTCACAGAAGAAAGAACTTAGATTTTATTTTCAATGTTTGAGAGACACTGTTAATGTACTTGCCTAGTGGATTCTTCCTGCCTGCTGCACAGACAAAACCAGTTCACTGAGACCAAGGCATTGCAGTAAAGAATTTAATTGATGAAGGCCTGCTATGCCACATGGGAGACAGAGTTACTACTCACATAGTCCCCTGCAAAATTCGGAGACTAGGGTGTTTTAAGGATAGTTTAGTGGGTCGGGCGGCGGGGGGTTAGAGGAATGGGTTCTTTTGATTGGTTGGGGGTGCAATCGTAGGGGTGTGGAAAATGGTCCTCAACCACTGAGTCTGTTTTCTGGGTGGGGGCCCCAGGACGGACTGGTGGAACCAAGAGTCCAGGGTCTGGGTGGTGCCATCAGATTGTCAGAAATGCAGAAGCCTAAAAAGACATTTTAAAAGGCCAATCTTAGATTGTACAGTAGTGAATTGGGGAAGCTGCAAATCTTGTGACCTCCAGAATAATGGCTGGTAATCGTTTAACTATCCCTACATCTTAGCAGAATTCAGGCCCCTCTCATTTTCCTAACCTGATGACCTTTCATTAGTTTATAACAGTAGTATAATTTTGGGAAATGGCTATTTTCATTTAAACTATAAGCTAAATTTATTCCAAAGTAGTTTGGCCCAAGCCCAGGAATGACCAAGTACAGTTTGAAGGTTAAAGGCAAGATGAGAGTTGGTCAGATCAGATCTCTTTCACTGTCATAATTTTCTCACTGTTATAATTTTTGCAAAGGTGGTTTCACTAGTAGGTGGTGACCTCTTCTTTCTCTAAACTGTCTTCTTTGCATTCTTGGCTGAAAGAGAGAATGTGTATTACTCTAGAGTCTACCAGGCACCATTCCAAACTGCTATGGTGAAATAAAGAGATCACTCTGTCAAGAATAGAAGTAAAACCAACTATATAAAGAAATGAGAGAAGCATATAATCCTCAGGATGGTGGTAGGTATTACAGAAAATCTAACTAGGAAAGTTCTAGAGGTCTTTTTACATTTTAAAGTTATTGCCATTTGCCTAACAGAACAGATGTAACCCCATTAGCCTTTAATGAAGAAAGACCTTCATTTGGCTTATTCTCCAAGCTTTGTCAAATATTCGTATGCATTAAGTTTAGATATCTGATTTGAATTAATTTTCAAGGTTTGTCATGTAACAATGCCTGGTATGTTCTTGAGAATAATGCCAGTTGAATTCTTTGAGCAAGTTGACAACCTCTGCCTCTTCAGTAACACTCAATCACACTTTCCACAGAAATTGAAATATGAAACAGCATCTTGTAATATGTATGTGTATCAAAATGTAGTAGCAAAATGTATTTCAGAATCTATAAATATAGATTTATATTCTGACCCATGAAGAACTGTTATAAATTGGTTTTAACAGAACCAATCAAAATTTTGTCACAAGAGAGGAAGGAAGCATTTTGCTCACCATTTGTAATAATCATTTATTTGTCCCCAAACATTTCTTGAGAAGCTTCTATCACCAAGTGTTTGTTCTCTACCCTCAAGAATCTTGAGTAAGCAATTATAGGGCATTTTCCATTCCATAGTAGCAACTGGATTTTCAAAGAACAATATTTCTTTTTCATTCAATTTCAGAAAGATGTAGGCCAATTGTTAAGGAGGTGTGCTTATACTTTGGTACCCAGTGACTTGAAGAATTCTATAATTTTATAGTTTTATGTTGGTACAAATTCTATGGAAGCTTTTTCATAAGTATCAAGGTAGTAAAAGGTCATTCCTATATAATTTTTAATATAATCATTGTCATTTATATATATTATTGGAGAAAACACACTTCTGTACCTTCCATCCTTACTATTCTGAACTTTTAATGTCCTTTGTAAAGTGAGCCCTTAATAGCAGAACCTCTTCCAGTGTTGCCAAGTTCTATTATAATCATGACTATTTTGATTCTTCTCTCATCCTAGAAATTTACTTGTGTTATGAAATTCAAAGCTAACCCTTTGGTTGTGCCTATTGATTGAGCCAGACTTGACATTTGCTTCTGTTCAGGAAAAATGCTTTTGCTGCCAAACTAATATCTCTGCACAGTAAGAAGCAAATACCATGGAAATGAAATAAATACTTCCTAAAATGACTTTTTAAATGTGAACATAGAAGAATGGAAGCTCATCCTTCTTGAAGTAGTCAGAAAAAGTCAACCATCAAGCTGTTTCCCAGTACTTGGAGAAAAATACCCATTCTGAACATAAATGATAAATCTCTCTCTCTGTGTGTGTGTGTGTGTGTGTGTGTGTGTGTGTGTGTGTGACGAAGGGGGCCACAAGGCCAGGTTCATGTCCTCAGTGTGGTGCCCCATGCTCACCATTCCTCCATGTGGTATCCCATACCCAACTCTCTAAGAATCAGTCCTTCAGATGTTACACCTTGACACCTCAGTACATTAGAATTCAGTAGTTGAAAAACAAATTAACTCTGTCATTGTAAAATGTCTGTCATATTACATGAGTTCCTGTGCCATTAGCTTTCTACATTCTCTTTTTCTATAGATCCAACATTTTCTCTATGACTCCATTGGGTGGCTCCCAGGTCCTCATTTTGAATTTTGTCTTCTCTGACCTTTGGTCCTGCATTTCTTATGATCAGAAAAGCCCTTATCACAAACTCATCCACCAAGTATGCATTTTGTTAACCCCAAAGAAAAGGTATTTCTCTAGATTTCTTTATGTCTTCCAGTTACACCAGTCACTTTTCTTCCTACATGGTGTGAACCTTTGAAATAATCTCTAATTTGTTTCCTTTTCTTCACCCTCCATATCAAGTAAACTAAGATCTGTCCTAAATTCTTTTCCAAAGTCTCCAATTTGCAGCATTCTTTCCATTCCAGTGCTGTTGCCACTTAGTGCTTTCTCGTCACCCTGGACCAAATCTCCACACTTCGTTAGACCATCAATCACAGATCTTTTCTCTGGCTGCTCCCTTTGAATTGTTTATCCTAGATTCGGTTTTGTTCCTAAACCTACCCAACCATCCGCCTTTGCTTGTAGGTTGTTTCTCAATTCCATTTTCTCCACCCTCAGCTTCTAAGGTCCAGTGACTTTCCACACCTAACATTGGCCCCTCATTTGTCAGAGAAGGGTTTAGACTATATTTTTTTACATAGTTTCTATACAAACATGTTTTAAATGTTGTCTTGCAGCTGTCAATTTCTTACCCAGCAACTTTTAATAACTCCTCACTGTCTACAGCATAAAGTCCAAATTCTTTAACCTGATACTTAAAACCCTCTACTAATCTGGCCTCAATATACCTCTCTAAATTTATCTTCTCTTGCTCTCAAATCAAAACTTATATTCTGAAAACCTTGTCTCTCAGACATAAAATGTGAATTTAGTCTCCAGATCTTTGTATATGCCAGGAGATCTCGCTAGGATATTGTCCCCATTCCTTTCCACTTAACTGATTCCTGCCTATCCTTGAAATTCACACCAGAGCTTCTATTCTCTATGAAATTCTATTTCACTTATCCACAATAATCCACCCATTATACTCTCCTGCCTTACTTATTATGTGACTCACCCATGTTGGCTCTTATTATATGCTACCTTTTCTTCTTTTTTTGACTTTATTTTTTAATTTACAAATAAAATTGTATGTATTTACCATCTACAGCATGATGTATTGAATTATATATGCATTGTGGAGTAACTAAATATAGCTAATTAGCATATGCATTACCTCACATAGTTATCATAGTTATGGTGAGAACACTTAACATCCACCGTCTTACCATTTTTCAGTAACACAATACAAATGGTCCCTGATTTACACTGGTGTTTGACTTACAGTTGTTTTTTTTTTTTTTTTTAACTTTACAATGGGTTTATTGGAATGAAACCCAATTGTAAGTTCAGAAACATCTGTATACTGTTATTACCTATAGTCATCATGTTATACAATAGATCTCTTGAACTTACTTTTCCTGTATAGCTGAAATTTTGTATCCTTTGACCAACATCTCCCATCTTTCCTTCCTCAACTGCCCCAGCCCCTGATAACCTTACCTTCCTACTGTCTACTTTATGACATGAACTTTTTAAGATTCCACATGAGTGAACTCATACAGTACTTGTTGTTCTGTACCTCGCTTATTTCACTTAACAAAATGCTCTCCTGGTTCATCTATATCGTTGCAAATGACAGGATTGTCTTTATTATGGCTGAATAGTATTCCATTGTGTAAGCCACATTTTCCTTACCTATTCATCTTTTGATAAACACATAGGTTGATTTCATATCTTGGCTATTGTGAATGATACTGCAGTGAACATGGGGGTACAAATACCTCTCTGACATGCTTATTTTATTTTCATTGGATATTTATCTAGTAGTGGGATTGCTGGATCATACAGAAGTTCTATTTTTAATTTTTGAGTAACATTTATACTGTTTGCCATAATGGCTATACTAATGTACATTACCACCAACTGTGTGCAAGGATTCCCTTTTCTCCACAATCTTGCCAATATTTGCTGTCTTTTGTCCTTCTGATCATAGCCATTCTAACATGTATAAGGTGATAGCTCATTGTAGTTTTTAATTTGCATTTCCCTGATGATTAATGATGTTGAGCATTTTTTCAGATACTCATTGACCATCTGTATGTCTTCTTTAAAGAGATGTCTACTCAGATCCTTTGCCCATTTCAAAATCTGGTTATTGTTTTCTTGCTATTAAATTGAGTTCCTTATATATTTTGGATATTATCCCTTAATCAGATGTAAGTTTGCAAATATTTTCTCCCATTTTGTACATTGTCTCTTTATTCTGTTGATTGTTTCTTTTTCTGTTGAGAAGCTTTTTAGTTTGATGTAACTCCATTTGTCTGTTTTTGCTTTTGCAGCATGTGCTTTTGAGGTCATTTCCCAAAAATCCTTGTCCAGAACAATGTCACGGAGCTTTCTTGTTAGGTTTTCTTATAGTAGTTTCATATTTTACAATTAAGTCTTTAATCAATTTTGAGGGAGTTTTTTGGATATGGTGTAAGATAAAGGTCTAATTTTATTCTTCTGCATGTGGATATCCAGTTTTCCAACACCATTTGTTGCAAAGACTGTTCTTTCCCTATAGTGTGTTCTTGCCACCTGCATAAAAAAAATTGGTTGGCTGTAAATGTGTAGATTTATTTGTGGGCTCTCAGTTCTGTTCCATTGGTCTGTATGTATGTTTTTATGCCAGTACCATGCTGTTCTGATTACTTAAGGTTTGTAGTATATTTTGAAGTCAGGTAGTGTGATGCCTTCAGCTTTGTTCTTTTTGCTCAATGTTGCTTTAACTGTTTGGGGTCTTTTGTGGTTTCATATGAATTTTAGGATCGTTTTTCCTAGTTCTGTAAAAAATTTCGCTGGTATTTTGATAGAGATTACATAGAATTTGTAGGTCACTTTGAGTAATATGGGCATTTTGACAATATTAATTCTTCCAATCCATAAGCATGGAATATCTATCAATTTATTTGTGTCTTCTTCAATTTCTCTCATCAGTATTTTATAGTTTTCAGTATAGAGATCTTTTATCTTTGTTAGATTTATTCCTAAGTGCTGTGTTATTTTGGTCTCTATTGTAAATTGTTTTCTTGATTTTTTACTCAGTTCACTGTTAGTGTGTAGAAATGCTACTAATTTTTGTATATTGACTTTTCATCCTACAAGTTAACGGCATTTGTTTATTATTTCTGAAGGTTTTTTAGTGAAGTCTTTAGGGTTTTCTATATAAAAGATTATGTTGTCTGCAAATGGGAGCAATTTAACTTATTCTTTTCAGATTTGGATCCCTTTTGTTTCTTTCTCTTGCCTAATTGTTTTGCTAGGACTTCCAGGACTATGCTGAATAGAAGTAGCAAAACTGCATATCTTTGCCTTGTACCAGATCTTTAAGGAAAAGCTTCCAACTTTTCCCTATTGAGTATGATGTTTGCTGTGGGTTTGTCATATATGGCCTTTTTATGTGGAGGTGCATTCCTTCTATACCTAATTTATTGAGGGTTTTTATCATGAAAGGGTATTGAATTTTGCCAACTGCTCTTTTTGCATCTATTGAAATGATCATAAAAGTTTTTGTACATTTATAGTAGTCCTCTCTTCTATGTGGAGGATATGTTTCAAGACTGTCAGTGAATGCCTGAAACCATGGATAGTACTGAGCCCAATTACCAGTCAGACCATGTTTCTGTTCATGTTTGCCTGCCACACACACAAATGTAATGCCTTTTCCATCTTAACTAAGCATGTGTCATGCATTGTGGCCATAACTTTTGCAGTTTAAGATCTGTCAGCAAAACTAGCAAGGGTTTCCTTTTCCTTCTTCACAATTTCACAGATAAACGATTCATTCTTACCATAGAACTTAGCAGCCCCACCATGTGATTTTTCTTCTTTCCTTATTGAGAATGTGTACCTTTTCACATAAATGAAACGTTTTACAGTTTCTCTTTGACATAAGCAAATTGCCAGCATCACTACTCTTGTGCTTTGGGGCCATTATTAAGTAAAATAAGGGTTACTTGAACAGAAGCACTGTAATACCACAACTTTTTTTTTTCCTTGAGACAGGGTCTCACTCTGTCACCCAGGCTGGAGTACAGTGTTTGTGAATGCAGCCCACTGCAACCTCAACCTCCTGCGATCCTCCTGCCTCAGCCTGCCGTGCAGCTGGGACCACAGCGTACCCTACACACCTGGCTAATTTTTTGATTTTTTGAACAGAAGAGGTCTCACTTTGTTGCCCAGGCTGGTCTCAAACCCCTGGCCTCAAGCAATCCTCCAGCCTTGGCCTCCCAAAGTGTTGGGATTGCAGACATGAGCCACCATGCCTGGCCAATATCACAACATTTGATCTGATAACTGAGATGAATACTAACTGACTCATTTGTGGGTAGCATATACAGCATGGATATGCTGGACAAAGGGATGATTGATGTCCCAGGCAGGGTGAAGTGGGACAGCGCAAGATTTTATCATGCTATTCAGAACAGGGTGCAATTTAAAACTTATGAATTGTTTATTTCTGGAATTTTGTGTTTAATATTTTTAGATCACAGTTGACTGTGGGTAACTGAAACTATGGAAAGCAAAACCTTGGATAAAGAGGGGCTACTGTATTGATTTGCGTTCATGGGACTATCTTTGCATCTCTGGGATGAATCCCACTTAATCATAGTGAATGGTCTTTATAGTGTGCTATTGAATTTGATTTGCTAGTATTTTGTTGAGGATTTTTGCATCTGTGTTCATCAGAGATATATGACTATAGTCTTCTTTTTTTTAGACCAGAGTTTCGCTCTTGTTGCCCAGGCTGGTGTGCAATGTCATGATCTCGGCTCACTGCAACCTCTGCCTCCTGGGTTCAAGTGATTCTCCTGCCTCAGCCTCCCAACTAGCTGGGTTTAGAGGCATGTGCCACCACGCCTGGCTAATTTTGTATTTTTAGTGGAGACGGGGTTTCTCCATGTTGGTCTTGCTGGTCTTGAACTCCTGACCTTAGGTGATCCGCCCTCCTTGGCCTCACAAAGTGCTGGGATTACAGGTGTGAGCCACCATGCCCAGCCAGTTTTCTTTTTTCAATAACATTCTTATCTGGCTTTGGTATCAGGGTAATGCTGGCTTCATAAAATGAGCCTGGAAGTGTCCCTCTCTTCAGTTTTTTGCAACAGAGAAAAAATTGCTATTAGTTCTTCTTTAAATGTTTGTTACAATTCAGCAGTGAAAGTAAAAAGCCCTGGGCTTTTCTTTGATTGGAGACTTCTTTATTACTGATTCAATCTCCTTACTCATTATTGGCCTCTTCTGATTTTCTGTTTCTTCGTAATTAATTTTTTGATAGATTGTAGATGTCAAGGAATTTATCCATTTCTTTTGGGTTATTCTATTTGTTGTCATATAATTGTTCATAATAGTCTTTTATGATTCTTTGTATTTATGTTTTACCAGTTATAATATCTTCTTTTATATTTTTGATTTTATTTAAGTCTTCTCTTTTTTCCTTAGTTAGCCCAGCTAAAAGTTTGTCAATTTTATCTTTTCAAAAACATTAATTCTTCATCAATCTTTTGTACTGTTTTTCTAGTCTTTATTTTTCTTCTCTAATTTATTTATTATTATTATTATTTTGAGATGGAGTCTCACTTTGTCGCCCAGGCTGGAGGTAATGGCACAATCTTGGCTCACTGCAACCTCTGCCTCCTGGGTTCAAGCGATTCTCCTGCCTCAGCCTCCCGGGTAGCGAGGATTACAGGTGCCCGCCACCACACCCAGCTGATTTTTGTGTTATTAGTAGAGATGGGGTTTCACCATTTTGGCCAGGTGGTCTTGAACTCCTGACCTCAGGTGATCTGCCTGCCTTGGCCTCCTGAAGTGCTGGGATTACAGGCGTGAGCCACCGCACCCGGTGTCTTCTCTAATTTTTATTTCCTTCTATTAACTTTGAGCTTCATTTGTTCTTGTTTCTCTAGTTCCTTAAGGTGAAACATTAGATTATTTAATTTCTTCTTTTTTGATGTAGATATTTATTGCTATAAACTTTTATTCCATGTTTTTGTGCGTTGTGTTTCCATTTTTGTTTGTCTCAAGAAATTTTTACATTTCTCTTTTAATTCCTCTTTGACCCTTTGGTTGCTCAGAAGGGTATTGTTTAATTTTCATTTATTTGTGAATTTTCTGAAATTCCTTCTGTTATTGACTTCTAGTTTTATACCATTGTGGACAGAAAAGATACTTGATAAGATTTTAGTTTTTTTAGATGCTATGGTTTAAATGTTTGTCTCCTAAACTCATGTTGAAATTTAATTGCCATTGTGACAGTATTAAGAAGTGAGATCTTTAAGAGGTCATTAGGTCATGAGAGCCTTTCCTTCATGAACAGATAAATGTCATTATCATGGGAATGGGTTTGTTATTATAAGAGTGGATTCCTTATAAAAGGACAAGTTCAGCTCCCCTTTGTCTCTCTTACCCTCTTCTTGCCCGTCTACCAGGGGATGACATGGCAAGAAAGCTCTTGCCATATTTGGTCCCTTGATCCTCAATCTTAGACATCCCAGCCTCCAGAACTGTGAGCCAATAAATTGCTGTTCATTATAAATTAGCCAGTTTGTGGTATTCTGTTATAATAGCACAAAATAAAGTAAGACATTAGATTTATTAGGACTTTTTTTGTGGCCTAACAATGATCTTTTCTAGAAAATGTTCCATGTGCAGTTGAGAAGAATGTATATCCTACAACTGATGGATGGAATGTTCTGTTTATGTCTGCTAGGTCTATTTGGTCTATTGTGTAATTTAAACCTTATGTGTCTTTATTGATTTTCTGTCTGCCAATAGTGGGATGTTGATGTCCCCTACGATTATTTTATTGCAGCCTATCTCTCTCTTCAGATCTATTAATATTTGCTTTCTATATGTAGATATTCCCATGTCAGGTCCATATACATTTATAAATGTTATGGATATAACAACTGTGGAATTGATCCCTTTATCCTCATATGATGACCTTCTTTGTCTCTTTTTACGTTTTGACTTAAAGTCTATTTTAACATGTCTAACATGTATAGCTACTCCTCCCTCTTTTGGTTTATATTTGCATGGAATATATATTTTTTCATCTCTTCACTTTCAGTCTGTGTGTGTCCTTACAAGTGAAGTGAGTCTCTTGTAGGCAGCGTATTTTTTATCCATTCAGCCACTTATGTCTTTTGATTGGAGAATTTAATCCATTTATATTCAAGATAATAATTGATAGATACAAATATTCTACTAACATTTTGTTAATTATTTTTTACTTGTTTTGTAGACCCTCTGTTCTTTTCTTCCTGTCTTGCTGTGTTCCTTTGTAGTTAAGTGATTTTCTCTGGTGGTATGTTTTTATTTCATGCTTTTTATTTTTTGTGTATCTACTATAGGTTTTTGCTTTGTGGTTACCATGAGGCTTACAGCAAACATAGGTATAGATAGTTTATATTATATTAAGGTGATAACAACTGAATTTTGATTGCAAGAAGAAAACTCTGTACTTTTACTACACTCTCCTCCCACATTTTGACTCTGTGTCACAATATGTATTTTCTTATATTGCATATCCCTTAACAAATTATTGTTTCTCTTGTTATTTTTAATAGTTTTTCTTTTAACCTTCATGTTAAAAATGTTAGTGATTTACACACCACCATTGCAGTATTAGATTATTCTGAATTTGACTGTGCACTTAACTCACTTTTAACAGTGAGTTTCTTAGTTTCAGATGTTTTTGTGTTACTCGTGTTAAAATAAAGATTTAACACAAATTAAATTTAATACAGTTTAATTGAGCAACGAACAGTTCACAAATCAGGTAGGCCCCTCAACCAGAATAGATTCAGAGCAACTTTATGCTGCTGCATGATTGGAGAGGATTTACAGACACAAAAAAAATAGTGACGTACAGAAAATGGAAGTGAGGTACAGAAACAGATGAATTGGCTATAGCTCAGCATGCCACAATTGAGCACAATATAAACAGTTGGCTACCTTTTATTGGCCAAAGCTTGGTGATAGGTATGAGAGTAGGTTACAGTCTATTTACACATCCCGATAGGTTGCTGTTCACTATGTATGAAGGAACCATTAGGCAGAACTTAAAATATATAAGGAGACAGCTTTAGGCTAAACTTAATTTTATTTTCATTAGCATCCTTTTCTGTCAGCTTGAAGAACTCCCTTCAGTTTTTCTTGTAAAACACGTCTGATGGTGATGAACTCCTTCAGTTTTTGTTTGGGAAAATCTTTATTTATACTTCATTTCTGAAGGACAGTTTTGCTGGATACAGTGTTCTTACTTTGCAGATTTTTTTTCCCTTTCATACTTTGAATATATCAACCCACTCTCTCCTGATCTGTACAATTTCTGCTGAGAAATTTGCTGCTAGTCATATTCGAAATCCATTATGTGTTATTTGCTTCCCTTTCTATCTTCAGAATCCTCTCTTTGTCTTTGGTTTTTGACAGTTTGATTACAAGATTACTTTGGGTAGCTTTGTTTGGATTGAATCTGACTGGAGACCATTGATCATCCTGTACCTGGATATTTACATTTTTCTCCAAATTTGGAAAGCTTTCTGCTGTTAAAGTCATGTGTTGCTTAATGATGGAGATATGTTCTGAGAAATGCATTGTTTGGTGATTTTGCCATTGGGAAAACATCATAGAATGTACTTACACAAGCGTTGATGGAATATATCCCCTATGATGCTCCTAGGCGGTAAGGTATAGCCTATTGCTCTTAGGCTACAAACCTGTATGACATGTTACTATATTGAATACTATAGGCAGTTGTAGAACAATGGTAAATATCTGTGTATCTTAACCGTATCTAAACATGGAAAAGGTACAGTAAAAATATGGTATAAAAGATAAAAAATGGTATACCTGTATAGGAACTTACCATGAATGGAGCTTATAGGACTGGAAGTTGCTCTGGGTTAGTTAGTGAGTGAGTGGTAAGTGAATGTGAAGGTCTAGGACATTACTGTACACCATAGACTTTATAAATACTACACTTAGGCTGTACTAAATTTATAATTTTTTCCTTTCTTCAATAGTAAATTAACCTCAGTTTACTGTGACTTTTTTACTTTATAAGCTTTGTAATCTTTTTAGCTTGTTGACTCTTTTGTGATAACATTTAGCTTAAAACACAAATACATTCTACAGCAGTACAAAAATACTGTTTTTTTTAATATTCTGTAAGATTTTTCTATTTAACTTTTTTTTTCCTTTTTAAACTTTTTTGTTAAGAACTGTGACATAAACATGCACATTAGCGTAAGCATACACAGTGTGAGGGTCATTAATATCACTGTCTTTCACCTCCACATGTTGTCCCCCTGGACGGTCTTCAGGGGCAATAATACACATGAAGCTGTAATATTCTATGATAATAATGCCTTCTTCTGGAATACCTCCTGAAGGACCTGGCTGAGGCTCTTCATTAGAAATGTCACACTTTTCAGAAATATGTCGATGGCCGTTTCTTTTTTTCATCATACATTCGCTTGTAAGCAGATAATGTACTACAGACATTCCTTTCTATTAATGAAAACATTTTGGTGTTAAGGTTCATTTTCAAAATTTTTATGGTTGCTGTTGAGGTCTGAAAAATATTTTTGTAAACTTTTCACTTTTCATTTTCTTCTTCAGCTGTGTGTTCCTGTTTCAGGTTTAACAACTCTTCATTAGTCAGTTCCTCAGGAATCACCTCTAGGGATTCCTCAATGCCATCCTAATTCCAACCCAGGTTAAATTTGGTTTGCTGGCCGGGTGTGGTGGCTCACGCCTGTAATCCCAGCACTTTGGGAGGCTGAGGCAGGTGGATCACGAGGTCAGAAGTTCAAGACCAGTCTGGCCAAGATGGTGAAACCCCATCTCTACTAAAAATACAAAAATTAGCAGGGCGTGGTGGCAGGCGCCTGTAATCTCAGCTACTTGGGAGGCTGAGGCAGGAGAATCGCTTGAATCCGGGGGGCAGAGGTTGCAATGAGCCAAGATCACATCACTGTACTCCAGCCTGGGCGACAGAGTGAGAATCCGTCTCAGAAAAAAAAAAGAAAAAAAGAAAAAGTTGGTTTGCCATCTCAACCATAGCCTTGTTGACATTTGTAGCTTCTTCATCCTTACCAAATCCTTTGATGTCATGGAGAAGACGCTTGAGTGTTTTCCCGAAGTCATTCATACACTCCTTGGTGACATAACTCTAAGCCCAAGCAAGGTTCTTGACGCAGTCATAGATGTTGTAATCCTTCCAGAATTGCACCTGTGTCTTCTCAGTGCCTCCTTTAGTTGCAGCAATAGCTTGGATAAAGGTCTTCATTAGGTAGTAGGCCTCAAAAGCTGCTATAATTTTTTGATTCATTGGTTGGATCAAAGAGGTGGTATTTTGAGGGAGAAACACCTCTTTTATTTGGGATGAAGATCACCAATAAAAGGAGTATGTGCAGAAACATTATTAATGATAAAATCTTGACAGATATGTTATTCTCTAAACAGGAATTTTTCATTTTGTTGGCATTGCAATTCAGGAGGGCACTTTGGAAGAGGAGCTGGGTCATGCATGACTTCTTATTGTTCCTGTAGTACACTGGCAATGTGTGCTTATTGATATTGAAGACTCTAGGGTTCTCACTGTGCAGAACATAATGGGTTTCAATTTGTAGCCTGCAATATTGCCCCCAAGCAAGACTCTTATCCTGTCCTTGAATGCCTTGAAATGTGATGTTAACTTAGCCTTTTTATGGATGTAAGTCCTTTCAGGCATTGTTTCCACCATAGGGAGGTTTCATCCGTATTGAAGATTCACTCTGACAAGTAATTTTCCTCCACAATCAGCTTATCTAGAGTTTCTAAAAATTCTTCAACTGTCTTCACATCAGCACCTGCAGACTCACCCATCACTTTCACATTATGTAGTGAATAAAGATTCTTAAATCATTTAAACTACCTAGACTAGCAGTAAATTCAGCATCATAGTCACATCTAGCCTTTTCTTTCAACGTCACAAACTCTTTGCTTTGTCTGTGATCATTGTGGTCCTGAGAGGGATACAATTCTATGCCTGGTTTTCAATCCAGGTCATTAGAAGATTTTTTCATATCTGATATAGGCCCTTCTTGAGTATTTGTTAGTCTAGTTGCCTTCAATGAAGTAGATCCTTTAACAGATTCCATCACTTTGTTCTTGTTCTTCAAGAGAGATAATAGCTGTGGCTGAAAGGGACAGGCCTGACTAGTGAGCAATAGTCATAACTGATTTTCCACCTTTGTAGTCCTTAATTACTTTTAACTTTATTTCCAGGTCAATCACTTGATATGGCCTCTTACTGGTAACATTAGCAGTGGATTTTGTATGCTTAGGGGCCGTGATGAACAAAATAACTTGAGATTAAGTCAAGCACAAGAGAAAATGATGCATCAATGAGACATAGTAATCATGAGATGTATGTGGCTGCTGCTGGCATAACACTGCATCCTGTTGTACAGTAAACTTTTTTTAATAAGTAGAAAGAGTACACTCTAAAATAACAATCAAAAGTATGGTAAATACATAAACCAATATCATAGTCATTTATTATCATTATCAAATATATAATGTACATAATTATATGTACTATATTTTTATATGACTGGCAGTGCAGTGGGTTTGTAAACACCAATAGCACCACAAACATGTGTAATGTACTGCAGTATGATGTTACAACAACTGTGATGTCACTAACTTATAGGAATTTTTCAACTCTAATAATCTTATGGGGCCACCATCATACATATGATGCATTGTTGACCAAAACATCATTATGTGGTTCATGATAGTATGTCTTTAAATAAGCTTTCTACCCTTTTATCTTTTTTACTCCTTCTTAAACTCCTGAGACTCAAAATTTACCCTTTAATTCTATTCTGTGAATCCCATAAGCTTTCTTTATTCCTTTTCATTCTTTTTTCCCTTACATTGTTTTTATATTTATTATTTTAATAATATATTTATTATATTATATATTATATTAATATATAATATATAATTAATATATAAATGTATAAGATATTAATGTATTTATTATATATTATATTAATATATTTATTATATTTCCCCTTATATTTTCAAATTACCTGTCTTCAAGTTCATAAGTTCTTCTGCTTGATCAATTCTGCTGTTGATGTTCTCTGTTCCATTTTTCATTTTGTTTTTGTGTCTTTCAGTTCCAGTATTTTTGTTTGTTTTTTTAAAATCATTTCAGCCTCCCTGTTAAATGTCTTATTCTGGCCACTTATTGTTTTCCTTATTTCATTGAATTGTTTCTCTGTATTTTCTTGAAGTTTGCTAAGCATCCTCAAAACAATTATTTTGAATTCTTTGTCAGGCAGTTCATATATCTCCTTTTCTGTAGGGTCAGTCACTGGCACATTATTTTGACCCTTTGGGAATGTCATGTTTGCCTGATTATTTTTGATTCTCAAGGTCATGCATCAGTGTCTGTGCATTTGAAGGATATACATGCTTATTCCAGTCTCCACAGACTAGCTTTGTCTGATAAGTCCCTTCCACATTCATCTTACCCAGAGATTCTGGGCAGCCATCTGGCATGGCTCCAAAGCCCCAGTCCACTGTGGCTGATGTGGTGTTGGGGTATGCATGAAGCCTGAGGCGGCTTCAGCAGGCTGAAAGCCTTTGGCAGCTGAAGCCTGCCTGCCACTGAGAGCTGTCTGGAATCTCCTGCCACTGAGAGCTGTCTGGAATCTGAGGCTGCTGAAGTCTGCATGATAGTGGTGTGAATCAGAGACTGAGTCCACCTAGCAGGCATAAAGCTGGAGGCTACAGGATCCTGCCTGGTGCTGGGGCAGGTCTGTAGGCTCAGTTTGCAAGTACCAGGCTGGCATCTAGGGTCATGAGGGCCTGCCTGGTGCTGGATTTTACTTTAATGAGCCTGGTGTTAGGATCCAAGGAAAAGTCCTGTGCTTGCTTCCCGCTCCTTCTCCCCAGTTAATGGTAACTCTCTTTGTACTGTGCCACCTGGCATTGGTGATGTGGGTAATATAAAACTGTCCCTTTTGCCCTCTTCAATGTGTATTTTCTTATTATTGTGCTACAACCAGGTTCTATGATTGCTCCATTGTTTTCCTTAGCTCTTATGAAGGTATTTTCATGCACGGTTATTCAAATTAATGTTTCTCTGGGAGGACAATTGCTGGAGAGTCATATTCTGCCATTTTGCTCCACCCCTCTCTTACCTTTTATTCCTATTTACTTTTTGATTGATGTATTCTATCTCCTCATTCTCTCTCTATCATAATGATCTGGCATAGTGCTTTGCCCATCATTTGCAGTTGCTTATATGATGTTGACCAAAGTAGTTCCTTTGCCATTCATCCAGGAAACTGTATCCCACCCACGTAAAAATAGTGTAGAAGGAAGAAAATAGCACCATTATCGCTCTCATTCTGAGGGGCTCATCTTTCAGAAACTCACCCGAAGAAATTTTAGAGTACTAGGAAAATCTATGGCAGCATCTTTAATGTATCTGACGATGAAATATCGTGATGTGAATAGCAGGAATAAAACTTAATAAATATTATTTTATCCTTGGCCTAAGAATATGAAGATACTCTTTTATTCCTTGGGGTCTTGACCTACTTTGTCATCTGGCCAAATAATTCTTTGTCTCTGAGAATACCTTTCTTAGTCCATTTGTGCTGTTATAACTAAATATCACAGGCTGGGTAATTTATAAATAATATAGATTTATTTCTCACAGTTCTGAAGATTAGGAAGTCCAAGAACAAGGTACTGGCATTTGGTGTCTTGTGAGGGCCTTATTGCTGCACCCTCACATGGCAAAAGGGGCAAATGCTGTATCCTCACATGGCAGAAGGCAGACAGGCAAAAAATTCCTAAGCTAGTTTCTTGTAGCCCTTTCATTAGGCATTAATTAATTCATGAGGGAATAGCCTTCATGATGTAATTACTTTCTAAAAGACCCCCCATCTTTTAATACTACAATTGGGGTTTTCAATATAAATTTGAAACTATGGGGTTTTCAATATAAATTTTGGAGGAGACACATTCACACCATAGCAACATCTGTTCCTGGTTTTATCTGCTTGCCTTTCAGGAATCATTCCTGCTCTAGAAACTGCCTAGTATTGAAATGACCCCTTTTGGTTTCCTGGCTTCTGAGTGCCACACTCTGGCTTCTGATTCAAGCTCCTGCCTCTGCCACCTTATCTACCTCTACTCCTCTCTTGCCACCAGATCTAACCGATGTACCATCAGCATTATAATATCCAGTTGTTAAACACTGTGATTGCTATTCAGAGACCATTGCTCAGTGTTATTTGTGATTCACAGTTTATGGAATCTCAAGAATTTCTTCAATTCCTGAAGTGTATTTTAATTCTGGCTCTTCTGTCTCTTGGTACACGTTCTTGCATTCTCATACTAAAACAAAATATTCAACTAATCTCAGAGTAGATATATCTTGCAGCTTTACCTTCCAATATTTGTAATATGCACAAAAGGTATAATATTCTCTGATATGCGCCTTTATTTAGGATTAGCTGGTGACATCTATGGAATTCTCATGGCAGCCATCTTACCTAGAACTTCGGCTGTCTGAAGCCAGTTCTCCAGTGCTGTCATATTCCTTTATAAGTCAAAGAAGTAGTACAGCTCTCTTTTTGCAATTTTTTTTTTTTACTTTTCTTAAATATGAAGCGCAGAAACAGCAAGTTGGCTATATATAATTCATTGTTGTCAGAAATCAGAGTATCCGAATGTGAATTGTATAGTATCTAACTGATTCAGGTGGACTTTAGTGACGCTCTTGCTAGTGGTGGAAGTCATGCGAAGGTGTTCTGAGAGCTTTCATAACCCCTGGGAAACTTGCAGGTGATGGGGTCTCTCCCCTTGAATCCATCCTTCATCTGTGAGATTTAGCACCTGCTTGGAGCAAGTGGCATCAATGAAAATCAATATTCATGACAGAAGCCTTTCTCTTTTTCCCTGTTCAATATTATCTCTGAACATTAAGAAAATTAAGCATAGGAAAACTGGATATCCACTGGCAAAAGAGTGAAGTTGGACCCCTACCTCACATTATATACAAAAATTAACTCAAAATAGAACACAGACATAAATGTGAGAGCTAAAACTATAAAATTCTTAGGAGAAAACATAGGTTTAAGTCTTTGTGTCCTTGGGTTAGGCAATGATTTTTTTAGATATGTTACCAAAAGCACAAGCAACCAAAGAAAAAATAGATATATTGGATTTTATTAAAATTGAAAATATTTGCACTTCAAAATAAACCATAAAGAAAGTAAAAAGGCAGCCCACAGAATGGATGAAAATATTTGCAAGTCATGTATTTGATAAAGTTCTAATATCCACAGTTATAAACATTTCTTACAACTCAACCATTAAAAAAAAAACAAATAACCCAATTTTAAAATGGACAAAAATTCAAATAGGCATGTTCTCCAAAGAAGATATACAAATGGTCAGTAAGCACAAAAAAAGATACTCAACATCATTAGCCGTCAGAGAAACACGAATCAAAACCAAAGTGAGATATCACTTCATATTCACTGGGATGCTATAATCAAATAAACAGATAATAAAAGTTGAGGAGGTTGTAAAGCAATTAGAACGCTAATACACTGCTAGTGGGAATGTAAAATGGTACAGACACTTTGGAAAATAATTTGACAGGTCCTCAAAAAGTTAAATATATAATCACCTGCCATGTGACCCAGCAGCTCCACTCCTAGATATGTATTCAAGATAATTGAAACTGTCTACACAAAAATGTGTACAGCCATCTCTCCATATCCTCGGGGGATTGGTTCTAGGAATTCCCCCATTCCCAGTTACTAAAACCTGAGTATGCTCAAGTTCTTTATAGAAACTGGTGTAATATTTGCATATAATCTATGTACATCCTCCTGTATAAATTAAAACATCTCTGTATTATAATACCTAATACAATGTAAATGTTACATAAATTGTTATACTGTATTTTTAAAAATTTTTATTTTTAAAAATTGTGATATTGTTTATCTTTGAATATTTTTGATCAGCAGTTGGTTGAATATGCACATGTGGAACTTGTGGATTCAGAGGGCCAACTGTATACAAATGTTTGTAGCAGCATTATTCATAATAACCCAAAGTGGAAACAAACAAAAAGTCTAACAACTGATGAATGGATTAAAAGTAATGTATAACCATACAATGAAATCTTATCCATCAATAGAAAGAATGACATAATGATACATGCTACAACATTGTTGAATCTTGAAAATGTTAGACTAAGTAAAAATAGTGAGACAAAAAGGCTACATCTTTTATTATTCCATTTATTTCCAAGTAAGTAGAAAACATATTATTAGTGGTTGTCAAGGGCTAGGCGAGGCGGGAATGGGGAGTGACTGCCAGTAGGCACAGGATTTTTGAGAGGGTAACGAAAAGGTTGTGTAATTAGATAGTGGTGATGGTTGCACAATTTTGTGAATATACTAATAACCATTAAATTATACAGTTTAAATAAGGAAATTTCATACTGTGTGAACTTTATTTTAACAAAAAAATTAAGGCAGCCTTGATCTTAAGTCTCTGGTCAACCACCTCTGCTGCTTCTCCGTGCCTTTCATAACCAGCTCCCCATCCAGTCCTTGACATGTCAAAATTATTTTTCCATTTAAATTTTTGGCCTTTATTTTTCAAGGTAACTAGAAAGTTTCTTTGAAATCTAGTGGGTTTTCTTTAGGCCTTCATCACATGTAGGCACAAAACAGTGCCTCTCCTCTTATTTCAGGATGTAGATGCAATGATTCCAGAAGCTAACGATCCATTGTTTATGGTCCTGAAAGGAATGGAGCTCTTTTCAGAACATGTGGAGAAAGCCAGGGCATTCCAGCTTAGTAAATAACTCTATGCTTTGCAAGAATTATTCATAGTACTAAAAATAGTACTTAAAGTTTTCATAACATCCCAAAATATCATTCACGTTTTTCTCAAAATTTCCTTTATCTTTGAAGTGAGAGAAGAGCCACATAGAATATATTTTTTAGAATTCCATTGGTAATGTACATGTTTCTCATGCTTTTATTTGGGAGTAAGTTTGTATAATCCTAACTTTCTTCAGCTTTAGTAGCTATCGTAGATCATCCTTATATCACACTTGGAGCTTCACCTTTTTTTGGATAATACAACTTTATAAGTAGCTAGCAAAGCCATGCTAACCTTATTGTGAGTGGATAGACAAAAGTGTCAATTGAACCAGAAATGGAAAGGGGAATGGGGACAGTGATTCATACAATGGAGTAGTTTTCTTCTTGTGATTCATAATGTCCAATCAAGGACAAATGGACAGAACCTGGGTGGATTGGACTATGCTAGTGTTAAATTGGAAATCTTTGCACCTTGAGCAGTGGCAAATAACCTTCTCAAACTTCAAGTAGCTTTATTTTTTATTCTTTAGTAAGACCTGATTTTTCTTTTCAGAAGAAACATTTCAACTTTCTTGCAATATGGCTTTGCTCAGCCAGCTTTCCCAGCCAAGTTGACAGGACAAGGTGAAAAGAAACTCTCAGGGGAAAGTCAAACCCTAGCTCTGGGGAGATGTTGGCTCCAGGTCACTTCAGGACAAGACCAAGTCAGCTTGTCAAGGATCTGTGGTTCCACTGCCCGGTCTGGAATCATCTGTCTGACTTTTTAGTTTTTTATCTAGCAAAGGTTCTTGAGCCAGTTTCTTAATATTTTGTATACCGCAATCTACTTTCTGTAGCCCTCTTCTTCTCACCTTTTCCCTCATCTCTTTACCTGGCTTGTTTCATAGAACTTCATAATGAAGTTCAAAGACGTCTGCCCATTCAGTGGCACTAAAGCCTCTAGAATAGCCTGGGATCTGATGGCAGGGTGGGGAAGCTCAAACAGGTCTGCCTAAACAATGAAGTTTTCATCTCTCCACTCTATCTAGTATTTTTAAGCCAGTGATACTCAACCTTTAGCAGGCATCAGAATCACCAGAGTAAGGGGTTGTGGGGAAAGGGGGAAGGTGGACAAGCTTCCTAAAACAGATTGCCAGACCCCAACCCTGAAATTTCTGACTCAGTGGGTTGGGGTGGGGACTGTGAATTTGCCTTCTAACCGTCTCCCAAGTGGCACTGCTGCTGGTGGGGTCAGGCACCACACTTTGGGAATCTCTGCTCTAGGATTTCTCGAATTTTGGTTTACTCTTGGCACAATTAATCCAAATATATGAAGCTTTATTGTACTGCATAGGTGATATTGAATGTTTGTTTTCCCACGGTTACTTAAAGCATTATAGTTCAGTAATTTTAAAGTTTCAATAAACCCTTTTATTTTACCAAGGTGAAAATACACCACATGATTTTAAAATGATGCCGTGTCAACCAGGACATACATAATTTGAGTCTCAATTTATATTTCTACATTGTTTCTACCTTTTCTCCTTCTCTTCCCTTTTTTCCTCTCTACCTTCCTGCCTCAAACATTTATTTAGTGCCTGCTATGTACCTGACGCTAAACTAAGGCCCAGGGTATGGCATAAATTAGTAAGGGATAAATAAGTATCTTTGCAGTCTAGTCATGGGTGAGAGACATGAAAAAGAAGTGAATACGGTCATGTGTCACATAATGATATTTTGGTCAATGACGCACTGTGTATTATGGTGGTCCTGTATGATTATAATACTGTATACTTACTGTACCTTTTCTATTTTTAGATACACAAATACTCAACCATTGTGCTACAACTGCCTACGGTATTTAGTACGGTAATATGCTGTACAGGGTTGTAGCCTAGGAGCAATAAGCTATCCCATCTAGCCTAGACGTATAGTAGGCCATACCATCTAGGTTTGCGTAAGTGCGGTCTGTGATATTTGCACAATGACAAAGTTGCCTAACATGCAATTCTCAGAAGGTGTGCCCATCATGAAGCCACACATGACTGTACAGTGACATGTACCAAGGGCTATGGCAGCAGTATCTGGGTGTACAGTGAACAGGGCATAAGCTATGCAGGAGGGGTGGTGGGATGGCAGGAAAGGTAGCACAGAGTCGGAACTGAGGAACCAGCATAGAGTCTGCAGCCTAACTAGAAGGCACGGGAACTGCAGTGGTATGAATGCCACAGTGTTGTCTTGCTCTTCCTCCTTTGCTTAGTTTAACTTAGAGAAATCCCTAAGCAAAAGGTCTTTGCTATGAAAGGACGACACCTTCTGGTCATCCTTTCTGGACTGGCTAGGGCTGGGAGTGATTGTATGGTACTTAACTCAGAAACATAATCCTTTCATTATGTCCTAACAATCTAAACCAGGCTACTTCTCAATAATTCTTTCTCATGCTTCTAAAATGACCACACGTGCTTGGACCACTATATTAGGTTTTAAGAAGCATGCCTCAATGAGTGGATGGTCATAAGGCATTAGAGAACACGCAGGAAAACAAGGTTTTTAAGTATAGTTTCAAAGTTTTTAAGTACATGGCCCTGGGACTTACTCTTGCATAGAGCCAAAGCCCAACTCTGTCACTACCTTTGTGATTTTGGAAAATTTCTTAACATCACTTGAACCTCAGTTTTCTCATCTGTAAAATTGGAATATGAGATAAAATTTTAATGAGGATAAAATAAGATGATGTATGAAAAGCGTCTGGCATATTGTAAGTCCCTGGTTACTAAAACAGCAGCAAAATAGGCACAAAGAATAGAAGCATTTGATATAAATGCAGCTTCATCCATCCAGAGATCATATGGAAAGATACAGTAATCTACCAGTACCCTCTAAGAAGTGTTATAAGGAATTGCTTTAAAATTATAAATTATTTGAGACAGATTCACCCTCAAGCCAGAAGAACCACAAGCTTATCAGTGTGTCAGATGATCAGTACATTGGGAAAACCTAATGATGACAACTCAGCTTTTATTTTGATGTCTTAGGTACAAGTCAGACCCTGAACTCACAAACATAGCATCAGTGAAAAACTGGTTGAAACTTTTCAATGGTTGTTGAGAAAAGAAAAGGTTTTGTTTTAGTGGGATAAACACACTTACTCCACCTACGTTTTGAAAACAGATGTTTCAAAGGAAAAGAAGTTAAGGAAAAGCAAATGAACTCTCCCAAGCAGCCACATCCTATCCATGTGCCCATATAAAGAAATTAGGAGTATGATTCTCATTTTGTTGTCAGAGATCATCTTCAACTCTACTATCTTAAGGAATCTTTAATGTAGGACACTCCTAAATCTGCTTTCTCTGATTTTCTTTTACAAATATAAACATTATTATAATCATCAGAACAGATAAAGTAGAGCTGCTTGAGCCAAGAGCCACTTGATATATACCAGGCACTAAACTAAGTGCTATGTAAGCATTAGCTTCATTCAGTCCTCACAACTCAATGACAGGTACCCATTTTACAGATAAGAAACATGAGGCTTAGAGAAGTTTGTCACTTGTCCAAAGTTTTCCCCTACCATTCAGCTGTATGTTCAAAGCAGAACTATGAACCCAGTTTCAGAATGAGTGCATGACATCACCATTGTGCTGTATGGTCTCACCTGCTGGTTTCAGTCCGCCATGGTGGAGTATCAAATTACACATCAGCCTCCTGTTGCCCAGCACCTGTTGCTGGTCCCAAACGAGATAGGGCTGCAGCTTACGTCATGTTAGCAGGATGCCCTGAAATCCCTGCCTGTAGAGGTAGCTACCACTTAACCAGAGCTGGAGCTCCCTGGGTCTCATGCAGGTGCCCAGGGCAGTTGAGGGTTTAGGGTGATCTCTCTGTGCTCAGGTGGCCTCAATTTGAAGTGGATTATTTTCCACTTCCTTGTTTATAATAAAGACTGATCTACTGGGGCCTCAGAAAGACACTGGGCTACTAAGCAGCGGAGAGGCTTTGCCTCAAGCAGTCCTGCAATGTCTTTTCATGTTTTCTTCTTTAGGTGCTTCAAGAAAGACCCACTTCAGGCAGGAAAACATTCTTTTCTGACCCAGGGAGGTTTTAAAATAATACCTTGAATGTCTTACTTTGAAACTTTGAGGATTTTCCCTCATTTGGTGATTTTGTTTCTGATATATGGTATGTGCTTTCCCCATTTCTGTGTAAGAAGGGAGCAAGGTTTGTCACTTGTGCAAAGCTCAGCCTGGGCCCAGCCTGGACTCTCTTGCATTCTGTGTCCCAGAGCTCCCAGTGAAACAGGCCCATGTGGTTCAGGCCTGCGTGGAGCCTGGGCTCCAGTCACGGTCACTTAGAACACAGAGACAGCCAGCGAGGCTTGTCCTCTAACCAGCGTTTGTTTGTTTATTTGCTTGTACCTACTTTGAGCACATCTTAGATCTCATCTCAATTGTGTTAGTAACTCATAGACAAGAAGAATTTTTGTTTTCCTACAGTGTTTGGGAAATTGTATGTGAAAATTCCTAACTGTGCCATGCATTTTCTCACTTTATTCCTATTAATAATAATTTAAAGAAAAAGAAATAAGGCTGTGCCATCCGCTAGTAACAATTAAGGACAATAATATGCATAGAATATACTTCTGTTGCTCCTAGAGAGCTAGGGAATGCAAGATTTTGGCTAAATGGGTAGTATACCTTTTTTTTCTTTTTCTCCCACAGAGACGCATGCACTCCATGCCTGGAAATTTTTAGAAATAGAATATGTCCAATACTAATAACATAATAACTATATACTAAAAACAATGTTCCAGAAGCTGTTTTAAAATACATATGTTTGTAAATTATGTACATATGACTACATAATATATATGTGGCATATGCATTATGTGTATGTGGTACATAGACATTACCCATAACAATTAGAAAGTACCTCTGTCTCCGTTTTACAGATGAGGAAGCTGAGGCACAGAGAGATTAGTGACTTGTTCAAGATGAGACACACGCTGGTAAATGGTGGGGCTAGGGGTTATGTATTTAATCACCAGGTGATACTACTATACCTCCACGACTGGATGTTTCCTGGGTGTCTCAGGAGGCACTTCGATTTTTGCAGTAACTCAAGAACTCACCAGTAAGAACCTTAGTTAGGAGTTCGAGTTGGTAGGAAAACAACGGACCAAGACTCATAACCTTTCTTCTACAATTTACGAGTTGTATATACTTGGGCACATCTCTTAACGGAATCTCACTATCCTCATCTGTAAAATGGAGATTATAACATCTATCCACATACTTCATAGAGGTGTCATAAAGGCACGTAACATAATGAATCTAAAGACCCCTGAAAACCCTTGAAGTGCTACATAAATATTCAGAAATGGTTTCTTACATGGTCATGGTTAGGTCTGGAATGCTGTGCTAAGGCTTTATCACTCTGAGCCCAGTGCCCCCTTTCACTCATCTGTGCTATATCAATGTGTCTTTCAAGCAAATTCACATGCTAATCTGTGTTAGTTCCTATTCTGCAGAAATGAGAAGTGTTAAACTCATTCTTTAAATATAATCCCCTCACTGCTATGATAGAGAATGTGTTACACCATTAAAGAACCCACCTCTCTTTTTTTTTTTCAAATTTAAGAAGCATTACTTTCCTTTTCTCCTTCTTTCCTAAGAGACTAGAATCCTGTATTGCAAATGGAAGTTCCCTCAATAAATTTTAACTGAGTAGAATCTGGGATGCTCAGAATGGAAGAGGTCTCTTGTAAGCTGGACCAAGACTTTACAGATAGGAAAGCTGAGGGTCTTATCTGACATCACCCAGCCTATTAGGGCCAACGTGGGCCAAGAGCCCACGTGTCCTGACTTCCAGCCCAGAGCCAGTTCTGCTTCATGACCCTGCCCCTTGCACTCAGAAGCTGAGGGTATTTGTGGTTTGTTTGTTTTAGTGCTTTCTTTTATTACTGATAGCTCTTCTGCAAGGAATGCCTCCCCTCTCTAAGCATTTATTCTTTGTTACTTACAGAAGAAGACTGCATAAACTGGGCGTGTCAAAGGTCACCCAAGTGGATTTCCTGCCAAGGGAAGTAGTGTCCTACTCAAAGGAGACCCAGACTCCTCTTGCCACGCATCAGTCTGAAGGTAAACTATGTCTTTGGCTTACTTTCCATATTATCTCTGGAGAAATCGCTGGGAAGTAACATCTTTCTTGTTGATTTCCTCTTACCATAAGAGCTCTTCATGGGATACAAACATAATGACACTGAAAGCCAAAGCCTCTTCTGAGTTTGAAAGCTATGGAGAGGGAACTCGGTGATACTCTTCCAAGTGACCTGGCAACTTTAAATTAGATAAACTAAAGAGGTTTATCTCACTACATCGAAATCATGTGAGGAGAACAAAAATCATCAAAGAACAATGTAATAGAAACAGTGCTGAATTTTATCAATAAGAATACATTAAGCATACATTAAGAATCTTAAGCATACATTAAGATTCATCATTTACATGGCTTAGCAAACTATAGCCCACCCACCTGTTCCTAGAAATAAGGTGTTGTTGGAATACAGCTATATCCAACCATTGACTTCTGTGGTTACTTTCTTGCTGCAGTGGCAGGGTTGAGTAGTTGTGAAAGAGACCTTATGGCTCACAAAGCCTAAAATCTTTATTATAACCTGGCCCTTTACAGAAAACCTTTGCTGACCACTGATTTGGTTTGCCAATTGAGGTAACAACACACGAGAGTTTCTGACCACAATTTAAAAGTATTTTCCCATGCAAACTCCACATAGGTGAATGGAAATTGAACTCCATACCTTCTTTGTGTATGCCAGAAAAATATCAAGTGAAAAAGTCACATACGGGTATCAGAGAATCATAAAAATACACTCATGAGAGAAGTCGAAGTTGATAAATACTTCCTAGAATTCAAAACTTTATCAAAGCAAGATTATGCAAAAGCAGAAGAGGGAGATGTATTTTGAAAATAGGGTAAGTGAAAGTTTCATTGTTAGAGGCTAACGTTGTTATAGCAAAGCAAATACTCTTTTTACTTTATGTTATTTTATTCTTCGGTGGGTGAAGAGGATGTTGGAATTCTGGGTTCCTTGTTGCTATGTAGTAAGTATGGACAAAAGCCATGAAATGCAAAAATGATTAGCATTTCCCCCTTAGTGATTTACCGGAAATATAAAAATCAGTGCATTTTTGTTTATGCAAGCTACAGGTTTTCAGTTTTGGTTCTAAATAAATAACGCCAAAAGCAAAGTGAATCAGATTCCTTGAAGTCCGGGGTGCCGTTAGGCATTCTGAAAATCTTGCCTATACAAGCTGTTGTGGGGACAGTTCTTCAGTAGCAGGGCCTCCATTTCTCAAGCCCCAGTGAAATGAATTTTAGAAGCAAACAAGTAGCACCCTCTGCTGGTGAGCTTTTAAACCAACCAACCCAACAAATGAGACCTGTATATTAACGTGGCTGAAAATACAGTTAGCGAGGGGGAAAGAAAGAAAAGAAAAAGAAAATACAAAATTAGAAAAGCCTGTGAGAGTTCACCTAGTCTATCCTTGGGCCTCCAGACAAGAACAGGAAGATCGTTAAAAAACATCCTCACCACCCAACCAAAACATTTGTTTGACTTAATTTGCTGCCAGAGGTATTTGCAGAGCTGTAGCTGGAGGCATGTTTATTTAGCCCAAAACTTGACCCATAGCATAAAGTTATACAACTGAAATAGGAGAAGGAGTGAATTATTTTTTAAAATGTGTACTTAAGATATTGGAAGTGGTAAAGAAATATTTACAAGGGAAGATAAATTAAGGATGAAAAGGCATCAGCTCTAAAGTTTTAAACTGGAGCACATCAAAAGGAAAAGGCTGTACATTCCATTTTATTACTGCAAGGAGAGCTTGGGAGCCCTCATTATGCTGTGGTCCAAGCAGCAGGAAAGGGGGAATTTATTTCTCAGCTATTGGCAGAAGTTCTTTCTGTTTTGTTCACAAGATCCATCAAGCTTTTTTGTGGTGAAGGGCATTTACATGGTTCAGATTACAATACAGAACCCAAAGCTAGCTACCATAGTTCTTGACATTTAAGCAATCCTGGATGGATTTGGACAGAAAAACCTTTCAATTTGGGTTCAGCAAACTGCCCCTCACCACAGGCGATGATGCCTTGACCCTTGGCTGCCGGCAGTCACCCGGCTGCCCGGCCATAGAGGGTGCTGGTGCTCACTTTCACCTGCTGTGGGGAGGTGGTTGGCAGGAGAGCTGCGTGGAGCAGTGGACAGTTGGCACTGAGGTTCTACCATGCGGCAGATGTGGGTTGGCTCCACTGTGGGGTTTGAGCCATGGCAATGTTTTCATGAAAACTGCGCCTTTCAGCGGCAGGAAACAACTACGGAATTTTATGACACAATGAGGCTCTTGGGTGGCTAACATTTGAAGCTCTGGCATATATAACATCCACTTTGGCTTGCTGTTGCCCACAATGTAAGAAGGCATGCTGATTATTTTTTGTCATTGTTTGACTGTGGACAGTTTAATGATAATCAAACTAATGATCTCAGAGCATTGATTTGTTCTGCCTCTAATGGATTCTAGTGCATTCAAGTTCTTACACATTCCCATTTTACTTTTGAAAATGAAGGGGAAGGCACTTTGGATTTGCCCAAGCTTAAGCATCCTTTCTGTACTGTGCACCGTAATGAACATTCTCATCATAGTAAGTATTAATTTTTGATCATAATGATCTGTTATGAGAAACACTCCAGACAGTGATATAAATAAGCAAGATTTAAGTATAAATTCTCCATGAATACTGTTCTTTCAACAAGGTTAGACCTTCCTTCTCTGCAGGGAAAGAAGGCCAAGAATGGCCAACACTGACTTGGAGAAGGATACCTTTGCCCCAATATATTTGAAACACATAATTTTATTCCCAAGTAGCAAGAAAGGAAAACGAAATTATGGTCCCCTCCAAGGCTGCCTCTCTGTTGCCTATTATGAACCCATTTCTGTACCAACCATGAGGTCCTGGGCTTAGGGAGCCAGTCTTTTGCATCTTTATTATAGTGAGTGAGTGCATGGCTTATCCTGAGTACCCAAGAAATGCTGTTGAACGACAAAGATAATGCCAGACATCTCTAGAAACACCAAGTTCACTATGTTCCCCCTGGGGGAATGAGAATTTCTTAATCTGCTGGAAAGATGCAAGCCACACTGGAGGAAGGAGGAGGAAATTTCTACAACCTGGTACATAATCATAGTTTGTTTTGATAGTCACCTGGTATCTTGTGGTCAAGGTTTAATCTCTACTCAGGCCCAGTAGCAAACCAAGACATCTCTCTCAAAGGGAGAGTAATGCAATAAAGAGGCCACATTATTATTCTAAAATCTAAGCACTTCTTCTGAGACTCACCTCTTAGGGACATTTGTTTGATTTGCCATAGACACTTGGGGCACCATTGGGTCAGCTGGACCATAATTTCCAAGTAGTATAGCCATTTGAAAGAAAAACTTTCAAACCACTGGGTAAATGGATTGAATAAATAGGTGCAAATGTTGAACATGTTGCCTGCAAAACCCAGAATGACCCACTAAGCATTTCGACTCTTAATATTAGAGAATTAAGGTATTCACATATACTTTGGAGTTTACCAGATGACTAGACCAATAGAGACTTTCTTAAGGTAGCGAGTACTTATGTTTTCAAAGATTTTTCCTCCATCCTCTGGCCTACATAATGTCTTAACTAGGTCTTAAAGATACCAGCTACAGCTTCCTCTCCAGGTCCTGCTGACATGATGCTCCATGTTGAAGGTGAGATTGACAAGGGCTACAGATAGAGAACTGGCTCAGCCCTGAGGTAGGATGATGAAGATGCAAAGAGAAAGGCTGCAGGTCTTTGGCTGTCAAGCAAGGCTTAGTGTAGAACATGGTTTGGAGGTACTCCCAGGCCTCCGTATTCTTACCTACATTCAATTTCCCATTATTTCCTGATCATTGCTGTCACTTTCACATAAGTCACCTGGTGACACTAGCAATTCCACAGACCTTATTCAGAAACCCACAGAATTTAAACTTTGCATTTGACTTTGACATTTTTGTAGATACTTATCACAAGCAGAGAAAGTCCATGGGTCTATGCCTAGATCTAAAATATAGAGACTTCAACCTGTCATCTATTTCTTACAGCTGTCCAGTCCCATTAGAAGTATCCACCTCATCCTAGTGTCTTTAAATTCTTCATGCCACTCACACTATTCAATAGCAGTGAAAATTTGATCCCCTAAATCCTTCTTTTCAACGGACACTTCATTAAAGATCACCATAGAAGAAAAATTATGTAGCTATTTGTTACAGCTGACAGATTCCCATTCCTGAACTCTTACTGAATTTTTATTTTCTTTAGCATCAGCTATGGCAGATAACCAACATCAGCTTCCCACGTGACTATCTCCTGATGGTAGTTTCTGTACCAGACTGAGTTTGTGGTTGCTGACAATAGAAACTAACTCTAATTAAGTTTAAACAGAAAAAAAGGTTTGTTGAGAAGATATGAGATACTTGATAGAATTGACAAAAGAAAAAAAAGCCAGAGCATTAGGTTTGAAATAAAAAGTAAATTAGGTAGCTGCTATCGACTGGATTGTGTATCCCCACAATTCATATATTGAAGGCTTAACCCCTAATACGACTATGTTTGTAAATAGGGTTTTTAGGAGGTAATTAAGGTTAAATGAAGTCATAAGGGTAGGATCTCTAATTGGTGGCCTTATTAGAAAAAGAAGAGAGAGAGAGAGAGAGAGATCTTTCTCCCTGTGTGTGTGTTCACCGAGGAAAGGCCATGTGAGGACACAGCAAGAAGGCAGCTGTCTGCGAGCCAGAAAGAGAGCTTTCACCAGAAAATGAACTGGCTGGCACCTTGATCTTGGACTTCCCAGCTTCCAGAACTGTGAGAAAATAAATTGTCCTTGTTTAAGCCACCCAGTTTATGCTATTTTTCATGGCAGCCTGAGCAGACTAAGACAGCAGCTAACACAGCAAGATCATACCAGTTAACCTTCCTGGTTAGAAGACCTGAGCCTCCTGACTTCCGGTCACTGGATACTCTCTGTTAGGCTCATGATTTAAACTCTGTAGTCACTGCTGGCTTGGAAACCTCTAACTCTCTCTGCCTCTTGACAGTGTTCCCTCAAGGGAGTCCATTAGCCAGGACTAGGTTACATGCCCCTGTGTCAGCTGTGAGGGACAAGGCAGAGAAATAACTGCCCAAGTTCAGCTTCCCATAATGTTTGGGGATGCTATGACTCAACTTTGATCTATTTTTATATCCTTCCTTTTAGAACAATGGGTGTTTGGATGCTAAGTGGCCAAGAATATATATTGGAAAAATGCCCACTTTGGTGTAAGAAAAAGAAAAAAAAGGGAGGTAAAGAGAAAAATAATATTTATTATGTGTTCAGCACACTCATATACATTATTACGCTTGCAGCATTGCTAGAATTTACTCACCTTATAAATCAGAGGTGCCGAGAGAATGCAGTTCCTTTATTTTATCTGCAGCCATTTATAATACCACTAGTTGACATGGAGAAAATATACAAAATAAACAACTTTAGTTCACTCTCATCTTTTAAACCGTCCCTGTTAGTATGTTCCATTAATCTTGGGTAGAAATGCCCAAATTCATAGAGTCCCCCTCTCATCTGCATCTCTCTCTGAGATCATGGTCAATTGTAGAGGGAAGAAAGATGAGGTTTACATGATCTAATGGCCTTGGTGGAGATAGGGAGGATGAGGGACTCTGGCCTTGTGCTAGTCCCTGGCAGCATGCTGGCTGACATCTGTTGCCCTCTGGCATGATGTCCTTTGTCCACCTGGGCACTGGCACCCTGTGTTAGAGTGTGTAGCTGGTGAACTTGTGATTTGTTCTTTTGGCTTAGTTTGGCAATGTTCCTAGGGAGCATTGGCTATCTCTCTTTTGATGATTTAGTCTCCTCTCAGCTGTCATGGTCTCCAGACCTTGAGTTGATGCCTTGTCCTTTCTCCATCCTAGAGGTCTACCTTCAGCCCATGCCATGCCTTTATCCACCACAGCAGATCTCTTGGCATACTGACTCTCGCTTTGGTGCCCATGCCTCAGAATATTTAAGGGAGATCCTCACCTGTTCTTTTCTCAGTCTTATCATGCCAGTCACCCCCAGGGAGGCTCAGATGCCTATGGTGAATAAGATCTATTGCATGGTGGTCTCTTTTCAGATTCCCAAAAAAGGAGTGTGGTTCAAGAACCCTGTGCTCATTCCTCCTCTTAGTTTAACACTCCACCTCTCCTAATGCTTCCCCCAGAAAGTGAAAATCCAGATATATCTGAAACTTTGTCTCTTCTTCCGAAATGCTCCTATCTGGAAATAAATTCCCCTGTTTAACTTCCTTCAATTTATATCTTCATTCTACCATGGAGTCTCAAGGTTTTACTGTTCTGGACAGAAGGAGTGATCTTGGTAGTTATTGATATTTTAAATGGTAAGGAAAAAAACTGGAATATCCTTTCTCCCTCAATTAAACTTGGCTCTCAAACTACAGTGGGATTACAAAATTCAATGTTTTGAGATGGAAGCTGAGTTTTACCTTAGCTGTTTTATTTTCATTCTATATCAAATTCTAATCTCTCTACTGGCAAAAAAAATGCCCTAGGTACACTAGGGTGAATATCATTACATTCACAAAGACAAACAGAAAAGCATATTAATAATTTTCAAATATAAGCCCCGCTACACACAAAAATTATTTTTGCCTACCTCTCATAATCAATGACACAGTCAAGAAATAGCAGAACTAAATAATATTACAAGGCATAGCAAACCTTTAATTCCCTGGAGAGTAACAACTGATATGTTGACTTACTTAAGAAACATCTAAGGTTCCACTTCCAGCATAAAGTAGACACAAGAGATAGAGCACATGGGGCATGTGAGATGGTCCATGAATCTACTTCCCAGTAAAATTGGTAAAAATGATAACAACAACAAAACCGCACAACTATTTAAAATATCTGGGAGCAGTCCTAATAGCATATAGCAAGTAAAAAAAAGAAAAAAAGAAAAACATTTATCTAATAAAACTAATCACAACTTGGTAAAAACAGGAAGATTCTATGGTATTTGAACCATACTCCATTCCCTCCTTGCCCCCAATTCAGCTTTAAGGAAATTACTTCAGGTGGATGCAGCAGAAAACACAGGGCTACCTCTCCTGCCAGCTCCCACTTGGAGAGCTATTGTATCTTCCTGGAAGAGGCAAGACATTAGCATTTCTCATACTGCCCCAGCTACTTGTTTCAGAAGATAAGTTCCAAGCAAGTGTGAGTACAAGGTGGGGACTCCCTTTTTTCAGCCCAACACTAACTTGAGGGATGGAGATTTTACCTTGGCTTCAACATGCTGAGAACATGGGACCCCAACTGTCTTCTCCATGGCTCATGTGTAAAGCAGAGGTTTCATGGTGGGAAAAGCAAGCTAAGTAGACCAGAAGCAATAGCAGTACCCTACTCTCCCACACAGCCAGCTGCTAAAGCAAGGGTGTCACTCAGAAAGAAGTGTGCCATTGTCCCCTCCCCCAGCTCCAGAATCTTGGTGCAAAGATTTTGACCAGGGAGAGAGGCAAGTCAAAATCAGAGAGCTCAGAATGTCTTCTCAAAAGAGCTAACATGATTTTCAATGTTCAAGCCTAAGGGCATCCTCAAAACAATCAAGATAGTGGTGTAAAGCAATTAAGAAAAGACTGGTAGATGTGCTAAATGTGTAGACAAGCTGAAACATAGCTAGCTTACCAGACAGAACCAGGAAAACAGACAGCTAAGAAGAGCCCTTCTGGGATCACAACACATCTCAAAAACTGGTCTCAAAAACTGTAAATTAAATTCAGGCTTATTTCAACCTGTGGAGAAAATTGTGCCCCAGGGCAGTGTTGAAAACTATAGAGCAACAATTATGGAACTCAATGGCAGCAATTAGTGAAACTGAGCAGTTGAAGTGATCAGAGAAAGGAACTGCTAAATGGACTACAAAAACCTGTTACCGCAGGATAACTATGCACATGCCCAAGGCTGCGCCCTTCCAGGACCAGTATGAGAGGATTCACACTGTGGGAGGACAGGGGAGAACAGATTTCACCAAAATAGCCCAACCAATCACTAAACAAATAAGCAAGCAAATAACAATAACAAACCTGGGGGTTGGGGGGACTGGTATCCAGTGCTGCTACAATATATTATCAAAGTCAATTTCTTAAAAAAAGAAATTTGAGGCAAAGAAACCAGAAAGTCTGACCCCTACACAGGCAGGGAAGCAGGCAACAGAAACTGCCTGTGAGGGCAACTAGATGGATTTAACAAAGACTTCAGAGTTGTGTATGTGTGTATGTGTTTTTTCAAAGAACTAAAAGAAACCATACTAATGAAGTAAATGAAAGTATGATTACTATATTTCACCAAATAGAGAATGTCAACACAGAGCTAGAAATTTTTTGGAAAAAAAAGGAATCAAATGTAAATTCTAGAGTTCAGTACAAAAACTGAAGTGAAAAATTCATTAAAGGCACATAAACAAACATTGAACTAATAGAAGAAAAGAATTAGCAAACTTCAAGATAGATTGATAGGGAGTATGCAGTCTGAAGATGAGAAAGGATAAACAATGAAGAAAAACTAAGAGATCCTCAGAGAAATGTGGGATACCATTAAGCAAATCAGCCTACCTGTAACAGGAATGCCAGAAGGATAGATCAAAGAAAAAGGAGTAGAAAATACTCAAATAAATAATGGAATAAAATTTCTCAAATTTGATGAAAAACTTTAACTATAAACCTAAGAGGCTCTAAACTCCAAGTAAGATTAAAGCAAATAGTTCCATAGACACAGCATAGTACAAATGCTGAAACCCAAAGACAAGGAAAATATCCTGAAAGCAGCAAGAGAAAATGAATTTTCACTTACAAGAGAACCTCAATAAGATAAACTGCTGACTTCTTATCAGAAATAATTATGACCAGAAGACAGTGGTGTGGTGTATTCCTAGTGCCCAAAGAAAAGAAGAAAAAAAAAAAAACAACTATCAATCAAGAATCACTACCCAGCAAAGCTATCTTTTAAAAATGAAGGTAAAGTAAAAACATTCACAGATAATCATTGAGATAATTTGTAGTCACAGACCCACCTTACAAGAAATATAAAAGAAAGTTATTCAGACTGAAAGTGACTGACCCCAGAGAGTAATTCAAATCTATAGGGAAAAACAAAGAGCACAAGTAGAGGTAGCTATGTAACTATAAAAGATAGTATACATAAATATTTCTTTTTTCTTTTCCTTCTCTTAACTTATTTAAATAGCAGTGATATAAAACACTATACCAATAATTGTATTATTCAGCCTATAACTTATAGAAAGGTAATATATTTTCTAATAACAGGACAAAGAAGGTGAGTGGCAGCACTTTGTTATTTACAGAAATTCTCCATTGTTCTTTTTTTTTGCTGAAATCCTGTAGTCTATAGTAACTAGCATTAAAACTCTTAAATGAAAAAGAGTCTTATATTTTGGGGATAGTAGAGAAGTGAAGAAGAAGTAATTATGGGGAGAGGAACAGCAAAAGTAAAGTAAGTGATAAAATAATCAAAGAGTAAAAAGAGTCATGCTTAGCTCTTGTGGCATAAAGCAAGAAAGAAAGTCATAACAAATAACTAGTCAAAGACACGGAAATGAGGGCAGGAGAGCTCTGTGTGGCCTCCATACATTTTAGACAGTTAAGGGTCAAAATCTGGGCTATCTAGTTGAAGGCATTAGAAATTCAACCATATGACCTAGGCTTCATGGGGGGTACATTAAGAGAGGAATGCCTACTTCCCTTTTTCTGGTATCCAGAAAGAGCAAGCTTCCCTCAAACTTCTAACTTGTATGCCTTTCTTTTCTCCTCCTAATAGAGAGAGAATTGTAGGAAGGTAATTGTCCAACATTTTTTGATTGGATGTAACTAACTTATCAATGGTTCTAAGCATGAAGAATTTGGTCTATTTATACTAACGTTCTCCCCAGACCAGTTAGAGTTACGTGTTTGCTCTGCCATGTAGGAGCTGTTCCAAGGTCTAGAATCTGCATGGAAGAAGTAGTAAGTCCAGTTTTACTTTTACAGTAACTTATAATTGTCAGCCTATTCCTTATTACTAGTAATGATGATAGTTTGGCCTTTATTTGTTTTATTCCTGTTCTTATTTTTCAATTAATTCAGAACTTGGACAGGAAAAAGTGGTACTATTTCAAAACCCCGACACCTTGGTACATTGCCTGGAAATCTAACCCAGTCCTCCCACATGGTAAGAGAGAATTCCACCAACCGAACACACTTCCTGTCCACATCTGATGTTTCTTCCAATGTGAAGTCCGTTCGTGGAATACTCTTAGCTTCTTGCCACCCCTTTACCACTCCACTCTACCCTGCATACTCCACCCCCAGAGGAGGTGGAATGATTTATCCAATTGGTAGGTTTGGATAAACGACCCGGGCAGTTTCAGGCCATCTCCAGTTTTTTTCCTGGGGGAGCCAGCATACCTGTAGGGGTTACAAGTTACTTTCTTCTCCTTTGTGCCATGAGTCATACTCAAGTCACATGCAAGAGGGGATGCCTGTCAGGTCCAGCCTTACCTGTGAGAGAGTGGGTAAGTCTGCCTATTTCAGGAAATCAATTAGTAGATCCATTTGGCTTTCTTCATAACCTACATCTTCTTACTTTTTTTTTTTTTTTTTTTTTTTGAGACAGAATCTTGCTCTGTCACCCAGGCTGGAGTACAGTGACGTGTTCTCAGCTCACTGCAACCTCCGCCTCCTGAGTTCAACCGATTCTCCTGCCTCAGCCTCCCGAGTAGCTGGGATTACAGGTGCACACCACCGTGCCCAGCTAATTTTTGTATTTTTAGTAGAGATGGGGTTTCACCATATTGGCCAGGCTGGTCTCAAACTCCTGACCCTCACGATCCGCCCATCTCAGCCTCCCATAACTTGCATTTTCACTCGTTCGTTATCAACAATGAAAATGTTATTTTGGCCTCCCTCCATTTTTTTATCTTTCCCTAATTTCTCATTTGGATGCTATTTATTTAGTCCTCTTAAGAATCTCAAACAGTAGAAGGAAAATTATGTCACGATGTCAGTTCTGAAGAAATCAAAGTACTGAAGATAATGTTAATGACCATAGGTAATTACACAAGAAAGAGTAACTTAGGCAGAAGGGAGAGGGTTATATTCTAGGAACAAGGAAATAGCCCATTTGTAGAAGTGGATTACAGGGTCAGAGTGGAAGCAGCAATAAAGTCACCTTGATGCTGAGCCCTGAAATCCTTCCAATTCTCTATGAATGTGTGTCAATGCTGAGCCTGTGTGTGAAGGTACTAACTGTGTAGGTTTGTGAGGGAAGAGAGCCAGGAAGCTTGCTATACTTGATGACTTATTTGAAAAGGAAAAAGAAAAAAAAAAGTAAAACCTGATCACTATTACCATAAAGCCATAGCATGAAATAAGATTTTCTGTAAAATTGTTAGCACAGCATTCCAGTTTTGATAACACTTCAGATGATTTTGTTGCAGTAAAATATATCAGACTGAAAACCTTTCCTTTGCCTAAAGGAAGGTAGTTCTTGGACTATTTGGGAACAAATGATCTCTTTCAATAGCTCAAAACTTGTAGTGTGACATTTGTTTTCTTGTGATCAATAGAGCAAGTGTTCATTTTCACCATGAGGGTGGCATACTGGAGGCTCAAGCTAATTATTTTTCTGGTAATGGGAAATAAGATTGAGCCGATGGCTCAAAGCAAGTGAGAATAACTTTTGATTCCCTCTGCCTGATTATTCTCTAGTGTCATATGGCAGCCCCTGGCAGCCCATTCACATTTCCTGATTAAGTAAGCAGTTTGAGTCAGGCATATGGTCATGCATCAGATAGTTCTCTGGATAATATTAGTTCCAAGGTAAGAAAGAAAATATGGTTAAATGTGTATGAGTTTATAATTTATTTACTGTTCACAGGGGTGGGATTTGCCTTGCACATTGCTACCCTCATAGCTTCCATTTGTTTGATATATGCTCTGGCTGAGGACACCATATTCATATGTATTTTTTTTATCTTCAGCAGAACCATTTAAAATTTCCTTCCTTTCCTATTTCCTTCAGTATGTTCTCTATTTCCAAAACCATCTTCTTTCCCTGGAGCAACCATTTTCTTTTGTTTAGGATCACAAATTTCACATCTCCTGTCAATCTTTTTGTCAAGAGGATATTGTGAAGATAAAATGACAAAATGGTTGGAAAAAATGCTTTTCTTTGAACTATTATTTCAATAATAGGTATTGTTTTGCTGCCGAAGACTGAGAAAAGTTTTATGGATACCAATTTTCCCCTCATAAAGTAGATCAAGACAATGTTCTTGCCAAAACCGGGTACTTCTTAGTCATGTTGAGCTTTGGGAGGTGTCTATTTTCTCCAGAAGAAGAGGACAAAGAGATGCACCATATTTCTTAAAGTCCTGGATAGGAAGTTTGAGCATCTGTTTCCCTCTATCCATAGTTCATTCACAGTGGTAACTTCAGCAGTCATCCAGCAGAACTAAATAGTGTCCCCATCATCTTCAGGTGCTCTGAATAAGTAGTGATTTGGGCTGCTAGAAAGATCCTTGGGTGGGCTGGCAGTAACACATCTTCCAGTAATCATTACTAGAAGTGTCAGCCTAGGTAAATTCATGTTCATCTGGGACCATTTTCTCTTACTTTGCTTAAATTTAACCCAGATCTTAAGATCCAAGTGTTATATTGAACATTGGTGAGGTACAGCGAAATTTGAAGAGGTGGGAAAAAGTTTTCCTTTCCACCCTTACAGAGACAACACGCTGAGGAAATAGGACTCTCCCTTCGTCTATTTAGGTAATCCTTGGCTTGGCATATTTGGGTAAGAAAATGAAAGGTTTGCCTACATAGTTGAAATCTCTCGTCACATTATATCATCTGAAGCCTATTTGTACGTTGGGATCATTTTATTTGGTTTTGGTTAGGCATAAAAGTGTTCTGTGGTCTCCTCTTTTTTCAAGGCCTTCTGGCTTTTGGAAAATTGAGTGATTTCATCCCTGTCCGGGTTTCCTAGTGAAATCTTGTATTTTTACTCAAATTACTTGATCAATTAGTTATGTCAGCTGCCCAAAATGTGCCTTTTTATTAATAGCACCTTTTATCAACTCATTGGAATTAGAAATTGCAACCATGGTTTGAGGCTGGTAACATCTTGCAATAATTTATAAATTTTACTTTTTAAAAAGACCTCACAATTGCTCATTTGTGAACTTTTTGGATGTGTCCCTGTGTGAGAAATTGCATTTGTATTATTATTAGTTCTGACAAACTGGATTAGATCTTGGCTATTGTTAAGTGGTTCTATCTGCCCTCAAATCTACTGAGAGACACAGCATTTTAAATGAATTTAATTAAAACGGCATGTGGTTTATAGAGCTGCCTCCAGTTAGTATGCCATTCTTCTTGACTGAATAGAGTTTCTACTAATGTATAATGATGTTTTATGTGAGAGATGTTTGAAACTCCTTCATAGTAGCCCCGAGGTAGTTTCCGTGGAATGACATGGTGGTGAAATTTTAAAATTCTAAAAAACCTTTTATACTTAAGTGAGTCATGTTTACACTAACTAATGTATGCATAAATGTGTTAAATATGTTTGTTGAAGCTGTGAGAGACATGGATTGTATTTCAACACCAGCAATATGTTGGCAGTGAGAGATTTTTAAGAAATTCAAATCTGGGAGCAGTTTGGAAGATCTGAGAAAAGATATATGGATACCAATAATATGTATTATTCTTTGAAGTATGAAAAAAGACCACTGTGGAACTTCCTCTTAAAATCAGTTCCTTTGGTCAACTAGTTTTAATGGTTCTCCCCTAAGGAATAAGAATTATACATAAAGACGATTCTCAGCATCAGTTTAAAACAAAGTCTTGGAAAATATCAATGATAGAAGTTTATGTTTTTTTAATGAAGATTTTTTGCATTTTTGAATATTTTAAAAGAATAAATTGTTCAATAAAACTTTATAGAGGGAGTCAATGAAGCCATTTGACTGAATAGACTCAAATTCTGGTTCTGGAAATTGATCTTTGATGATAATGATAGGATAACTGCAGGGAAGTCGTCTTGACCCATTTTCCTCCACAGTCAGTCTTCTGAAATGACACTACTGAGAAATGCAGTCTTTACATCATCTTCATTAAGTACACAACAAAATGTCTGGCAATGTTGTAGACTCCAGCGGGACATGGTTAGAGAAGAAGTGGTTCAGCAGAAGGGAGTAAGCTCCAGGTAAACATGCAGCACAAATGAGGAAGAATTTCCAGGACATGGAAACTAACGGGTAAGAGAGATGAGCTCAGATTGGAGGAGCTCACCTCAGCCTCTCAAAATGCTAGGATTACAGACATGAACCACTATGCCTGGCCCTTCATTTTTTTTTTTTTCTAAGAGACAGAGTCTTGCTGTGTTGCCCAGACTGGAGTCCAGTGGCATGATCATAGCTCACTGTAGCCTTCCAGTGAGCAAGGAAGGAAACAATGAACTTTCCATGGGAAGAGAGTTGAAATAAAGGAAGGTCATGAGAAACTCAGGCTGTGATTTCTTGAGAGGAAGTCAATGAAATGAACTACAGGCATGAACAATGAAGAAAAGTTAAAAGGATAATAGAGACAACAGCTTGGCCGGGCATGGTGGCTCACACCTGTAATCCTAGCTCTCAGGGAGGCAGAGGCGGGAGGATAGCTTGAGCCCAGGAGTTCAAGACCTGCCTGGGCAATATAGCGAGACCCCGTTCTCCACGAAAAGGAAGAAAAAAAAAGACAAAAAAAAAAAAATAAGCGTAATAGAGACAACAGCTTATAGGCTACATACACAGCAGTATTCTCTGTTTCTCCTCAACCTCAGTAAAAGCTAATCTACCTCATAGGGCTGTCATGAAGATCAAATGTAGTCAATATAAAAAAAATTCATGTAAGATGCTTAGTACAATACATGGTATATTACAAGTACTCAAAGCATTTTAACTTAAAAATTACCATTTGCATGTATTCTAACTAGATGTCTTTCTTAATGTTTCCATAAAAGATTCCATATATTGATTCAAAATTAACAAATATCTTTTCATTTCTAGAAACCCTGTGTTTTCTCCTGATCTGAATGGCATGTCATTTTAGAATTCTTATTGTGAGATGTTTCTTCTTCTTCTTTTTTTTTGAAATGGAGTCTCAGTCTGTTGCTCAGGCTGGAGTGCAGTGGCATGATCTTGGCTCACTGCAACTTCCACCTCCCAGGTTCAAGTGATTCTCCTGCCTCAGCCTCTCAATTAGCTGGGAATACAGGCACTCACCACCACACCTGGCCAATTTTTTGTTTGTTTGTATTTTTAGCAGAGATGGGGTTTTCCCATGTTGGCCAGGCTGGTCTTGAATGCCTGACCTCAAGTGATCCATTCGCCTCAGCCTCTCAAAGTGCTGGGATTACAGACATGAGCCACCATGCCCTGCCCTTCATTTTTTTCTTCCTAAGAGACGGAGTCTTGCTGTGTTGCCCAGTCTGGAGTCCAGTGGCATGATCATAGCTCACTGCAGGCTCAACCTCCTGGGTTCAAAGGATCCTCCCTCCTCAGCCTCCCAAGTAGCTGAGGAAACAGGTGCATGCCACCATGTCCAGCTAATTTTTTAATTTCTTAATTTTTTGTAGAGACAGGGTCTCACTGTATTGCCCAGGCTCTTTTCAAATTCCTAGCTTCAAGCAGTCCTCCTGCCTTAGCCTCCCAACGTGCTAGGATTACAGATGTAAGCCACTGTGCCTGGTCTTGATCTTAGCTTCTTAAAAAATCAGAAGTGTTTTAGGTAGTGGTATCTTCCAAAAATGTCATTATCAGAAAGAAAGACATTTTTAAAAACCCACAACATTTTTATTCCTTGCACTTAATTTTTTGGCCTCTAACTTTGGGAGATGAAAATAATCTCTCTGAAGAAAAAATAAACTACCAAAGGTCTTATTATAAATCCTACTTTTAAGATCTGGGTAACACTGTTTAATAATAGCATAGCAGCTATCCTTTATTGAGCTATTACTTGCCCAGTACAATATGCAATCTACATATTTCCTCTACAGTCTTCACTTCTATGCTAAACAAATTGTATTATTCTACAATTTTATAAAGAAACTAAGACTCAGGCCGGACGCAGTGGCCCACACCTATGATCCCAACACTTTGGGAGGCCGAGGCAGGCAGATCACTTGAGGCTAGGAAAACAAGACCAGGCTGGCCAACATGGTGAAACCCCGTCTCTATTAAAAATACAAAAATTACCTGAGCGTGGTGTCATGTCTGTAGTCCCAGCTACTCAGGACACTGGGGCAGGAGGATTGCTTGAACTGGGGAGGCGGAGGTTGCAGTGAGCCGAGATGGCACTACTGCACTCCAGCCTGGGTGACAGAGTGAGACCTGTCTCAAAAAAATAAAGCAAAACAAAACAAACAAGCAAAAAAACCCATACTCACCAAAAGAAAAAAAAAATTAAGACTTAGAGAACTTAACTTGCTAGCAAATAACCAAGCCAGAATTCACACTCAGTGCTTCCTGACTTTAAGTTTCTTCCCATGATGCCATTCTGCCTCAAACCAGACAGCCAATCTCCTTAAGAAGACAACAATTTTTTATCAAAATATTTTGACATTAGTGAATTAACCAAGTATGCCACTTGTCTGACTGTGCAAATCCTTACCAAGGAAGCAAAGTGGAAAAAAAAATTGAGGAAATTCCAGACAATGGAAACACAATAGGCAAAAAGACATTTCAGTTTTATCTGGAGAACATATGAAAGGAGCAGCAGTGATCACAGAGAACAAGCTGGAAACACTTCCTTGTGAGTGATGGTATTCTGTTTCCATGGTAACTAGACATGGCAGAGGAAGTCAATGCCTCGTTTCTGTTTACTCAATCTGTATGAGCTCAGTGTATACGACAGGGCAGTTTTCAACAAAGAATAATTCAGTGAGACAGCCCTGATCATGTCACCCCTGCCTAAAAACTTTCCAGGATTCTTGGCTAAGTGCAGGACGCCTCGTGGGCATAGGAGGTCCTCTACTCAGCCAGTCTCATCTCCTGCTCTCTACAGTTCCGTCTCTATGCTCTGGTCCATTCTGACATGCACCCAATCCGGGCTGCATATTAGAGTCACCTAGGGAGCTTTAAAAATATACAGATGTCTGGGCTTCACGAACCCCAGGGATTCTGATTTGATGATCTGGGGTAGGGTCTTAAAATCTCTCCAGGTAATTAGAAAGCACAGCCGGGATTGAGAAGATCACTGATCTAATCAAAGAGGATTCTAAAAACTACTTCATTCTCCTGACTCTACACTTTATACTAACGCCCTTCCTTTCTCCTGAAAGATCTTTTCTCTCTCCTCCCCTTTCACCTTCTCTGGCCAACTATACCTTTTAAATTCTTTTCATCTTGTAAAGTGTTTCTCCAATGCCTTGAAGCTTTTCTTAATTCCCCGTCCTCTTTTTAGTTGAACATAGTATCTCTTTCATTTAAACTTTAAAAATGTGTTTTTACCCCTCTTATAGCATTTATATTTCCTATCACTACCTCCTCTCACCCTTCTCTATGAGCAAGGACTAGGTTTTGCAGATTTCTTGATATACTAAAGGCTCAATAAAAAATTAAATACCTGTATTTCAAAGGTTGCAAAATATCTGTCTTTGGAGAAAAGAGTTAATATCCTCCATTTCTGATGATGCTTGAATTGAGTTCAAGACTGGGCCCAAAGTCCATCCCCTAATAGTGAGAATGCTTATTTTAGAGCCTGCAAGCCCCCCGGTATTGTATTAGAATGGTGTATGGGCTTGGGTGCATTATTTTCAGGAGAGTTTCCGTAGCTTTAATCAGACTCTCAAAGTTACCCATCTATGATTCATTAACATGTTAAAGCTACTATCCTACAAGATGAATCTTCAGAGGCTCAGTGCTCAGTGGTGACAGTGGCCTTGATTTGACACTGTTTACTGGACACTAACCTTCCATTTCTCTTTCTGCCATAATTTTAGGCCACTTCACCTCCATTTAGGTTGAATGCCTTCATGAAAATGTTAGTACTCCAAAGACTAATCGAGAATAACACCTATCATTTGGATGATTAAATATTTTTAAATGAAAAATAAAATTAGGCCAGGAGTGGCGGCTCACACCTGTAATCCAAACACTTTAGGAGGCCAAGGTGGGCAGATTGCTTGAGCCCAGGAATTCAAGACAAGACTGGCCAACATGGCAAACCCCATCTCCACAAAAAGTACAAAAATCTAGCTGAACGTGGTAGTGCACGCCTGTAGTCCCAGCTACTTGGGAGGCTGAGGTGGGAGGATCGCTTGAGCCCAGGAGGTTGAGGCTACAGTGAGCTGTGATCATGCCATTTTAGTCCAGCCTGGGCAACAGAGTGAGACCCTGTCTTTAAAAAAATAAGAAGAAGAAACAAAATTAAAGGTACTTTTGTTATTGGCTCAGAAAAATGTGAATTCCCATCTTGGTTAGGTGATAAATGCATAGTGTCTTTGCCACCATTGACCACCACAGAGAAAAGTGCTCATATGCATGTGTATGTTGTGTGTGTTTTGTATGAGTATTTTAGCAAAATGTGATTTTTCTTAGACAAAAAAATTGCCAAAGGCCTGGTTGTCTGCAAAAGGAATAAAATTCATTTCGGCAGGCCACCTCTGAGTTTCTTAGGTTTCATTATTTGCTGCTGAAATATTTGAGACTAAAACAACAACAATCAAAACATGACTTAGTAGCTGTTCGAAGTAATTTTTCTACTTCTGGGCACAAAATAGCCAGAAAAGCGTCTGTCTTCTCAATTGAACTGATTTGTAATTCTAGAATGTAAGAGGAAAAAACTGGAAGGACCTCCACTTAAATCTGTAATTTTGGTAATTCTGAAGTAACGTGACACAAGGAATTTTGATCATTGCTCAGTTCAGCCTGGGGGAATCTCCTTTCAAGGAATGAGAAATGCTTGGGAGAAGTCATTGGAGGAAGCTGCAATTGGGGTTTGACCTGAATAAATTGAAATAGAACATGGGAGATATTACCTAGTGAGCCTAGTAGAAATTAGCAAGCTGAAGATAAGAGTTAGCAGTATATATATTCACATATATATGGCTGTATACTCAAAATTGTTGCAAAGTGTGAACATCAGACTTAATCAAATGACATGCTGATATGCCTCCTTATAAAAAAGGGTTGGCATTAAAATTCAGAATTTTCAAAATACAAAAATTAGAAGGTGATTACTCACGTTTTTAAAAGAACTCTTTGCCTTAAAAAGAATCTACCACATTATTCCATTCAAATTACCCCTTATAGAAACGACTTCCTGTTCAATAAATAGTTCTGGGACAACTGGCTTATCATATGCAGAAGACTGAAAATGGACTCCTATGTTACACCATACACAAGAATCAACTCAACATGGATTAAAGACTTAAATGTAAATTACAAAACTATAAAAGCCCTGAAAGTTAACCTAGGCAATACCATTCAGGACAAAGAAACTGGCAAAGATTTCATTTTCATACCAAAAACAATTGCAAAAAAGCAAAAATTGACAAATTGGATTAAACTTAAGAGTTTCTGCACAGCAAAAGAAACCATCCACAGAGTAAACAGAAAACCTACAGAATGAGAGAAAATATTTGCAAACTATTCATCATCTGACAAAGGTCTAATATCCAGTATCTATAAAAAAACTTTAACAAATTTACAACAACAACAACAACACCCCATTAAAAAGTAGGCAAAGGACATGAATAGACACTTTTCAAAAGAAGACATACATGTGGCCAATAAGCATATGAAGAAAAGCTCAACATCACTGATCATGAGAGAAATGCAAATCAAAACCACCATGAGATAGCATCTCACACCAATCAGAATGTCTATTATTAAAAGGTCAAAAACTAACAGATGCTGGCAAGGTTGCGGATAAAAGAGAATGCTTACACACTGTTGGTGGGAGTGTAAATTAGTTCAACTGTTGTGGAAAGCAGTGTGGCAATTCCTGAAATAGCGAAAAACAGAACTACCATTCAATCCCCTTACTGATATATCTGATGTAATAAATCATTCTCCCATAAAGGCATATGCATGTGTATGTTCATTGCAGCACTATTCACAATTGCAAATATATGGAATCAACCTCAATGCCCATCAGTGGCAAAGTGAATAAAGAAAATGCGGTGCATATATACCATGGAATACTATGCAGCCATAAAAAGAATGAGATTATGTCCTTTGCAGGAACATGGATGAAGCTGGAGGCCATTATCCTTAACAAAAATGCAGGAACAGAAAGGCAAATACCACATGTTCTCACTTTAAGTGGGACTTAAATGATGAGAACACATGGACACATAGAGGGGAACAACAGATACTGGGGCCTCCTTGACGGTGGAGGGTGAGAGGAGGAGGAAGGGAGAGGATCAGAAAAAGTAACTATTGGGTACTAGGCTTGGTACCTGAGTGAGAAAGTAATCTGTTCAACAAACCCCTGTGACACAAATTTACCCATATAAAAAACCTTCAGATGCACCACTGTACCTAAAATAAAAGTTTAAAAAATAAATAAAATTAAATTAATGAGATGCTCTTTAAAGTATGTTAAAATTGCCATTTGGTTAATTTCAGAGGTTCTCACACTTCAGTGTGCATCGCAGTCACCAGAAAGGTATGTTAATAAAAATTAGGTTGCTCAGCCCCCACCCTCAGAATTTCTGATTCAGAAGGTTTGGGATGGATCCCTAAAATCTGCATTTCGAACAGGTTCTCTGGTCTGGGCACCAGTTTGAAAACTGTTGGTTTATTAAAATTCTTCCTGAACGTAGTTTATTAGAAAAAAATCTATGATGTAACAGGAAGTAAACCTACAAGTGATTTTTAGTGGATGTGATGTGCTGAATTGTGTATCCCCCAAATTTCATATGCTGAAGTCCTCATCCCCAGTACCTCAGAATGTGACTGTGTTTAAAGATAGGGTCCTTAAAGAAGTAATTAAGTTAAAATGAGGTCATTAGAGTGGGCCTTCATCCAACATATGACTAGTGTCCTTATAGGAAGGGGAAATTAGGACCCAGGCACACACAGAGGAAAGCCCATGTGAAAAAAACAGGGAGAAGGTGGTCATCTACAAGCCAAGGAAAGAGGACTCAGAAGAAACCAGCCTGCTGACACCTTCACTTGGATTTCTAGCCCCAAGACTACGAAGAAATATATTTCCGATGTTTGATCTCCCTAGTCTGTGGTCCTCTGTTATGGGTCTAGCAAGCTAATACAGATTGTGGGCTTCAAAATAAAATAGCTATTTAGAAAATGTATTCAACGGTTTTGCGTTTGGTCTAAGGGTAAAAATCAAAAGTGATAGTAAAGTAAGAGAAGCAAACAGAGTAAAATGCACTCTTAACCTCTGCTTCATGTCCACTTTTGCCTTTGTAGATGTCTCTGGGCATCTGGGCTTGGAGGAGATACCTGAATTTATGTTTAATCAGGGGACACTATTGGTGTCAGGTTGGTTCACAAATGTGGGAGAATAAGAGAGCTACATGGAAAGGAAGAGTCCATATGAACAGAATGAAGTGTGTGGCCTAGGGAGAGTTTTAATGTTCTTGCATATTCAGTGTCTTTATGAATAGTATACCAAATATACAGGGGTTATAAATTGGGGGAAAGGGAGCATGATGCAGAGTGTGGGTGAAGAGTGTGTTTTATTTGGTCTGCTCACTGTTTGCACAATTTGAAGTTAAATGATTTGGGGTGTGTACTCTATCCTCACTCCTCCTTTGGTCACATATCCACCTTCTTCACGCATTTGTTCTGCCTGGTCTCTAGATGCCTTTCAGTGGGTGACCCCCAATTTCAAGTATCCTATAGTGGTTATTGTCCCCTACACAGTACATGTTAGTTGTAAGTTCTGGTAAATTTTGTTTTTGTAACTTTTTTTTTTCTTTTTGAGACAGATTGTTGCTCTTTCACCCAGGCTGGAGTGCAGTAGCATCATTTCGGCTCATTGCAACCTCTGCCTCCCAGGTTTAAGTGATTCTTCTGCCTCAGCCTCCTAAGTAGCTGTGATTACAGGCATGCACCACCATGCCCAGCTAATTTTTTCTTTTTTTTAAATTGAGACAGAGTCTTGCTCTGTCATCCAGGCTGGAGTGCAGTGGCATGATCTCAGCCCACTGCAACCTCCACCTCCTGGGTTCAAGCAATTCTCCTGCCTCAGCCTCCTGAGTAGCTGGGATTAAAAGCACACACTGGCCCACGCCACCATGCCCAGCTAATTTTTCTTCCCCCCGAGACAGAGTCTTGCTCTGTCGCCCAGGCGGGAGTGCAGTGGCGGTGATCTCGGCTCACTGCAAGCTCCACCTCCCGGGTTCACGCCATTCTCCCGCCTCAGCCTCCCAAGTAGCTGGGACTACAGATGCCTGCCACCACGCCCAGCTAATTTTTTTGTATTTTTAGTAGAGATGGGGTTTCACTGTGTAAGCCAGGATGGTCTCTATCTCCTGACCTCATGATCCTCCTGCCTCAGCCTCCCAAAGTGCTGGGATTACAGGTGTAAGCCACCGTGCCTGACCTAATTTTTGTATTTTTAGTAGAGATGGGGTTTCACCATGTTGGCCAGGCTGATCTTGAATTCCTGACCTCAGGTGATCCGCCCACCTTGGCCTTCCAAAGTGCTGGGATTACAGGTGTGAGCCACCGCACCTGGCCCTGTAACTATTTTTATTATAAGAATTTTCTCCTAGCAGTAGTGATGGAAATAACATTAGCAATACAAATGCTATCTTATAGAGGGAGAAAATGAGGAGGCCCAATACCATTTCATGAGTGAGTCAGAAGGTGAAATCCACAATCACTTGCTTTTATGCTTTGCTCAAAGTGGCAGGCTCCATGGCCTCTTAAAAAAATTGCCATCTTTTTATTATAAAGTAATAAATAAATTGCAAATTCTGCCATAAACTCTTTCCTCGTGACCTTTCTTAAATTTGTTTTCTTTTTTCTTCATTTCTTAATAAGTCTTTATATATTTTGGCACAGTAAGCTTTGAAAAGGGAGGGTTAAAAATAGCTTCCTGGTTTCAGCTACCAAACACAAGCATGTTTTGGAGCTCTCCCACAACAGGCTGATTTCCAAAGAAACACACATTTATTCATCCTGAAGGGCTGTGATGTTGAGGAGTCAGACAAAAAATTCAACTATTATGTGAAGACAGTTTGAGAAATATAAATAAGGGAGTGCTTTCACTAGCACTTGCAGTATGGATTTGTGACTCAAGAAAGTCCTGTTCATGTGTTTCTTCATTTTTTCCCTGGGTTTCCATAATCAGAGAAGGGAAGGACAGGAAAGCATGTGATATTTATATAGCAGAAATGATACTATATTAAAGGGTTTCTTTAGGTGTTAAACAGTTTGGCTTGCAAACGTCTAGACTTTTTTAAATATCTAAAAATGACAAATCTTAAACACCACTCCCAATAACTTCCTTAAAATTTGATATAAGAAATGTTGCCTGGGCTTTATAGTCCCATAATTGCTTGGCTGAGAACATGTGCCTTACTCCTGTTCCTATACAAGGTCCATCATCTTGCTGGCACTCCATGAATGTCAACTACCAAGTGTACAGATTTAGGTATCAAAGACTGCTGATGATGCAAAACCTAGAGATCTAGGAAATACTGAGGAATAATGCAGCCAGACTCAAAAGGTTTGTTTCTTTGAGCTGCCAGAGCTAGTAATGTAAGTGGAAAATATAGTTAATATAGACAGATGTCAAACAAAGCCAAGTGGAAAGAACAGGAAACAAAAATATTAAATGAAACAGTAGAGTGTGCTTACTGGGTTGGGACTTGGAGAATTGGGTTTGGAATCTCTTTGCAGTCTGCCCTGTGAAAGACTGAAAGAAAATTTTGAAGTGATGTGAAAATTTATTCGGTTCCTCAGTGGATAACCCTTTCCCAAACAATGAGAATCTCTGATGAAGCCTCTGCTGTTACTTATGAAGAAATTTGATAACTATTTAACATGTTGATATTATACTACTATCAAGTGATATTGTAAATACCTGCCCTTCCCTCATCCACCCATGCAAAGCATCCTGGAACATCCCAGATTATTAGTTGCTGTAGTCCATCTAGAATGCTATAATGAGACACCATAAACTGGGTAGCTTATAAATAACAGAAATTTGTGTCTCACAATTCTGAAGGCTGGAAAGTCCAAGATCAAGATTCCAGGAGACTTGGCACCTGGTGAAGCCTGGCTTTCTGGTTTATAGAAAGCATCTTCTCTGTCTCCTGATATGATAGAAGGGGCAAGGGATCTCTCTAGGGTCTCTTTATAAGAGTACCAATCCCCAGTTATCTCCCAAAGGACCTACATCTAATACCCTTACCTTGGGGGTTAGGATTTCAATACCTGAATTTGGGGGGGGGACATAAACATTTAGTCTATTGTATTAGCACTGCAAGCATAGGGTGTAAGAGTGTGTATCTTCTTTTCAAACTTAGGAATTAGCTATTTCTTCATAGATTCTTCTAGTTAGTAATAGGTTGGTGCAAAAGTAATCACAGTTTAAATTTTAAATCATTATAACTAGGCTCAAACACATCTTTATTAATTAAAATAGGAACCATTACAATCAACACATTTTTGCCAACTGGAAATAAGTTTGTTTATTCCTGTAGCATAAAAATCTGTGCTTCGGGATTCAATGAACTCTTGGAAAGCATTTTCTGCATCCTGCTGGTTGTGGAAACATTTTCCATGTAAAAAGTTGTCGAGATGCTTGAAGAAGTCAGTTGGTGAGAGGTCAGGTGAATATGGCAGTTGAGGCAAAACTTCTTAGCCCAATTCGTTCAACTTTTGAAGCATTGGTTGTGTGTTGTGCAATGAGTGGTCAGGCATTGTTGTGGAGAAGAATTGGGCCTTTTCTGTTGACCAATGCCGGCTGCAGGCATTGCAGTTTTCAGTGCATCTCATCAATTTGCTGAGCATACTTCTCAGATGTAATGGTTTCACCGGGATTCAGAAAGCTGCAGTGGATCAGACTGGCAACAGACAACCTAACAGTGACCACGACCCTTTTTTGGTGCAACTTTGGCTTTGGAAAGTGCTTTGGAACTTCATCTTGGTCTGACCACTGAGCTGGTCATCGCTGGTTGTTGTATAAAATTCACTTTTCGTCACATGTCACAATCCGATGGAGTATAGTTCATTGTTGTTGAGTACAATAAGAGAAAATGACACTTCAAAATGGTGATATTTTCAATTTTCACTCAGCTCACGAGGCACCCATTTATCAGCTTTTTCACTCTTCCAATTTGCTTCAAATGCCAAACAACCATAGAATGGTCCATGTTGAGTTCTTCGGCAATTTCTCATGTGGTTGTACGAGGATCAGCTTCGACGATTGCTCTCAATTGGTCATTGTCAACTTCCGATGGCTGGCCACTATACTCCTCATCTCAAGTCTCCTGTCTCCTTTGGAAAACTTCTTGAACCACCACTGCACTGTACATTCATTAGCAGTTCCTGGGCCGAATGCGTTGTTGATGTTGTGAGTTGTCTCCACTGCTTTACGACCCATTTTGAACTCGAATAAGAAAATCATTCGAATTTGCTTTTTGTCTAACATCATTTCCATTGTCTAAAATAAATATAAAATAAACAGCAAGTAATAAGTCATTAGCAAAAAAAAAGTGAGAAATGGCCATTAAAGTGATATATAACATAACTACATTTATTTAAGAATGTATTCCAATATCACACAGCAAATTTCAACAATGCAAAAACTGCAATTATGTTTGCACCAAGCTAATAGTATCCTGTCTTATGCCACTAATTACCTTAGGGCTGAGTGAAAGCGGGGCCTGCTAGCCCTGATGATGGACCCTCAGTTCAGAGTCAGCTTGAGAGGGAGGCAAGAGAAACCATCTTCTCCACCTTTCCCCTCCTAGGGCAGTTATCTGAGAGAAGAGCCGGCAGAAGGCATTTAGCCTTCAGTCTGTGAAGTGTTGGTGCTGGACAAATTATAGCAGAAGCTGGGCTGCTACAGAGTAACTAGGGTTGGCAATAGCTTGCTTGTTGATGGCCACTTTCTTAGGCAAGTCCAGACACAGTATATAGCGGCTTCAGGTGGGACTAGAACATCCCTGCAGCACCATCTGCCCAGGCTTGCTCGGTGAAGAGCCCTGAGCCCTAAGCCCTAAATCCTAAGGTGGTGTCAGTTTAGCTTAAAGGAAGGTGGTCTTCTTGGAGAAATGTGCCAAGCTTGAGAGCGTCCTAAACATCATGGCAAAATATGAGGCAAAAGGGTAAACTGACGAGGATTGTTAACACCAACATTACTAATAATGCGTGCTTATATTACTTAATGTTTCTATTTGCTAGATATCAAGCCTTAACACTGACTACTTTAAATTCAGTGTTTCATTGAATCCCCTCAGCAACTTTATGAGTTAAGTATTATTACTATTCCTATTTTCAGAGAAGATAACTGACAAAAAGAGAGTAAGAAGTTTGCCTAAAGTTACAGTTATTAAACATTTAGAATTGGTTTCACACACAGCTCAGTCCGACTCAGAATCCCATACTCTTTCCCCTAAACTATGCCACCTGTAAACAAACACAGGCAAGGCCAGTGAGAAATCAGAAACCAAGTTGCTTATTATTTCATGGTGTTGCTGTGTGTTGTGGGAATTACAAATGACTCTAAAATATTGTTTCTACCCTCCAGGAGCCTAGAATGTCAATCCGTGATCTTTCTCATCAATTCTGTTTATGTTTTATTTATCCCCATATGAAAGCTAAACAGTAAAATTTATTCTGTATCCAACTGAAGGGCATGTTTTTAAATTTCTAAAACCCCAAATATGTCAAATGTTAGTAAACACTGCTAGACTGAGAACAGTGAAAATAACTTTTAAATACTTGTTCGATGCCATTGCTTATAACTTGTAAGACCAACATAGAAATTTATCTGTAGTTTATCAGTGAAAGTTGATAGACCAGGATTTTATCAGCTAAGAAAGGAGGGATATGCCAGGGCCTATGGAATTTTAGGAAAAAGGGAAGCCTTTAATTGGGTGAGGAAAAGTAGAAATTGAGTTATAACCTCTTCCATGGGTCGTTTATTAGCACATGGTCATTAACATCTATCCCCAGGTTCCTAAGCAGGAAGCAGGAAAAGCAACAAACCAGAGAAAGTCCTGAGCCCCCTTTGAACTTTATAGAAAGGCACTTTATAAATCCTAGGAAAATGAATTTATGTTATAATTTGTCTAGAGTGACTCTGAGTTAAAACTCTTTTGAAGGTAGGGCCTGTTTGATACACCATATAGAAAGTCACCTCTCTCCCTGCCCCCCAGACAGTGTAGCCCATCCTGTGTTGACTTGTCCTCTATTGACCATGATTTTTTTTTTTTGGCATTCTTTCCTGTGGATCTAGATTAAAAGTATTAAGAAATACACCTTAAAGAGAAAGAGCCTATTCAATAGGAGGCCTAGAGGGCAGGAAAGAAGAATTTAGCCCTTTGTCATGAAGTGGAATGAGTGGTCCTCCCTGAGTGTTGATTAAACAAGATTATAATCAGCCATGTATGGTTGCGACTTAATTGGCAGGCAGATCTGCTTGCTGTGCAGAGCAGTATATTTGTATGTGCTCATTTTTTTAAATGTGTTCCAAACCCTTATAGTTGAGTTGATTTTTTTTTTTTGCAATAATGATATGCTTTCAGTAGCGTGTCATTTTCTTTACCCTTGTAGAGAGATAACATGCAATTAGGGAGTGATGTCAGCCTGTAACATTTTGGTGTAAAATTTTGGTCACACCAAAATACTGGGCTCCTTAACAAAGCTGGCAGACACATCTTTTGGCAGCAGCTGCTCGCCATGTGATTTAAAACTTCCTGTCACTATAATTGATGTGTTTTTATTCTTTCCATTTCCTGAAGCCTGATCAGAATTAAAATTGCTGTTGGAATTTCCTGTCAAAGCAACTCATTTATTCTCTGAGCTCTGCACTTTGATTGGACATTGCCTTCAGCAATAGTCAGGTGGAGATTGCTGGGAATTATTCTCTCCACACAGGTTAGATGGCCACGCACGGCACATCTGCAAATCTACACAGATTGTCCATCATGTGGTAAACTTGTCCTAATGGAAACTCCACATGCCAAATGTTAATGATTTGAATATCAAACTTGGCCACCTGCTGGGGCCTCTGGGTTTTGTGTTAATTTAGGAAATCCCGTAGAGTTTTCAGCCAATTGTCTCACCATTGAATTTAGATTGTTGTTCCAAGGTTCACTAGTGAAGCATCTCAGAACAAGACTCTGATCTGTCCCTGGTTTAGATAACATGACTAAAAATGTTTAATTTTTAAGCCCATTTCTCCATCCCTTCTGTTCCCCCATATGCTATTTACATATAACATCTTGGGGTGATTGGGGGTATAAGGGATGAATGGTTCTGAAATATGCCCTAGTAGATACTTGCTCACAGATGTGTGGCCAAGACAACTACAAAAATTCAGACGTGGGTAAAATAGTAGGCAGTGGAAAGATCTAAATTCTACCTCGTTTTATTTTTATATCTGAAAGTAAATCCATAAAATTACTTCTTTATGCAAAGGAAAGAATCACTAACTTTCCTCAGTGTATCCACTGCACAGAGGATTTATTTATTTACTTTTTGATTGTGAGTTCATCTTCTTTACAAATGACTGTTTTCCAGTTGAGGCAGGTGAAAGAAACGCTTTCATGAGCTTAAAGAAGAGGTTGATTAAGTTTAATGCCCTGGACAATAAGGACTATCTTTACTTATCCTGGTGATTAGACTCGAAGATTTCATTATGGAAATGGGAATCTCTTTTTTTAAAAATACAACAACCTATCCTATAAACCACAACACAAAGACGTTTTTAAAAATAATACTTTATTGAAAACTCAATCTGGCATTTAAAATGCTTTTGTTTTGTCACCAAGTAAAGGTAGGCTTTTTGATTTTTTTTCCAAGTACTTGTAAAATATTGTTTTTAATATTTCAAAAATGTGAAATCCACAAGTCTCAGACCTTGTTTTGAGACTTTGCTTACCCCCACCACCTAGGACAGTGCCTTACAAATTGTAGATACTCAATTGATATTTATTAAGTGAATGAAGGAAGCCCTGTAGAATTGTAAAATGTCAAAGCAATGGGGAAGGGACCATGTTACATCTGGAGACAGAGCTTCCAAGCATAGTAATCTTGCTCTGCATAAGGATTTCTGACCCTGCTTATATGTCAGAATCACCAGAGGGGCTTTAAAAAACAACCACAAACAAACTGGTGCCGGGATGCCTCCATGGGCCATGAAATCTGAATCTTCTGTTGGTCACTCTTGGGCTGAAATGATGTTCAAGTCAGAGGTCAGCGTTTCCCCATACTGGGCACCCTTGAGATTGAATCCCAGGCACATTCCACTCCAGATGGCCAGGTCTGATGTGTTGGTTCCACCAAGTCAGAATCATCCTGGACATTTTTTATATATTAGCTTGAGTCAATGACTCCTTGAAAAATGGAGATGGAGAACAGCAGTTGGTGGAGAGAGTGAACCACTCCTTCAGGCACGTTGTGAGCTGAACTAATTTAAAATCACAGGTAAGGATAATGCTACATGTGGAGTGTGTTAGAAACCACCACTTTCATTCAATGTTTCTAGCATGTTAGGATATTTAAAGCACGGAGGGGAAGAAAAATTACATCACTAGATTTTTTTCTGATCTTAAAGTAAGTTTTGAATATTTAATTCTTTTCTATGAATATTCTCCAGGAACTTCTACCATTGTTATCTGACTTCTATTCTACCTCTGTATGTATCTCTTTTGCCTTCTTATTCCCCAAAGCCTCTGATTTTAGAGCAGCTTGCAGAAATAGTGGTGAATAATGTGCTTATTATCATGTAGGTGCTCGCCTGTATTTTGTATGCAAGGAGGTATCTGTTCCATGGGACACATGAGTTTGCCCTGACGATGACCCAGAAAGGGTCTGCATGTGTATTTCTGCTGCCTTTTCCGGCCACAGCTTGGGGAGCTTGTCTGTAGAGGGCGTCCGAGGCTCCATGGATAGTGAGGTCCATCCTACTGCATTTTCAACACTGCTCCATAGCCTGTGCTCAGCATGCCACTGGAAAGGAATCCTAGCTGTATTCTCTTCAAATTTCCCTTCCCCTTTAATTCTTACTTCCTTCTTGTGACATTCTGCTATTCTTTGCCACAAACCATTGCAAAACAACCCATACAAGAGTTTTTGCCTCCTCCTTGGCTAGGGTAGAAGGCTCTTTGGAAACCACAAAGCCACATCTCCAGGGAACAGTAGCTTTATTAATATAATAATCACCACCATCATGGCCTGGATACAATATACACATTACTTTAGAAAGAAAAATAAGGACTATCTGGGGTTTGCTGGAGAAGCTGCACTTGAGGTTAGATGTGTATAGTTAAATTTGGAGTCAAGCTGAGGTCATTGCTAAGGAGATTTGGAGTTGGAAATCCATGTGGAAAATGGTTGCCCCATGGAAGTTATCCTCTCACCATTAAAACTCATTTTGAATAATATCAGTTAGGGAAAATACGAGGGTTTGATCCTGTAAGACTTGGGCTTTTCTTGATGCCCTGGTTTACTTGGAAAATAAGTTGTATGGTATATAATCTTTGCCATCCATCCTCTCTTTCTCAAAAAAATCCTAGCACAAATGGAATAAAAAAGTTTTATTAAGAAGAATCATACCATGTATGTTTCATGAGATTTTCATTCTAAATAACATATAAGGAATGAGTTGCACAATACCAAATATTTTAGACTGTGTTCCTTCTAAATAAGTTGAGTGTATTTAATGAAAGATTTTCTCCAATTGAAATGGAATAAGAAGAAAATATTAAAAGGTCCTTTAATTTCTTATTTGGTTGTTTCTTGGATATAGAGGAGGAAGAAAAAATAAAGTGTGGCAAAACAAACAAACATGGCATCCTCCTTTTTAAGCAATCATGTCAGCTTGGATGGAAATAACAAAGGATCCCAACTAAGTGTGCCAGAGCCTCCGGCAAAGGCAGACTGCTGACATGGCAGCTGTATGTTTCCAGCTGATTTTAGGCCTAGATAACTATCCCTTTCAGCTTAAATGATGCTCTACAGTCATTGACTAGTGCCCAGTTAGGTTGGAGCACAGTTCTTTTGGAACCTGTTCAGACCAACTTGGACTGCCTGTGAGATCTGGGCCAAGATCAGACTGGTTTCCTGGAGCCTGAGGCATAGTACAGGCTGTAGTAAAAGGGACAGAGTTCTCTGCATGTGTAGTAGAATGTATCATTGCATCTGTTTGCTACCTTTACTTTTTAAGAATAATCACAAATGAGTGAGAGCTACACTGTATTCTTCAGACTGAAGCAGGGTGTACACCAAATATCTTTTCCAATAATCTGTAAATTCAACAGGTTATTTTTCTTTTCTGTTTTAAAAATAGCTTGTACTTATCCCCCTCCTCTCCAACCCAAGTGTGGCTCTTGAACTATTTTCAATATATTGCCTTTTTAGGATCCCAAATTCTCCTTTTAATGTGAAACTTGCTTTAATTGACCAAAAATGCCATTTTCAAAATGTTCAATTCTCTGCAAAAGCATTGCTTACTGACAGTGCTTATTGATGAAGGCTGTGGAATCTAAAGGATGTCAACAGATGAATGAAGCCTAGTATGGTGAGATGAGGGCTGCCATCTGCTTAAGGGTTGGCCAAACACCTGGATAATTTAGGCTAAAAGACCAGCCATTTCTTCATTCTGAATACATAACAGAAATCACTGCTTTTTAGGTTTGGCCTCAATCAACAACAAGAACTGATTTCCCTGGTGATGCTGAACAAATGTTTAAGAGAGTAAGATCTGAAACTGATTCTCCAACTTTAGTGGGCCAGTGCATAAAATGATCCAGGTTTTCTGAATGCACATGAGCTGCCAGATGGGTTGTTTAGTATAAGCAGTGCAATCTTTGTTTCTTTAGCTGCTGTCTGCAAATATTGGTATTTAAGGGCGGCTCTAAAGTGACCAAAGAAAGTTTGTGAAATTCAAGAGGCTGTCTTTTTCCTTTCCCAAAAAATAATTGTTTTTGGTATATGAGCCCAGGAGATAATTGCATGCTGACTTCTTGTTCTCCAGTGGCGTGTTTTTTCCTGCTATTGAGCAGAACTGAAATAGTTAGCATGTAGAAAAATACATGGAATATTAAACTAAAATATGTCTGTCTAGGGATCCATTTAGTTGCCTCCAATAGCTCCTTTCTTTGTGAATGCCATTATGTTTATATATATTTAAATGCCCCCTTTGCTACACTGGTTTTAGCTTCTTGTTAGCATCACTTCTTGTTAGCATGATGTTCTACAGCACAAGGCAGCTGAAGAAGTGAAACATGTGTTGAAGAATTTATGCAGTGTCCTCAGATTCTTTCATTAAGAGAAGCAAGAATAATAGGTGCATATTATAAGCTTGCTGTGTTAAGCAATATGTTATTGCTATGCTTGACAGACATCTTGTTTACATTCATGTTATATATTGGGGAAACCATTGCATTTTAAGAACATGGCATTTTTTTATAGTATTATTTATACTGTGCCTCATATGCATGGGAAACGTAGTCGTCTAAAAACATGATATGTTTTAAATCCACTTGTCTCCTCCTCCTAATGAAATATTCCAAGTGCTTTCCCCCCAGCGTAGGGAGTTCAACGTGTTCTTTATTCAGGCCATTCTAATTACTGCCAGCCACATTCCCTCAATTTATTAAAACAATGGCCCAGCTTATTTCAGTTTAGTTTAATTCATGTGTGAAAACTTTACCCCCATCTTATTCCATGGAGAACAGTATGAAAGCTATCTTTCTAGTTGGTCCAGTGTTTTTGTTTTTAGAAAAGCACCGGCTGTTTCCAGGCTGACTCAGGAACATCATTAATTTAGTTGAGCCTTGTGCAATTGTTAATGGGCATGAGATAGCCTAGTGGTGCAGCCTCATCTGGAGTGCAAAATATTACAGTACTCCATGGCCAAATCTTGGTAGCAAGTATTTTTTGCTATCTTTACCCTCACTAAGGAGAAACGTGAAGTGTGAGGCAATTTAGTATAGTTAGTATTTTAGTAGTAAGTACCGTATATTGAAGGTGGGAAATAAGAACATATTTACCTTCTCCTAGTTTTTACATCTTTTGCACACTGAAATCAAACTGTGCTTCTCCAAAGTGTTTTGTGCCATTTTACCCAAATGCTTCCAACTTATTTAGGGAAGTGTTCATTTTAAGAGTGTGGCACCTTGTATTTTCTGAAGCATCCTTTTCTACCTCCAACAGGGAGCAGCAAGGCTAGTCACAGCTAGTTCTAGCTGGACAGTAATCCATGCCAAGGACTGGAACCCAGAAGAAGTAAAAGTGAAGAAAATAAGTGGAGCTGGATTAAAAGATAGACCCACACACAAAGAGGCAGACAGGAGACTTAATGTTTGCAATGTTTCAGCTTGTGGGAAAACCAACTGTCATGTGAATATTCTGCAAAGAACAGAAATGATATCATTTTATTAGCACCACAATTCATAGTTTATTGAATGCTTCCATTTTCCAGGCCTTGCTAAGTGGATCCTTTATTTAAATTTATCCTTATAACAACTCTGTGGGGAAAGTTCAATCATTCCTCTTTGATAGGTAAGGAAACTGAGGCTTACAGAGGTTGTGGAGCTGTGTGAGGGTACAACCAATAATTAGTAGAAGCAGAATTTGAATCTCTGTTTGACTCCAAAGAATGAGAATGTGCATCATTGGTAGGGTGTACTTAGTTGAATGCTAGAAAGCAGTGGATGCTGCTGTGAGATAACTTGGCTTAGAGCAGAAAGCAACTCCCAAAGAGAGCCTAGAGACAGGTGGGTGGAGAGGAGCAGCAGTATCCTGAGAATGTGTTGACAGTTTGGCAACATTTTATGGCTAGATCAAAAGATTTCTAGTCCAGTTTTGCCTTATTTTTCTGGAGGCATAGGTACTAGGCAGCTGATAAGTGGGCTTGGTTAGCCCTTTATTTTAGGGTATATGGAGAAGTTTAGACTGCCCTAAATCTGGCAACTGCATTATGGTGCAAGGGCATCACATCACAGAATCCACATGACATTACTTCCAGAGTACTGTTACCAAGGACCTGGACCCTAGCCAGACCTCAGGCCCTTGATCCTCAGTTCCTCTTTCCCTGCTCATCTGTGTAAGATGGAGGCAGCTGACTCCCAGAGCAACTGCTGGATGGGCTGATGGACAGAAGGAGATGCACCCTAGTAAGCCATAAGTGATATGCTTTGCCTAGCTAATTCTGCAAAAGAGAAGTGACAGATACTCAGCATTGAGAAATTGGTCAGATTATTTATAACAAAATGGGAGGAGACTGGAGACTGGGAGATGAAGAGACACATTTTCAGCCAATGGCAGATGCAGGACATCACAGAACATTCTCTTAGGATTTGCATGTTGGTTAGTATTGGGGAGATTTTACATATATATGTAAAAATACATATGTATGTATACATATGTGTGTATGTATATATATATATACACATATACACATGCACACATACACACAAAGATATATATATACAGACATCCCAATAATAAGCTTTCTGTAAATAGCAGAAGGGAATGTGATCTTGAATTCTTGGAAAACTTTTTCCTTGACATCCAATATCTCTGAAAAGAATTGTCAGTTAAAGTGTATGTTCTAAAAACTTTTAGCTCCTTCTTTGGACTATCTGCCTGCCACTTGATTGTTTACTCTCTGACCCACTGGCATGATATTTCTATATTGATTTTCCCAACATTCCTTTTGTCACATCTCTGTTCAAAGTTTCAGAATGCTGAAGTTGCCTATGCAAAAAGTCAAAATGCCTTATCACTGAAATCAGTACTTTTCACAAGCTAATTTCAGCCTGCATTTCCAGGTTCATTTCTACAGTTTCCCTGTGTAAGTTCTCTAGTTTAAGCAAGTGGGTCAATTTATTGTTTCTGACCCTTATTTAAAGTGTTGTTTTCACTTACAATGCCTCCACTGTTTTCTTTACCTGTTGGAATGCCAATTGGAAGCCAAATTGATGGCCTAGAATTATAAACCATGACAGGCAACAGACAAGGTGCATTTTGGCTTGGAAAGTAATTGAGGTCATAAATAGCAGTAGTTTCAGAGTGGATGAAGTAAAGAGGTTCCCATGTTGCGTGTGCAGAAACACTAAGGCAAGCCTTGGTCCACTGGGTCAGTGACATCGGAATGGAATAGGTCAGTACCCTGGATAGCTCCCAGGAATACAAAACTCGAGTGCTGACAAGGTTCTATACTTGGAGTTGTAGACCTACTCAGCTGCAGACTCATATTTTCTGCACCCCTTTTTCTTAAAAAGGCCACTGTCATTTTTCCTCTAAGTTTAGCAACTAGAGATTCTAAGACTCATGCTAATATTGCCCTTCTTCTTTCCTGACCTATGTCTCAAACTCACGTGGGGTCCCTGATTATGCTGAAGGGTTTATCCTCCATTTTATTGCATGAGATGTTCGCCAGGGGGTTTGTCTTTCTTCGGGTAGGGATAGGGACTGGACTTCTACTAACGCCCCATTGTGTCTGGGCTTTTTTTTTTTTCATAGATGGCATTTCATTATCCTGTCAACACTGTGAGCAGATTAAAATTTTGCCCATCCTTCAAGATTAAGTCCCACTCTCACCTTTGCTTTGATCTCTCCACTGATCAGCCCAATATAAAAGTAGCTCTCTCTCATCTTAACTAGAACACTTTGTAGTCTTTATAGTCATTCATTTCAATATTAATGATATACTGTTCTTTATAAGCTATCTTTTTATCTCTCTGTGTTATAGCTCTCCAATTGGCTTGGATGCTTCTTGGGGACATGCTTCTTAGCAACAGGGCTTCCCAACGGTAAGGACCCAGTGAGGATGCACTGCAGATTATTGCATGAACTATATTTTTTCTGGGAAAGACAGAGAGAACAGTTTCAAGTTTTCTGATAGACATGTTCAGTCAGTAGCCCTTTTCAATTATATGTAAAATATATTTCTTGAAGTTTCTATTATTTCTGGAAGCCTTCTCCTTGTTGTGGTGTAATGAATATAGCATGGACTGTTGTGAGCCAAAGAGACCTGGGTTTGCATTCTTATTTCACCACTTATAACTGTGACCTTGGGCAAGTTACTTAATCCCCTTGAGCTACGGTTTCTGCATCTAGGAGTATGGAAACAGAATTCACTGCATATGATATTCGTAAAAAGTAAATGAGATATTGAATGTAAAGGGTCTCAATCACTTGTCACAGAGTGAGAGGCTTAATTCTTATTGATGCCTTTTCCTTTTTTTATACATCTGTGGCTCTTGCTTTTTAATCAAACTTTTCTGAGGGTCTTTAAAACACCACCTTTACGTATTTTCCACCATGTGCTCACAGTGAGTCCTTGATCTCGGTGAAGGACTTATCTTTCACTTCCATTTATTCCTAGAATTAGCCTTAATTTTTTTTTCATTAAAAGATTGAGACTTAGTTGCTTTATTTGTTATTCAAAAAACAGACCTTTAAGCTGTATGCTTATATTTACTGGGGTGGGAGAATTTGTCTTTGAGGAAATCAGGGTGGAGTACATTTGCTCTTGCTTCTTTTATTTATAGAAAGCCCCATTATCAAGCAACCTGAAAAACTACAGTCTACTATAGCTCCAAGAAAATTAAATGCTTGTGACAAACAGAGGTCTCAGGACACACATTGGGCAGCCCAGTCTTCATTGCTTGCAAGTGGCTGATTCTCAGAGACTGTGAAGGAAAAGTCTTAGAATAAATCTGAATATTTATGAAAGAAAACCAAAGCATTTTAGCTGGGCTTCCATCTCTTTAAACAATACCAGTCACAGAAATGTGGTTTCATAGTCATTTAAAATACAGTTTACAGAGGAATTAAGCTAAACCACTTAAGCTCTCCAAGCAGCTGTGCTTTCTCAGCTTCCTTACCGAGAGCTGCTTGCAGAACATCCGCTTTGAAATCGGCAGCTCAGTCAAAAACAGAGCTGTTGATCTCTGAGCTACTTGCTTTTTCTTGTCCCACACTTCTCAGGTAATGCAAAACAGTGGAAAAATATTTGGATACGAGCATATATCCTTGCCCCGCTTTTTCATGTTTGAAGCAGCCTTACTCTCATGAGTGTAAGTGAGCACCTGAAAATGAGTTAAGGTCACACAGTGTGTGCTTTCATAAGCCACCATATAATTGCCAGAATGACCGTTTATATTTTGGGGGAAACTTTAGGACTTCTGTCTTCCCGGAGAATAATCTGGCACTTAAAGCTGTGTACAGTCAGCCTAACCTCCTCTCACTTGCACATGGGAGCCCTTGGACTCAGCCCGTTGGTCTCTTCACTCTTCACTATGGTCAAATCACATTCCTGTCCCTGTGCCTGTGGTCTTGCTCTTCCCTACTCTTCCAGTGACATTCCCTCTGCTGTTTAACTAGCCCCAACCCCACCCATTCCACTGCTGAAAGCCCAAGACTCATCTCCTCACAAATAGTTCCTACAGCCTCTTCAGTTCAGTTTCCCGTCCTCATTCTCTGCCTTTTACCAGGACTGTATCGGTTCATTTGGTCCTTGTTCTCAAGTAGACCACAGGGCAGTCTACTTGAGAATGAATGTCTCAATCAACTGTTTTTTTTTTTTTTGGTCTCAGAATATATATATATATTCAACATTCAATAAATATTGTTTAACAGAATTATCAGTTACATGGAAAAGTAGAAAAGCATTGTCAAATTGAGTTCTATTTTTTGAAAACAAAATATGAGTAGCAAGAAATAAATAGAATGAAAACAATACTTGCAAATTATGTAAGTAAATTCAACCAAATGTGACAGATGGAAATTTTTATAATTGTTAACTATGTTTTATTTACTTTTTATAACATATTTTAACTAATACAAAATAGTGTTTAGGTGTTGGCAAATTTAGTTAAGCAGTCATGGGTATCTTATTTAAGGAAGAAGATCATGAAATGCTCTTTTTAACCTTGTTAAACAACCACGGGAGGAGATGGAGACTACCCGTGCAAGGAGACTGCACTTATAGAGTTTAATAAAAATGTATCTATCATAAACTTAGTTTCTAAAACAATAAAATATTTGTTTATAGAACCCTATCATGGAGCTCTCTAGTTTTGCAAATGAGCTATTTTTCCACATTTCATTCTATAAGCAAGCATTTGACACCTAAATAGCGAGCTGTAGATTTAACATCTATTGTGTTATACCCTAAATATCAAAGATTTAAAAAAACACTGGTAGGCACTATTGATGAGACCATGAAAAGAGTTTTGAGGAAAATAATGCAGCCTTTTGTACCAGAAAACAGTAATAATAAAAAAAGTGAATGACTCATGATGCTCATAATACACCAAATGGCTAAATATTACTGGTTGAACAACTCTTCAACTCTGATTTCCTGAGCATTTTTCTAGCTAATCTGTAGGATTTAGCATTCAGTCGTCTGGCCTCTCTGGGTGGGGCGAGGGGTGGGGGTTCATCCATAGCCAAATGCAGGAGAGCCTCCTTGATTGCTCACTAGCAGCCCAGGAATCTAGGACTCCTGGTGATTTTCCCCAGCGGTTGGTTTAGAAAGTGTGCAGGCTTAGATACATGGAGAGCAGAGTGCTCGGCAGGGCATCCCCAGTGGAGCAGCACTGGAAAGCTGGCATCACCACATTATCATATCCAGAGTCATAGTAAAATGTACCTTGTTAAATGTGATCTTGGCCTGTAAAGAAACAAAAGACTACTTTTAAGACAAAACATAAACTGCATTACAAGCCAGGGAGTAGGGTTGATGGGAGGACTATGGGACGGCAGTGGGGGGAAATTAGAGAGTTGGGCACAGCTCTCCCAGACAGTGTCTGAAGAAAAAAGACTGTGTTTGTTCCTGGAACAGACCAAAAAGGGAGGATGTGAAGACTGATGAAATACCAAAGAGAGACTTGGGATAAAGACAGTTCTAATTGAAAGGGAAAGAATGGCAGGACAAAAGTTCATGGGGAGGAGAAAGAGGAGCTCAGTAATGAGACAGCAGAAAAAAAAAAAAAAACCCAGCTGAAAACTCTGGAGAAACTTGGAGGGTGGGAGGGGGGTGGGGGGGGGGGGCGGGGCGGGAAGGGAAAATACAACTTGGATATTTTTCGAACTCTAGCAGCAACAAGGATGTTTCCTAACCACATCTTTGGCTGTGAGAACCTTGTTGTTGGAAATTACATGTAAAACAAAAATGTGTCCAGATTCCATTTTGTATCTATTCATTTTTAAACCTGTGTTTATTGGGCATCTTCTGTGTGACTACATTGCACTACAGCCGGGGTTTCAGGGGGCATGGCTTGGGCATGCTCACACTCTGCTGTCCTGGAATGTGAAGGAATTGGATCCTGGGCCATGAAAGGAAAAGAGGAAGGAGGAAGAGAAGGACCTGGCAGAAGGAATGAGGGTGAAGCTGGAGTGACTTTTATAAAATATAAATAAATCGCATCACCCCCTTGCTTAAAACCCTTCCGTGGTATCTGGTGCTCTTTTTTTAAGGAAAAATTGTATTATTTTAATTATTTTTATGTACAGAAAACTCAACAGTGTACATTTAAGCCACTTTGGTGTGACAAGTTCTTTAACCTTTGCCTCTTCGAGCTTGGCAGTGCGAGCCACAGACTTGGGACCCAGCATCTGGTTGCTCTTGAGATCAGTCCAAACTCCTTGCTAGGTGCTTTGAGACCTGCGTTACCTGGACTGAGCCTCGTTCTCCATCCTGTTTCATCTGTCTTTCTCTCTCTTTCTCAGATGGTCATTTTGGGGTTGCGCTTGATTCAAGTGCACTTCAGAGGTGGTCCTGGGTCAGAAGACTGGCTGCAGAGCTGGCCCCACTGTTAGGCCACTGCAAGAATCTCCTTGCCTCTTTTCCTTGCATTGTCCCCACCTTGTCACCCCTATAGGGATGCTGTAAGGATGAAGGCTTTGCTCTTGCTTTGTTTGACCTATCTGAATTGGAGGACTCAGAATTCTTCTTTCTCCTTTCATTTCCACTCAATATTGAGTCCCTCCTAAGGCCTGTGAATTATTTCTTCATATTTCTTGGATCCTGTACCTTTCATGTCATTCCCAGAGCTAAAACCCTAACTCTAGCCATTATTACATCACACCTGAAATAATACAGCTTCCTAAATGCTACCCCCATCTGTTCCTCCTCCCACCCAGATTAACTGGCATTCAGGACTTCTGTGTCCAGGAGCCAGATGTTTTGTATTTTCTGTTATATTATCTGACAGCCCTAGCCCTTCATCCATGCATGTATAATCCATGTAAAGTGGACACTTATCCCTGGAAGTGGTAAGTCTTGAGCTGGGCTCTGAGGCATGGATTAAGGTTTAGAGAGGCTGAAGGGCAGGACAGGGCCTCCTGGGCATTAGCAAGGGTTTGGAGGCAGGTGTGCTGGGGCCAGTAAGTAGAGCAGAGAGTAATGGGAAATCAGGTTGCATTGGGCTTTGGCTGCCTTGTCAAGGCATTAGAAGAATAGGAATCAGTACAAGAATTATGGACATTTATAGGTTACAGACTGGGTTCAAGTCCTATTGCTGTCACTTATTAGTTACATGAACTTTGAAAGTACTCAGATTTCTCACCTGTTAAAGAGGCAATAGCACCCCTCACAGGGTTGTTTTGAAAATGAAATCAGATCATACATACATGTAGCTCACAGTTGCTCATGACTAGCATGTAGTAGAGGTTGGCCGTCGTAATATTGGCCATCATCATCTTTATCATCATGACCTTTGTCATGATCATTATTTTTTTGGATAATGGTGAATATTAAAGATTTGGAATTTTTTAAAAACGAGAGGTGAGAAAGGATAGCATGGTAAAAGCTATGCTTTGAGGGTGTCACATTTTTAGGAGGTTAGCTTGGAAGAGTTCTGAAGAGGCATTCTCACTCAAGTGTGGGGATAGCTGGGCTACTCTGCCAACAGCTATGATGATGTTTCCAGACACAGTATAAAAAAATAGACCAACAAGGCTTGATAATCCACAATTGTCAAAAATTAGAACAGAGCAGGAGTCTTGAAGCCAGGGAAACTTCACAGTTTTGGAGGTTCGAACTTGTCAGTGACCAAAGTGAAGTGATCTGAAGCCAGGAGGTAAGTCATGATGGCGAGGAGAAGTCCAGTCCAGAGGAGGAAGGCATTCAGATTCTGAGAATGAGGCAGATTATTGGAGTGGGGCCGGTGGAGAGACCCCACAGAGGTGACACAGGTGACACTGAGGCAGTGGTGGTATGTACTTCTCTGCTTCAGTTAAGGGTCAAAAAAGGCTGACCAGAGGTGAGAAGAAGGAAAGCAAGGAGGGAAGGAACAATATCAAGCACTCCTCCTGAGAAGTGGCTGATTGGAAATGTGCCCATGAAGGACACAGAGGCCCAAGCTTACATTTAGGAAATAGTTGAAACACTAGGGAAGCAGGAAATAACACACTCTAAGGCAGTGATTCTCAAATTTGAGCATGCATCCCAATCACCTGGGGGGCTTGTTCAAACCAGGTTGCAGGGCCTCATCTTTTGACCTTCTGGTTCAGCAGGTCTGAAGTCAGGTCTGTGAGTTGCACGTGTGGTGAGGTCCCAGGTCAGCACCTGCTGCTGCTGGTCTAAGGATCTCATCTTGAGAACCACTACTTTAAAGGGGGCTATCCTACCAATAAGATAAATTAGAAAAATGTGTATAGCTAGTGTTTCAAGGTCACTGCAACTAGTTACAGATTATCTGTAAGAAGACTTCAGAGATGATAAAGCATGCCCTAATCTGCAGGATGAATTCCCAAGCACTCAAATTTGTGAACAGGTAATCCAAACTTTTTAAGGCTGCTTGTTTAGCACTCACTCATCACTTGAACATCATTTTTTTTTTCTTTTTTGAGAAAGAATCTTGCTCTGTTGCCTGGGCTGGAGTGCAGTGGTGTGATCTCAGCTCACTGCAACCTCCACCTCCCAGGTTCAAGTGATCCTCCTTCCTCAGTCTCCTGAGTAGCTGGGACTACAGGCATGTGCCACCACACCCGGCTAATTTTTGTATTATTAGTAGAGAGGGGGTTTCACCATGTTGGCCAGGCTGGTCTCAAAATCCTGACCTCAGGTGATCCACCCGCTTTGGCCTCCCAAAGTGCTGGGATTACAGGCTTGAGCCATCATGCCTGGCCCACTTGAACATCTTGATGCTAAGAAAGGAGAGGAAAGGCAGTTCTGGAGTGAAGGAGTTTATCTGGCTTGTTCTGTTCTCCGTGGTATGAGGACATTTGCCTTTGATACGTTTAATCTCTCTTGTTCAGGGTGTGCAGTGCATGTGGCTCAGGTTGAAGAGCTGGTCTTTCCCACTCCTTGATTTGCAGGGACATAGAGTGAATAATTAATAATGAGAAATCATGTTCTGATCATGTGCAGGTTCTCCTGCCAGAAGAATGCCCATTGAGGCACCTCTCTAGCAGTAGAGAAGGAACCGTTCTAGCCAGACATGCAGGCTTGCCCCCTCTTTGACCAACATGCCAGGCAGCTTTGGAGGCGGGAGGAGGAAAGGCAATCTGTTTGTGTCCATTGTCTAGAGTCTCATTAGCACCAGCCCTGGTCAAGGACTAATAACCCACACTTTTGTCCTTCCTCTGCCTTTGTCTGAATCAGCTTCTAAACAGTGGGAGGACCACCTCAAAGGCAGGAGATTGGTGGGCTACAGACCAAGATGGACTTCCTGTATCTTAGTATTGTGGCAGTGGATTGGTTTCATGCATCCTTGGAAATAGTTACTCCCCCATGCTCCCAAAATGAGAACCAACTTTTGCAAGTTGGCTAAAAAAAAGAAAGAAAGCAAGCTAGTTAAATCCCTTTGATTAATGCTCTACCACTATTGGCAAAAATAGTCTGTTAATATTTTTATGTAGACTTTTCCTTTGGCTTGTTTGCTTAAGGTGAGCTAGTGTCTCTTTCATTACTTGCACCTCTGGTTAGGAGCCAGAGCCTAGTTCATGGTTCTATCCTGGGTGGGAAAAAACAGATGTTAATGTGTTTGCATCTTCATATTCATATAGAAATATTATTTTTTAGTTCTCTTGAAATTTCATAAACTGATCCTTGCTAAGTAAAGTGGTCCTGATCTAAAAATAGAACAGAGCTCTTGAGCGGAGGTGGGGGCATGGTGCCACACATATGAAAGAGAGCTGGACATGGTAATATGGTTTGGCTGTGTCCCCACCCAGATCTCACTGTGAATTGTAGCTCCCATAAACCCCAGGTGCCATGGATGGGACCCTGTTGGAGGTAATTGAATCACGGGGGCAGGTTTTCCCATGCTGTTCTCGTGATAGTGAATAAGTCTCACAAGAACTGATGGTTTTATAAAGGGCAGTTCCCCTGTATGCACTCTCTTGCCTGCTGCCACATAAGACATGCCTTTGCTCTTCCTTTGCCTTCTTCCATGATTATGAGGCCTCCTAGCCAAGTGGAACTGTGAGTCCATTAAACCTCTTACCTAGTCTCAGGTATATCTTTATTAACAGCATGAGAAAGGACTAATACACATGGGTAACACATAGAATTAGGGAAATGGCATCCTTGCCAGTCTTTTGGATTATGAGTCTGATTTTTAGTCTCTATTCACTAATAATGCTATGGGTTTAATAATTCAGTTGTCTGTAGTTGTGCTTCCTAATCTTTTTGCATTAATATCAGAGTATTTGCATGGAACACTGGGATAAATGAAGGAGGTAGCCCCATCCTCATCCCAGGGCTGAGGATATCAGTTGCTTACAACACACTTGTGACCCCTTAGTGGCACACCAGGTGAGAAGCTCTGATCTTGGGCAGAATTGTGCATTTGATCTGTTTGCAAGCCTTTTAGCTTTGACCTGTTTCATGGCCAGAGCTATACATTCACCCAGGCAGGGACTGGGTTGATAGGTTTATTGGAAGTACCAGGCAAGAAGGCCTGAATGGGGCACCAGACCTGTTACTCCTGGAAAAACAATTCAAAGCACATTTCATCTATGACATCATGAATCATATTACTATTTTCATTTTCTTTACTCACTAGGAAGCTTTAAGCCACTTCCAGTAGCTGAATAGGATGGGGCTGCTTTCTTGTCCATGGCTCTAATATTTCCCCTCATTAGAACATTCCTGATTATTTACTGTATCCTTTTGTATTATGGTTATTTTTATAGGCCACTTGAAATCCTTTCTGCGGGTTGTGGATTATGGAAGAGAGCAAATAATTTAAAAAGAAAGCTCAAAATACACTTCTTACCCATATTGGGTCAGTCATGTCTTTTTTTGATGCAGACAAAATATTTTCACCCTTTAATAAAATTGGTAACTGAATATGGTATTAGTCATAATATGAAATAATGTTCCTTTTTAAATGTGATGATCATCCTGCTTTATTTCCCCATCTGCAAGATGAGAATAATAATTATCCCTTTGAAAATATCATATGGTCAAATTAGTTAATGTTGGACAAGCATTTCAAAATGAAACTACCTAATAATTTATTAGTGGCTCCACTGGTGTGCAATTTGAGAATGAAGTCTGCGTTTGAGGAATTGGCATTTGCATTAATTCATGTTTTCCCTTAAATTCATTACAGAGGTCTAGTCTGAATTCTCCCGGCTGGGTGCCAGCTGTGCCCATCTGTGGCACATGGTCTCGTGGCCTTTTCCTCCAGAAGTCTTGTTTGAGTAATCAGAAGTCATGTCCTAAAAGGGAAACTGAGCAAATGAAATTGCTCATGTACTTCTCTTAAATGGAATCACTTGTTTGCTTTTTAATTAAGATGAGACTTTTGATTAAAGCAAAAATCTGGTGGCATTTTATTTTCTACTCTGTGCCCCTCGAGATCCATTGCTTGACCCTGAAATGAATGATCTCAGTTATATCTTAAATGACATAGTGAATTAACTGTATTTCATGTGCCAGCATTTCCTTCATGTTACTTAGATAATTAAGTTCTTCCTAATTCAGAAAGCGTGACATTTTTGTATGGTCACAAAGACAGCCAAGGAGGACAAACACATAATAACGAACTATAGTAATAGCTATCATTCATTGAGCACTTTTGTTCCAGAAGCTTTGTGCATTATTATCTCCAGTACAACCCTGAAAAGTATTTACAGATCAGGAGCCTGAGATCAGAAAGATTTGACTAACACGAACAAAGTCACATAGCTAAAGAGATGGGTTGCTGGGATTTGAACTTACATCTATCTCCAGAGCTTTGATTTTTCTGTTTAATTTGTATTTTATAAACCCAAATCATTGAAGCATATTTATGTTTTATTTCTATACACTTCAGGTAAAGCTATTTTTTTAAACAATTTATTGAATACCAAGAAGAGTTATGTCCTGATGGAGTGGGGTCAGATTAAATGATTCTCCTGTTCACTTGGAGCTATAAAACTATATAAATCTATATGTGTGAGAAACTCTCACTGTATTTAATGTGTTTTTTTCAGTGCTACTGTCTACAGGACTCTGGCAAATTGCTGTCAAATAAAAGTCATAAATTCACAGAATGCAATTCCTCGTTGTCAATGAAATGAAATGAGAAAATTTCTCTTTTCACTCAAATGGGCTATACATTTATACGATCTAAATTCCCATATTAACAAAAAAAATTTTAGTTGTTTGCTTTCCAGTTAGGTTAGGATATTTCTTCTGTTTAAGTTGGGATGTGCCAATAAATAGGGTTTCCCATTGCAGCTCACAGGCAGAGAAAGTGAAACTGCGCTTGGTAGTCTTTTCATCCGTATCTGTTCAACAACAACAAAGTGATCTCCCCAACCTGAAAAGAGATTGATTTGCCTTCAAGTAAATACCTAGTTATCAGTACTCTTAGAATCTGTTGACTTTTGAAGCTTTGAGATTTGATTTTTCTCTAAGAATATATGCCCAGCACTATACCATTCTGTCTGAACTGCTTAACAAAGAACATCTAGAAGTCATACTGGTGCCCATATTTAAAATATTTATTTAAAAGAAACTAGCCACAGATGGAAATATTTCTAACTAAAAATTATCTTTCTCAAGTATAAAAACATTTCTCAAAATGAAATATTTCCCATATAAAGTCACTTCATTGTGGGCTTAGAGAACTTTATTTTCCATTGCCAATAAAAGCCTTTGATTGGCGAGCTTTTCTTCGCCTTAAATTTGAAACTGGAGTATGTAAGCAGAGTGTGGATCTGAGTGGAAAAACTGGCCTAAATTATGTGAGTTTCAGAAATATCACTCCATGTTTATTTGAACAGTTTCCTCTAAAGGGGAAAATTTTGTTTAATATTTGAATATGTTTATTTATAAAAACGATAGAATAATCAGTAGACATTTGTGTTCTATTAGATCTGAGTTGTTCTCCATTTTCTTTTTGTGTTTTCCATATAAGGGCCGAATTTTCATATATCTTATGACAGAGTACTTACCTGACCATTGAGAAATAGCTACGATTTCACATCTGACCTTTATTATGTGACCATTCATTGTTTTTTTGACATACGCAGCCTTCCCTCGGACATTTCCCTGTCTCTTAAACCCAGTTTTGCCGCTTTGTCCTGTCTTGGATTCCGCACGCTGCACAAAAAATGGCCAGTAGAGGGCGCTGCTGGCTTACTTTTTAGAAAACTGCTCACAGCCTGATTTCAGCACTTTCAAAAACATGGAAATTATCTTAATTCAGTCAAAGCAATCAGAACGAGAAAACTGTCTTAAATTCATCAAAGTTGTTTCTTTGTGTCTTTTTCTATTTCGTTTCCCCAAAGGCATCAATAAAACCAGGCAATTAGTGTTTCTTCCCTTTTCTGCGGAGCCCTTAGCTGACCCACAGTAAGGATGAGTATGGTAGTTGAGGGCAACCGGGTGTGATTATCTAATTTTTCCATCAGCTTGAGGTTCTTATGTGAAAGTTGTATTCATGGAGAGCCAAAAGAAGGGGAAAATAAAAGCCTGTTTACACTTTCACTTTCCAACCGGCCTTGCCAGTTATCCCCTGACCTGGTGCAATGACGAGAAAATATCTGTGCGACCTTGGCCTCTGGATTGTGGACTGGGGACGGGGTGTCCGTGGCTTCGGTAGCGAGAAGCGGGTGGGAGGGGCATGATTTTATAGACTCAAAAGCTTTCTCTCCTTTCAGGCAGGCAGTGCTGAGAGGTGATCGGAGGAAGACCTTTTATATCCCTTCCAGCACCTCCATTCTTTGAGATGAACTATTGACAGTCCCTCAATATTTATAAAATATTATAAACTGCTATGTAAATACAGCGTCAAGTCGAACTTTCTAGCCAGAGCTCTCCCGAGTACCCTTCCAAAGAAAATGCTATGCTTAAGCACCTCCTCCTGAGACATTCTGGAACCCCCACCACTTATATAGGTATATTTACAGAACCCCATCCCCAATCCCTTCAGTCATTCAAAAACGGTACAAGTTGCTGAAGACGTTGTGGTGAAATAGAAAGTATCAAAAATACCACGGGAATTGCATTTGCTAGTCATCTTTGTGATGGCGTCAGTTTGTGCCAACAGCATCGTGATAAAGTTCTCAGTGGATCTGAACTTTGCTTCATGTGGTTTTTCTTCACCTTGTGGGCACTGGGCACTCGCCGTCCTTCATAGCTGGTAGGTGCCACTTTTGGCCGGCCCTGTAGCTGGCTGCAGTCGGCTGTCCTTCCACAGGATGAAAAATGTCTTCCATTAGCTAATGGCTGTGTTCTCCGTGAAACATTCTGCCCCTTGGCCTGGGGCTGCAGGAGAGCATCAATCAAGTCTCTTAGATGAGGCCTCAGAGGACCAAGGGAAATTTGTATAATCCTGAACTGTAAACATGAGGACCAGTGGTTGAGGTTTTTGGATTTGAACAACATTTAAAAATGTCTATTTGAGTATCTAAAGTAAACCTTTATTTTAAAGAGAAGCTGAGGCTTGCTGGGTGGCCTTCAGGAGGTCAGCTGACCTTTCTGCCTCCGTTTCCCTGTCTTCAAATTGGTGGAGGGAGCAAAAAACCTTACTCTTCTGTTGCACAGGAGAATCCATTTAATCTTGATTGATTACATTAAATAAGGAAGTCAGGCTTTCTTTATGCCACTTCACACCTTATGGGCCACATTATAATTTCCCTGCCTCTCGGTCTAAGTGTCCACTAGTGATCACTGCCTGGTGTGGTTTTTTGTTGGTGTTGTTGTTCCTGTGGGTCTGTAGTTTTCCTTTCAGCCATTTCCTTTCTCTTGTTCTTCTCCTCCCCACTTGCTAACCAAGGAAGAAGGGCTAAGGGGCTCCCCACCCTTCCTGGCGGTGGCAAAACAGCTTCTTGTTCATGAGGGAAATTGTGGAAGCATAGATGTAAAAAGGAGAGAAGTATGTGGGTGTGTCTGTGTGTGCACACATGTGCATGTGTGGGTGTGCATGTGTGTGCCATTTAGCAGTTGCCTTTTTTTGTGATGGTTTGTTGCTGTTGGCACCTGTAAAAGCAGTCAAGCTGAAGAAATTCCTTTGGAAAAAGAAAGAACTAACTTCCTAGAGGTGAATGGAAGGTTGCTGAGGCCTTAAGGCGAAAATTTATAGAGAGCTGAGTTTTCTCTGTTTTCCTTTGCATTGCTTATTTGAAATTCTTCATTGTTAGAACACAGTTTTGTTTACCATGCCCCCCATTATTTTCCCTTAAACAATACCATAAATATTATCATTTGGGGAACAACCTCAATTTCCCAGAATTCATGACTTTTCCATTTTAATAGACAATGTATCAGAACTTAAATCTTGTGAGATCTTCTTAAAAGAGTACTTCTCAACAGTTTTAGGAACTGTTTTTTACTCTAGCCTTTGAGGACAAGATGGGAGGGACACTGAAGAAGTTGTTCCTTTTGTACAGAGTAGGCAACTCAGAAATATTATGGAATGACAGTTGAATGACAACATGCTGATTGTTTGCTCAGTAATAAACTAGAGTTTTGCTGTGTATTTTTATATATTCATATAAGGCTATGCATTCTTGCAAATTAGCAATTAATTCTACTGAAATATCTGAATAATGTTTTCCATAGGTTACACTATCCCCCTCACAAAAATAAAAAAAAACTAGACATAATATTTTGTTGCTGACCCTATGTTACAGACTTAGAGGTTTTTCCAAAGACTAGGAAGAAAGTTATTTCTGGGTTGGCTAGCTAGAAATATGCTATGCTAATTTTATCTCTAAATACCATATGATATCCATTCTATTTTCATAAATATAGATTAATTTCACAAACAGAGTTAATCACGTTTGATGTTTGGTTTCATGTTTCTAAATAATTTAAAAATCAGCTTCTTTTCATGGCCACTTCTAGGTAAATATGTAAAACAAAGTAAAAGAGAAAAAGTTATGACATCATATGAGAAAAGCTGCAACAATTCATAGTTTTAATTAAGAGGACTAGTTGGACTCTGGGCAAACATTTTATTGTCCACCAACTAAGATGTCCTCTCTGTGTGAGCTGTCACATACCAAATCTAAAAATCTGTTTTTGATATTTAAAACAGCTCAAAATCAACATGAAAATTGGCATGCTCTTCTCATATATAATTTGGGGAAAAATATGAAGTGAGAACAGGAAAGATGTATTAACTTCTTAAAAAGTAATCTTTAGGAGCAAACTGAAAGAGTTCCCAGTGGTCAAAGCTGGAACTACTTGAGCAATGAAATGAATAGCGTATTATTGGATTATTCTCAAAAGTAGAAAATACATAGCCAGGAGTCCATAATAAAGTAAACGTAAATGATGTAATAAATAAATATAAAGAGAGAAAATAGACAAATCTCCCATACAGAAGGATCTCAGATAATTTATGTAAATTTTGTATCTTCAAGGAGGTGAAGCATAGCTCCCCACACCTGAAGTGTGGGGTTGTGCATAGCAACTCCTTTCCAAGGAGCACAATATGGAAAGCGGGGGAAGGAGTAATCCTATAGTCGAGGAACTGGACAGACACTGCTTCAGCCAGGCGATCAAAGTCAACATCAACAGCAATGAATCATGTTAGTAGCATGTGCCTTTAGAATGAGATGAGGAGCATGGCACTTTACTTCTGTAGTCTTCCTCCCCCACACCCACAAACCCCGTCTAATCATGAGAAAAACATCACGCAAATTTCACTAACAGAATATCAGAGAAAATACCTGACCTGTTTTCCCAAAAATTCTCAAGGTTATCAAAAACAAGGAATGTCTAGTGGCACCTAAGGAGACATGATGAATAAATGCAATGTGGTACCCTGGATAAGATCCTGGAACAGAAGAAGGACATTAGGTAAAAATTAAGAATTGTAAGTAAAGAATGGATTCTAGAGTGTCCGTATTGGTTGAGACAAATGATGCAGTAACGTATGATGTGAACAATAGGGAAAACTGGGTGAGGGGTCCATCCAAAAGGAGACTGTATTGCCTTCGCAAGTTTTCTTTACACTAAAACTATTGTAAAATTAGAAGTTCATTTAAAAAAATAATTCTTATTATCATATACTGTTCCTACATCTCAGTGTCATTATTTTCCTAAATCTTGGTTGATTTTTAAGAGATGACTTTAAATTAGACAAAAGAAAACAGGTTCTCCAAGATTTGCTATCATACACATTTATTATTGTCATAGGTGCCATTTGCAGCGCTCTGAATACCATGGTTGCCTTTGCTTATAAATAGACTTATAATTTTATCTTACAGAAGGTGTTTATTAAGAATCCAAAGTATGAGAAAGTTCATTCCCCATTTTTAGGATTGTCATGACTATCCTTGGAGGAGGATTCTCTGAGTAACTTAGTAGTAGATGGCCGCTTTCACATTCAGTCAAGAATTGTGTAATTTTCAGTTGATGGTTTAGAAACAATTAAATGGTCTCCCCCTTTCTGTGCACATTGCTATTAATGTTACAGCTATGTTCATAAAACCAAGATTGTTATAGTCTTTATCGACATGACATTGTATTTTCTTGCATTAGTAAATCCAGTACTTTTAAAAGAAAGTTAAATATATTTCCTTTGAGGTGAAAAAACGACTTTTCCATCCAAAAACTGGAACTGTTCATAAGATGTGTAAAATTTACCCTGCATATTGATAAACCTATCAAGATTTTGGGGGCTTCATTGTTTCATGACTATAAAGAGTATGTTATTATGACTATGAAAGTTCAAAAATATTACAGATTCCTAAATATGCCATACATCTAGAGGACAAGGAGACACTTTCTGGGAGAGCCCTTGTGTGAGGCCCAAGCCCCAATTTCAATCCATTATTACCTTTGTATTCATTTCAGACCAAGTCTAGCTCTTTCCACAGTTTCCATCTTAGTGTTCAACTACAGTCTGGGACAGACTTTTCTGCCTACAGAAAGAAACACATGGTCTGGGCTTCATCATCAAAACTCCTTGTGTGATCTTGGGGTCTTTGAGGAGCCAGTGGGTTCTTCAATTGTTCTCTTGTCTGCACACACCCTGGTCACCTTCCAAAATGAAATCCCGGGAGTCAAATGTGCACCACATTTATGAGCGTGTTGACTGACCAGTGACTCATGAGACTATCACACAACTCATGATGAATATGTCGTTTTCCTCTTTAAAATGACTGCTGTGCAATATGGTTGTGAGCAGTGTGATCCTACAGTTTCCTTTTAACCCAGTAAATACTTGCTGTCTTATTCTTTGAAAGAATAGTTTAGTCATTTTGAAAGAACTGAGTGAGCAACTGCTTTGTGCAATTACTGAGTATTGTATCTAGACTTGAGACAAAATAATGTCCTAGTAGATTTTACTTCATCTTTTAAACACACACAAGAATTTAAATTGTTAACTAGAACACACTTGAATTTTCCCATGTTTAATCATTAAAAAGGCAAAACTTAATTTCATCAAGTGCAATCAAAGAATTTTTCATAGTAGCAATTAAAAAATATGAAACTGGAATTTCAATGACACAAAATTAAACAGCTGCTGTGTTATATTTTTAATCTTCATTCAAATCAAATGGCAAATCGCATTTTTCTTCAGGATTTTTTTTTCTTTTCTTTTTTAATATTAGTGTGTGTAAAGGTGGTTTCAGTAATTCAAAAACCTTCTGAAACATGCTGCGGTATATTTGGAAACATATTTCAAACGTTACTCTAGAGTGAGTAACCCTTGTATTTCTGTAGGACACAGAAGGCAAAACTCTTTGGAGAAGGACTGATTGGTTAGCTTGCTTTGGCATGAGGGAACTTCCAACTATATTGAGCTGTTTAACTAAGGAAACCAAAACCTATTTTGCTCGGTTTGCCTTTCTTTCTGTACTCCATGTGTGGCATTTACCATAAGAGAAAGTAAAAACCACACATGAAGCTTGTGTCCTTCTCATTCCTTCCTATTTCCATGCTGGGGGAGAAGGGCTATTTTTGTGATACCCAGACTTCCCCACACTTTTATGTGTAAGACAACGAGCTGGGACATATGTAGCTGATATATAATTAGCCAAATGGTATCTTTTTCACCCCAGCACAAACACGTTCCCTCTGATTTTCCTCATTGACTTTTAGGTTTAGGCACTAAGGAAAAGCAGCAGCCCCCGGTCAAACCAGGACTCCAGGTTTTGAAAAAACTACTTAAATACTTTTAAAAGGTAGAACTATTTAATTATTTGTCATTTCAAAGCCTTCCAGTCCTTCTTAGTTTACCTCCATTTTTTTTTCTAAAAATGGAAATTGAGTTCTTTGGTCTTGAGCACTCTTAGTTCTAAAGACGTATTTTAGCTCATTAGTTCTCATCAAACTTCTCTCCTGACCCTATTCTCAGAGCGGATTTTTCTAAAGTCATATTTGCATTTTTAATTCAAATTAAAATTAATTTCAATTAAAATTTGTTTTAATTCAGAGTTTTAATTTCTTCAGGGACCTTCTGTTTTCATATCTTTTTTCTTGTTGCACAGGGGATTGTTCTGAGGCTTAGCTGTTCTCACACCAGCCAGGACTACACGTACAGTGACTTAAGTGGTAAATCAGTCTTTGGGTAAAGACTTCAGCTCACCATTTTCTTTAATTATAATTTACTGGATAATAAGGGAATTGCTTTGGCTAGTAGAATTTATTTGACCAGGATAAGGTAGGACAAGAACTCTGACTTATTCAATGTGAAAACCCAATGACCATTAGGACATAGTTAATAAAGCAATCTGAAAGAGTCACTGATAGTAATTTTTTTAAAAAATAGAGAGACCCCCTACACTGACCTTGTAAATAGTCTTAGTGCCCAAAAGAAGTAAAATGTTGGAAGAAAGCCAGTGACAAAGAACTTGTATTTCGCTTATTTTGCCATCGATGCCTTATGAGGTTTCTTGTGAAGCTTAATGAGACAGTGTAAACCCTGCTTTGTAAATGTAAGGTACTATCCACACGCAAAATATTATTATTATTACTAAATTATAGGTTGTGTTACATGGAGGAATACTGTACTCAAACAATCATTTTTGTGGGATAACAACATTTTGTAGCTTATTTGCAAAAGTTCTCTACACAGTTAAAACAATGGTATGTTGATTGGAAAGCAATTTAAACTTTCCCATAATATTTGTTCAACATTCTTTTCATTGCTTTAAACAAGATGCACCCATTCAGAAATTATATAACATCATTGTACAAATGGCATTTGAGTGAAAGGGAAGGTTATAATGAAGTATTATCTACCAATACATTTTTAAAAATTCAGGTCCTGCATAACAATTACTTACTGGAACTTAATAGGCATAATGGCTATCAGGAAGTGACACCAAGGCATGGGAAGAATTTTGTATGTTCTTCATATTGGGCACCTCTTTATAGCCGTATTATTTGCCAAGGAAAAACAAGAGAGGGTCATTGCTTTGTACTTTGGGGCCATTATTGAGAACAGTTTTCCCCATTGGAGTGTGATGTCATCGACCTATTGGAAAGCATACATGGGCACTGAATGGATGATTTACAGAGCATCTCCCCAAGTTTCTTTGCACTGCTGGGTTTATGAAATGAACATAGTGATTCTGAGATACAATCTTCTGTGTTTTGTATCTCAAATTGTCCCATTGCTTTGGTAGTCCTGATTAACATCTTAATTTCTAAATGTGTGTTCCTTCCAATACAATAGCCACTAGACATATGGTGCTACTGTGCATTTGAAATGTGGCTAGTCCAACTTGTGATGTACTGTAAGTACTAAATACACACTGGATTTTGAAGATAGTGTGAAAAGAATGGAAAATATGTCAATAATTTTTATATCGGTTATGTACGGAAATTATGTTGGATTGTTATTAGAGTATATTATTAAGGTTACTTTCATCTTTTCTTTTTGCTTTTTGAATGTGGCACTAGAAAATTTTAAATTACATATGTGGCTTGCATTGTATGTCCATCGGACAGCAGTGAGCTAGATGGGATATGGCATTTTTCTGCTTCTGATGAGAATGCGAAATGTGGAAACACATTAGGTCACTCATTAGAACAATTCTGAGTGTTCCTTAAACTTCAGCTAATTTTGATGGGAGGCTGAGAATTAGATCAAGCTCTGTTTATCCAAAAACAAAGATGTGGAAAGCTAGTACAGCACAGTGGTTCAACTTGGAATCTGCTGAAGGGGGAGTATCTGTCTGATCCTGATTTGTGAAAGAAATACCGTAAACTGCATGGGCAGGAATGGAGGTTACATCTTTGATCTATCCTAGTCAAAAGTGGGCTCTCTCCTAGAGTCTCTTAGGTGACTATTAGGTGGCCTTAGCCAAAGCTTTTATAATCACACAGACTCACCCAAGGACAGCCCTCTGATCTCTCAAGGAGAATGCAATACAACATAGACTTTGGCAACTGAAAACCTCAAACCTAATCCTTGGTGACTTAAGGTTTCTGTTGGTATTCACAGAAATGCCTTTGGCTTGTCAAAATACGAGTTGCAATATTTGCTTTAGTATCTGCTCACCATCCCATCCCTTCTCTCTAAACTCGTTCATTACCATTAGGATATTCTGGGTGGCTGGGATGGTTCATGTAAGTGGGGACAAGACTTGCCAATATGTTATCAATGTCTTGAGCTTAAAAGTACATGTTTGGATGTTCACCAGAGTGAAAATTTGTGTCTAATCACCCCCTTTCCACCTCCCTTTTGATGAAAATCATCAAAATGTGAGATGAAAGGATCTAATGGGTTGTCTGAATGTTTTTCCCAGCCCTGTTGGAAATGATTGAGGCATTGGCTCTTCAACATTTCCTCTGAGAAAGCAATTCCAAAGGTTGGTGTCAACTTACAGCTTAGTAATGGACTAATACACATTATCCTGTATGCAACTCTAAATTATAGCCTGCCAGCTGTGATTCTGGAAGTTTGGAATAGGTTCCTTCCCGAGATTCTAAACAGAAATGGCTTTGAATGTTGCGGGCATGAGTCTGTCTAACCCTTCTAAAGGTGGCATAAACGCTGTAACATTTCTATTGATTTTTAACATCCAGCTCTCTAGAAAACAGAAAATAGCCAAAATTTGACAGGCATTTTACAAAATAATCTGATCCTTCATAGATGCAGAGTAAGAGCTTTGTTCACAAGTGACATTTGTGCTTAAACTTGGATCAAACCTTCCTTGTTTCTTTCTTATGCCAGTTTTATTATGTGGAGTTGAATTACATTTTACTGGATTTAAAATAATGCTTTAAACGTTATTTTGTCTTCTTTAGTTTTTCTTTTTATCATTTAAATATCTGTAGCCTCAAACTCATAAAAGGAGAGTACAAACTTCTAATAAAGTTCCTTAATATTTACCCTGATGCATAAATTAAAGAAATCCAAATTTAAACAAGGAGCCCTGTTGCATATATTTAGTTGTCAAATATAATGCCCAGGGTTGGCAAGGGTGTGCATTAAGCAGCTCCAGAGGAGAGTGCTACAGGAGTTAAAAATCATCTTCATCTTGCTGAAAGGCAGCTTGGTTTTACTGATCATCATAAGATTTCAAACAATGTACATACTGAGCAATTCAATTTCTGGGAATTGTTCCTGCAGGAAGTAATTAAGAATGACAGGAAAGATTTAACTAGACTGTAAGAATGCTCATTGCAGTATTCTTTATAATATCACAAAGTAAAAAATCTAGAAATACTATTACTGGTAGACTAGCTATATAAATTAAGATGCATTTATACTGTGAAGTACTATTTAGCCATTTTAAATGACAGCTTATAATATATTTTAAGTTAAAAAAAGTTACAAAATAAATACATTACAAAAATGTATGTGAATCTGATTTGATACTGATAAAATGATATCTATTTTATACACATGCATAGAAAAGACTGAAATGGTTACAAAAAATGATTAATGTTGGTTATTTCTGAATGTTAGAATTATAAGGGTTTTGTTTTTTATTTTTAGATGTATTTATTTTTTCCCTTTGAGAAGGTACAGTAACTTTGGCTTCATGGACAGTTTTCCGAAACTGTTTTCAAAGACATTAAAATTTTCCTCATCTCTCTATACGTGGTTAGATGAATAAAAGGTACATAAACTTAAAGTAAGGATAAGACACAAGTGAGGGATGTGAAGGAACCACACTGTGATTCAGACTACCTCCTCTACCTGTCTATTAACTGTCTTAATAGCTACACTGTTGACCTTGTTCTTTTATAATCATAATGATCCACCTGCCCTCTCCTGAGACTCTTTTTCAACATGGACAGCACTTGTCGTCCCTCCCATATCATATTGTGTTTAATTTAATCTTTAGCAGATAGATACAGAGTGTGTGTTCAAACTAGTTTTTTCATTTGTTAAGGTGCTTTGGAATTGTAATCCAAATTTCGAACAAATTATATACTCAAAATATATGACAATACAATGAAATTTTTGTAAAAATATTTTAACAAACTGACCTCATGAGCAAAAACTGCTGTAGTTTTTAATAATTCTGTTTACAGATGATTTTATTCCAGTATGTGAATCTTCCCAAGCAAAGAGGGGAAAAAAAGTGTTCATTTTTAAAAATGACATCATGGAAGTCCTTAAAGCATCTAATACAAGTTAATGAACTCTGCAACCATTTATACTAGCCCTAATATATTATATATACGCACCTGGAAAGTCATCCAACAGATACTTACCTGAACTTCAAAAAGTTGTCAGTCTAGTAGGGGAGGTGACCGTCCATACAATGAGAGGCAGAACATAACAATAGTCAGAAGACAGGCAAATCTAAGGGCTACGGGAGCGTCACAAGGGAAAGGGAAGTGTTAGGGATGGGGTGATAGTAGAGGTGGCATTTGTGTTAGGACTTAAGGCCATTATTGGATTAACTGAGAATATTGAATATGAATAGTGGATTAGTTAAAAATACTATATAGATGTTAAATTTATTGAGCTTGATAACTGTTCTATGGGTTATGGAAGAATGTATCCCTTTAATTAGGAGATACACGAAGAAGTATGGGGATGGGGGAGAGAGTGAGAGGATGGCTGAGCAAATGATAACATGAAACATTAACAATAGTTGAGTGTGGGGGTAAAGGGCATACAGACACTCTTCATACTATTTTTATTTTTGCAATCTAACCGTTAGTTTGAAATCATTTCCCAGTAAAAAGTCTTTTAAAATCCAGCTCTCAGATAAGAGGCAACAGAGGATAGCTGTCCTTATTCACTGCCTTCTGAAGACCAGAACTGATGCCAGCTGCTTTTTTATTTCCCCCAAAATGTGGTTCACGCTAGTTATTTGTTGACTTCACCAAACCACCGCATAATTTCACACAACCCAGGATGGAGGGTAGCAGCGTCTGTTTCACAGAACCCAAGGCCTGAAATAGCAGGAGGGCTGTGTTGTGGTGTGGCGTGGAAGCCTGCGCCCTGCCAGCCACACTTGGCCTGGTTTCAGCAGTTTGCTATCAGACCCTACATTATGGAAGAACAGCCAGGGCAAATAAAATGGAGAGTCAGACTTACAAAACAAAGCTTCCTGCCTCCCAACTAGTACTGCCTTGCTTCCTCCTTCAGGATAGCACCCATTTCTGTAGATATTTCCTGGTAGAAATGTTGTGACTTCCCTGACATTGCTGTTAAATTGTAGTTCCTGCAAAAGGAGGCCAAGTCCTCATTTCTGGTGTCCAGATAACCTCCTCCAGGTATTTTCTCAATATGGTTCAGACCTAAGTTACTTTATTTCCTGTGCCTTTTAAAGACACCTCTATTCAAAAAACACATTTTCCAGAGTGCTGTAAGTTTTAAAGACCCCAAGTGACAATGTGCCTGAAGAGGAAATCAGCCCCCTGTTAGTGCAAGGAGCTGAGTGGCTGAAGAAGCCCAGACTGTAGTGGGCTTGGGAACTGGCTAGAGCCTGTTCTCTGCACGGGCTCCCACTGCCACACAGGCTGCAGGGGGAGTATCAGTGCCCCACCCCACTCCCCAGATTCCAAGGGCGCACTTAATGTTCACCACGTGCAGTGTTTGTCACCTGGGCTTCAGTGTTAGTGCCGCCAGGTTCCAGCAGTGGCTGTTCTCTGTTGCCTTTTACCTGAGAGCTGGCTTTTAAAAGACTTTTTACTGGGAAATGATTTCAACTGGCTAATACGGCCATGGGCAGTTAGTGAGCTTCACTAAGCCTCAGTTTTGGCATCCACCAAATGGAGATAATAATAGTCTCCAGCTCCTAGAGTTGTGAGGATGAAATGCAACAGACAATGCATATAAATTATGAAGCATAAGTGGTGGTTCTTGCTGTTTTCTTGTGCTTGTTAAGAGTATTACTATGTGAGCCTGGCTTCTTTCCTTTCTCCCTCCCTTCCGTCCCCAAACTTACCGGTATTACACAGTTGATACAACAGTGTTCAAGATACTCCTCGTTTGAAGATAAGAGTCCTGCAACTGGGTACGAGTAAAGTGTCCTTTGGAAAACTGTGATGTACTCAACAAATGCATAAAGATGAGCATGTTTTAATTGTCCAGGCCCACACAATGTGGATGATTTTCATATTCTATCACTAGTATTTTCTGCTCTTCCATCCTGCAATGCCCTAACCTCCCAGGGTGCCCATGCCTAGAATATCCCTTTCCTTCACCCTGTATTTATTGAACTCAGTCCTCAAAGGCTGGCTGAGTGTCACCTACTGTGATCTTTGCTCACAATGAGAGCAGAAGAAATTGCTCCTGGAACTCCCTTTACCTAACACTGTAATATGTAATACTTTTTATGTTTTATGTAACCTTATTACATAAAATGATATGGTTTTGCTTTTTATACTCATCTCTCCTACTTGAATATAAGTTTCTGGAGGCTAAAGCTTGTCATATTTTTCCTAGTTCCTTCATAGAGCCTGGAAAGTATGCTGCTCATTAACAATTGTGCTGGGGTTGTTTGTTGTTGCTTGTAAATTTTTTGAAAGCGTAAAAGCATGCAGGAAAGTACTCAAATCAGGAGTGTACAACTTGATATTTTTGACATGAACATACCATGAAACCAGTCTTCAGATCAAGATTCAGAATATAAGGAGAAACCCAGAAGTCCATATTCAGTCTCTCCTCCCCCAAGGGTAACCACTACATCATAGATTAGTTATGCCCCTTATTAAATTTTCTACAAATGTCATCATATGGTACATATGCATTCATGGCTAACATCTTTCATTTCACATTATGTTTCAGAAGCATTCATGCTGTTGTATGTAGATGTGGTTCATTCACTACCATGACTATGTAGTATTTCACTGTGTGACTATGCCATTATTTATTTATCCATTCTGCTGCTGATAGACCTTGGGAAGTAACTGTTTTGTGAACTGAAATGAATACTAACATCTGGCTCTTAAGAAATATTTCCCAAGGAAAGGGTGACAGCACAGAAGGTTAGATTCACGAATGCTAGAGAAGTAGCCCTGATTTCTCACTTTTTCAAAGAGCATTGACAGATGGCTCCCCATATCAAGAGCCAGCACAATCTTTCAGAATCAGGACAGCCCATTTTCCCAGACCATGTGATATTTATTCTATTCTAGCCTGGCTGGTTGCTAAATTGGTAAAGATCAGAGAGCTTTTGGGCACAGTGGTGTTCTTAGAATTCTGTTTTGCTATTAAATATTGGCCTACAAATATATAGCTAAATGTGTTTTACTAATGATTGGGGTGGCATTAATTGTAATTACTTGTCAATCTAACTTGTTGCTGGTGTCTTAATTTCCAGCATATCTGAGAGGTTTTTAAAGGATTTCACTAGCAGTTTGGTAAGTCATTTGTCAATAAATGATGAAAAGGTTGGGCTATTTATATTTCAATGTTACCATTTTAATGGGCAACTGTCTATGTACTGTCCACCGCAGAAATGCTTTTTCCTCCCTTTTCTTGAGGAAAGTGTCTAAGGTGGAGGGAGGTCTGGTTGCTATGGATATCTGAAATTTTATGTTTACAATTTAAGAGGTAAGCTGAAACCTCACTATTTGGTCTCCACCTGAGTGGCATTCACATTTAGAAATTACAAGATTGTTATTGGCTATCTGGAGCTTGAGGATGTGGCTGAGTCCTGGCAGTTAATTAAAACTAGGCTGGTTTTCAATATCAGAATTATTCAGCCTGTTTTGGTAGGATGTCCGTAAAGTCCTCACTACCTTGCAATGTGTTTTTGATGTAAAAAAAATATTTAAAAAGGAAACATAACAGGGTAGCTTGTCCTCATTTACTGGAGAGGTTGGTTGCTCCATAAGCTTTTCAGAGTGGGATTCTGCCCCCATTGTTTCTTGTCTGTTAGCTCTGTAGGTTCTAGGCTACAGTATTTCAGTGTTCACAGGACAGCTAATTGGAGAACAAAGCCCTGGCATTTTCCTGGAAGGAAGATTGCTTCATGTGATGCTTATTGGGAAGATCGTAGAAAAACTGGTTAATTCAGAGTATTGCTGCATTAAATGTCAGGTGAAATATTTTCTAATTATTCTTTTATTATCAGTTTAATCTTTTAAATATGTTTTTAAGTATAGAAGTAACTCATGAATACTTTTTTTTTTTTTGGAGACAGAGTCTCACTTTGTAGCCCAGGCTGGAGTGCAGTGGCGCAATCTCGGCTCACTGCAACTTCCATTCCACCTCCCAGTTCAAGCAATTCTGGTGTCTCAGCCGCCTGAGTAGCTGGAATTACAGGTTTGCACCACCACACCCAGCTAACTTTTGCATTTTTTGTAGAGATGGGGTTTCGCCATGTTGGCCAGGCTGGTCTCAAACTCCTGGCCTCAAGTGATCCACCCACTCGGCCTCTCAAAGTGCTGGGATTACAGGCGTGAGCCACTGCGCCCGGCCTATGACTACATTTTTAACTTAAAAGAATCTAATAATACTGATAAAGAGAAAATTCCACTTGACTTATTTTCATCAGTTCTAGTTTGTTCCACATAGATATTCCTTTCATCAGACTAGTTTGTATTGTTCTAGTTCAGAGGTCAGCAAGTTCTAACCCAAAGGCCAATCCAGCTCCCTACCTGTTTTTGTAAATAAAGTTTTGTTGAAACACAGCCACGCCCATTTATTTACATATTGTCCCTGGCTGCTGTCACACTGCAACAGCTCAGCTGTGTAGCCGCAATACAGACCACATGGCCCCCAAAGCCTGAAATGTTTACTGACTAGCGCTTTACAGAAAAATTTTGTTGATCTCTGTTCTAGATCATTTTCGTTTGCATTTTTTATATTTAAATTAATATACAGCTAAATGTTATTTTACTATTGATTGTGGTGGCGTTAATCATAATGACTTGTCAGTCTAACTTGCTGCCAGCGTCTTAATTTCCAACATGTCTGAAAGGTTTTAAAGGATTTCACAATATGCAATTTTATATTTACTATTTATATATGTATAATTGTGTCTATTTTTACATAAATGGTATTATATAGTACATATTGCTCAATACCTATTTTTCCATTTAACAGAATACCTTCAAGATTTGCTGTTCATGTCAAAATATGTTGCTCTCTACCTCATTCTGTTTAGCTGTCACATATTGTCCATAGCAGGATAAAGTTAAACTTATTTTATCATCTCCTATGGGTGACTATGTAGCTTATATTCAGCTTTTACTGTTGAAAGGAATGCAGCAATAAAAACTGGCAAAAGTCTCTATTTCTCCTACCAGTACTGGAAAATCACATACACACTATGGCGGCACATTTTCACAACAGAGAAATTAATGTGATAATCATGGCTACTATAAAGAAAAAAGGGGTTAATTAACTTGGTCAGGGACTTCAAACATGACAGTGGGCATTATTCAGAATGGACATTTTATGCTTCTAATTGCTGGGCAGGGACTACTCTAGGGAAAGGCCTGAGCAGAATGGAAAAATCTGTCTACCTAAAGGACATATGAAGGAATTAGAAGTGTCCTTGGGTAGGGTATTTGTCAGCTTGACCCCGCCTGAGAAAATGTCAAGATCACACTGCATATATTAGAAACATGAAACCATTGAATATGTCAAGCTTCTAGGAACTTCCACAATTATCAAGTTGAACCCTTTCCATTTTTAGATGAGGACACCAAGCCTCACAAATGTTAAGTGATTTGTTCAAGATCATAGTAGTAGGTTTCGATCATGGCTTAGCTTGTCCACTGACACTAGAACCAGGGGCTAAAAGTTGAAATACCTGATTTTTACAACTCAGAAGGCATAAGACTTACAGTAGCACATCATTTTAAAGTTTTCTAGTTTGTCAGACTATCTTTATTTATTTTTTAATTTTTTTTTTTTTTTTGAGATGACAATGTCTCACTCTATTGCCCAGACTTGAGTACAGTGGCACAATCATAGCTCATTTCAGCCTTGAATTCCTGGGCTCAAGTGATCCTCCTGCCTCAGCTTCCTGAGTGTCTGGGCCTGCAGGCTTGTGTCATCACACTTGGCTAATTTTTAAATGTTTTAGTAGAGATGGGGGTCTCACCATGTTGCCCAGGCTGGTCTCAAAATCCTGTCCTCAAGCAATCCTCCCACCTTGGCCTCCCGAAGTGCTGGGATTACAGATGTGAGCCACAGCAGCCAGCACAGAGAATCTTTATTTATACTTTTTAAAAACATAATCTCTAAATATGAAAATTCATATTAGAGTAGCTTCATTTGTGATAAAATATCAGCTGTCATTGTCTCAGCAACCACAGCAAAGAAGAGTCCAAATGAATCCACAGCCGGTTTGAGATTCTCATTCCTAACAATGCCAGTCTGTTTGTTCATGTGTATTAAAGTATCATTAGAAAGGAAGCAGCCTCAGATGAAGCCATTTTAGCCATTGATGTGTCTCAAAAGGGTTAATCAGATACAGAAACTTAACAATTTCTAGAATTGTAAGGAAATAATTTTGTTTCTTGTAAAGCAAGAGTAATAATTGATGCTCACGTGAATTGACATTTTTGGTAGCTTAGAAATGGCACCAAATGTGGGTTTTGGCAAAACCTATATTTTCATGAAGAAATGGCTTTTAAACATGTTGGCATTTCTGTTCATGATAGACACACCATTTGAATCCAAACCCTTGCAGAGGTGACATGACACTGCACTGAAGGCAGTGACACATTTTTTTTAAAAAAAACTTCACATAAAATTATGTAAACACTTAAAGTGAATGAGACACCTGCCTTTGAGACACCCGCCTTTCAGTCGCCCTTGTTATGCCACCCACAGCCTTTTCTCCTTGGCTATTCTTAGCAGGATTTATTTTGAGCCTAGTGGTGGTAAAAGATGTAACATAAAATGAAACCCGACACTTAGAGCTCCCTATTATTAATTCATAAATTCAGTCTGGGATCACCCATTGGTGCCAATGAAAGATTAGCCTAGAGAACAATCACGGTTCACATTCTATACAGTAGTATAGAAGAAAGTTTGCCACTGATAATTGTATTTATGTAAGTGCTAGCAATAATTGCCTGGTGGTCTTGGAACAGTGATAAAGAAGAAAATGACCAGAGTAAACTCTGCTGTTCAATTTCTTGGACTAAAAACTGCATGGAGACAGGAAAACAGCCTGAAAACAACCAACCATGGCCCCCCTCAATGATTTGGAGAAATGAAACAATTTTGGACATTTTCTTAGGTTAATAGATGGTTACTGAGTACTTCTGGAGTTCCTCTAGGGTATACCGGTACACTATTAGGTACTAGGGGTCACATGTTAAATTACAAACAAAAGCTTTGGTTCCCAAATTATAGCCCTTGTTAGGAAAAGCAAAGAAACAAAACATGATCAACATATAAGTGGGAATTTTTTCTTAGTAATTCAAGTAATTCTTAAGGCTTCCATTATGTAAACCTGTGGCTGAACTTATAAAATACTGAAACAACTCATTGAAAACCAATCAGTTACATATCCACAAATAAAATGGTATGATAAATAGTTCTTTCTCATAGACACTGTTAGTTTGTTGTCTTGGCTTCATATGAACAGAGAATGAAGGCAAGTCCTCATTGTAAAACACCAAAGTCATAGAATAAAGAACTCCCAGAACTGGAAGAGACTTTAAGTTCACCTGGTTAACTGCCAATATCATCACATGTATTATCCACCTGGTGGATTTTACTTGTTTTAAAATCCCTGCCTGACTTCTCCTTGCCTCTCCTTGAATTTTAAAATTGCTATCTCATACTATCACTTGAGACTGCAAATCCTTTTTCATACTAGCAAAATAAAAATATAAGAATATAAATATACACAAAACTACAAAGTAAAAGGAAATGACTTGTAGCATCTCAAAGTTAAGAAAAAACACCGAGGCTTTTTTGTTCTTCGTTTTTTTTTGTTTTTGTTTTTGTTTTTTGTTTTGTGTGTGTGTGTGTGTGTGTGTCTGTGTTAGAAACACTTAACATAAGATCTACTCTCCCAACAAAAATTTGTACCATAAATTATTGTTAACTATAGATACAATGTCCTATAGCAGATCTCTAGAGCTTATTCACCTTGCTTGAGTGAAATGTTATGCCTTTGATTAGTAACTTCCCATTTTCCCCTCCCCCTCAGCCTGTTTACCACCATTCTGCTCTTTGATTCTATGAATTTAACTATTTTAGAGACCTCAGGTAAGTGGAATCATGCAGTATTTGTCTTTCTGTGACTGGTATATTTCACTTAGCATAAGATCCCCAACATTCATTCATGATGTCACATATTGCAGAATTTTCTTCTTTTTAAGGCTGAATAGTATTCCGTGGCATGAATATACCACATTTTCTTTATCCATTCAAATGTCAATGAACATTTAGGTTGTTTCCACATCTTGGCTATTGTGAATAGTGTTTCAATTTACATAGGAGTACTAATAACACTTCAAGATTATGGTTGCATCTCTTTTGGATGGATACTGAAAAGTGTGATTGCTGGATCATACAGCAATTTTATTTTTATTTTTTTGAGGAACTGCCAAACTATTTTCCATAGAGACTGCAACATTTTGCATTCTTGCTAACAGTGTGCAAGTGCTCCAATTAAAAAGCTTATGCACAGCAAAGGAAACAATCAACAGCGTGAAAAAGCAACCTAAAGATTGAGAGAACATATTTGCAAACCATAAATCTGATAAGTGGTTAATGTCCAAAATATATAAAGAACTCCTACAACTCAAAAGTTTTTTTAAAAAAACTAATACCCTGATTAAGAAATGGACGACAGATTTAAATAGACATTTCTCCAAAAAAGACATACAAATGGCCAACCAATACATGCAAACATGTTCAATGTCAACAATTATCAGGGAAATGAAATCAAAACCACAATGAGATATTGCCTCATACCTGCTAGCATGGTTATTATTTTAAAAAGACAAGTATTAGTGAGGATGTGGAGAAATTTCATGTTTTTTTGGTCTTAGCTGAAGTATACAGTAACACAGATAATTTCTTTCTTTCCATTAAAGGAGCTAGTCAGATGTGACCTCACGTACCTCACATTTCTCATAATACTCTCATCCAACTGCTAAATAGGCAAGCAAATATTAAATTCAAGAATGGTGTGTCTGCAAGAGAATAGTTATTATAGAGAAGTAGTTACTGAGAAATTAATGAAATATGTGTATTTGTCATATAAAATAAAGAACTCATAAGAGTTCAATTATATACATGGCTGATATGCTGGGAAGGACAGGAAAATAATTGGGAAAACTAATGTCAAAACGATAGCTGAGTTTTTAGTAATGAACCATTTCCCTGGACTTGCATTGATGATAGTCACAAGTAGAGTAGCTATAATCTAAACACTTCTTACTAAAAATAAGATCCTAGAATATCCATAGACTGGGAAGTTGGCCATAGATAGTGCCCAGATTTATAGAAACCACCACAGAATGGCTTTTCATCTGTATCTGGTTTTTAGGTGAAACAAGGTGTGTTTAAAAAGCATATACTGGAAAAAGAGAAAAAAAGAAAAAATCTGTAGAGGAAAAATATAAGGAAGAGAAGAAAATTACCAAAAAAGAGTACTGTAATTAGTACATTTTGTGTAATGAGATGATCTCACGTTCAGAAAACAAGAACAAGATGTTGTGGAAAAAGCAGAGGACAATAGTTTGGAAATTAAAAATACGATTGTTCCAGGAGAAAAAAATCAGACATAGCCAGAATATGGAATAATCTATAAGAATGTGAATGTCTACTAAAAGGGAATGTCATTTTTTAAAGTGTGTATGGAATAGGTGGGGGACATGATTGGGGACAAGACTGTATTAGGTTAAAAGATTCCAAAGAGAAGTAACAGTTCATTGTAGCATTATTCACAATAGCCAAGATATGCAAACAACCTGTTTGTCCACAAAGGAATGGATAAAGAATATGTCTCACACACACACACACACACACACACACACACACAAATACTATTCAGCAATTACAAAAAAAGAAGAAATTTGCAACATGAATGAAACTTGAGGACATTATGCTAAGTGGAATTAGACACAGAAAGAAAAGTACTACCTTATCTCACTTATATGTGGAATATATAAAAATTAAATTCCTAGAAGCAATGTCAATTACCAGAGGCCAGAGTATGGGGAAAATGGGGAGATGTTGGTTAAAGGGTACGGAGTTTCAGTTACGTAGGGTGGATTAGTTCTAGAGCTCTAATGTGCACCATAGTGACTATAGTTAACCATAGTATATTGGATACTTAAAATTTGTTATAATAGTGGATCTTACATGTTCTCACCACATGGACAAAATAGGTTAACTATGTGAGGTGATGGGTATGTTAATTAGCTTGACTGTAGTAATCATTCTGCAATGTAGATGCATATCAAAATGTCACATTGTATACCTCAAATATGTACAATTTTTATTTAAAAAAATTTTTCCAAATTCGATGTATGGACCTTAATTTAATCTTCGTTCAAAAAAAAAAAAGCACCTATGAAAGACATTTAGCAAACAGCTATAGATATATGCATGTAGATCAGATATTAGAGAATATTGGGGTATTATCATTAATTTTCTTGGTATAATAATGGTATTATGATTGGTAGGAGAATGTGCTTGAGTTATGAGATGTTTGCTGAAGTTGTTAGTGATGAAGCATCATTATAGCTGAAATATTCTAAATGGTTCCAAAAATATTAAAACAAAAAAATGCAAAAATATTATTATACTTTACCTTTTCCTATTACAATGACAATCCATTTTTAATGTAGAAGAAATAAATATATACAGAAAAACAAGAAGAAAGTTTACAACCAACCATAAACACAGCTCTCCTCCAGACACTGCTAACACCTTGATGTTTGCCATGTATGTATAATATATACTTATATATGTATACCTCCATAATATATAATATATATACACTCACACACATAATACCCTAATTTATTGTACCCATCTCCTCCAGTGAGTGGAGTTTTACTTATTACTTGGGCCCACTTCTTCCTTTTGGTGCCTGAGGCTTTCCTTAAGCGTGCAAAACTTGGGGTGCTTCTCAATTCCCTCTTGTTGAGACCTTAGCAGTTTGTTTTCTTATCCATTCTGTCAATGAGATTTTCCTCTCATTTGCATTAGCCCAGAAGGGCAAGGAGCATTTTTATCTAGATGAGTGTATCTTACACATAACAAATTGGTTGCATATCTTTGCTCACTGATACTTTATTTAGCAGGCTAATCTGATAAACTATTTCTCAAGTTATAATAACATTCACCATGGTGGTAAACTTGATAAAGTTTCTGAGTCTCGAAAAACAGAAGTCAATTGCTTGCAACTACATTGCATTGTAGGTAATCCAATAAAGAATTTCTTTTCATGTTGACAGGATAAAAATTGGCAGGGAGCAGGGGAAGGTGTTAACCTGTTAGGGAAAATGCAGGATAATCACATATGGCATTTTATTGCTTTGGAATCTTTTTATTGTAATATCCTCATTTTGGATGAGGTAACTTGGCATCAGATAGATCCAGCTTCAAATAATGGCTCTGTTACTTTTTCACCTTGGACAAGTTATTGATTTTTTCTGCCCATTTTTCTCATCTGTAATATGGATCATGAGGTATGTATGGAAATCTCATAGGTCTGTTGTAAAGATGTAATGAGTAATAAGGTCATGTATTGAAAGCTTTTTGTAAATTATTAAGTGCTAATGGTGGTGATTGGGGTGGGATGTAGGTAGTGGTTGTGGTAGTGGTAGTAGCAAGAATTAGCAGTAGCAGAAATAGTGACACAAGTAAAAATATTAGCAATGGATCACCTTATTTATTTTTAATAAATAAAAAACCATTTTTTGTGATGTTAGGGTGTCAATTTTGGATCTTTCCTGCTTTCTCTTTTGGGCATTTAGTGCTATCAGATTCCCTCTACACACTGCTTTGAATGTGTCCCAGAGATTCTGGTATGTTGTGTCTTTGTTCTCATTGGTTTCAAAGAACATCTTTATTTCTGCCTTCCTTTCATTATGCACCCAGTAGTCATTCAGGAGCAGGTTGTTCAGTTTCCATGTAGTTGAGTGGTTTTGAGTGAGTTTCTTAATCCTGAGTTCTAGTTTGATTGCACTGTGGTCTGAGAGACAGTTTGTTATAATTTCTGATCTTTTACATTTGCTAAGGAGAACTTTACTTCCAACTATGTGGTCAATTTTGAAATAGGTGTGGTGTGGTGCTGAAAAAAATGTATATTCTGTTGATTTGGGGTGGAGAGTTCTGTAGATATCTATTAGGTCTGCTTGGTTCAGAGCTGAGTTCAATTCCTGGGTATCCTTATTAACTTTCTGTCTCATTGATCTGTCTAATGTTGACAGTGGGGTGTTAAAGTCTCCCATTATTATTGTGTGGGAGTCTAAGTCTCTTTGTAGGTCACTCAGGACTTGCTTTATCAATCTGGGTGCTCCTGTATTGGGTGCATATATATTTAGGATAATTAGCTCTTCTTGTTGAATTGATCCCTTTACCATTATGTAATGGCATTCTTTGTCTCTTTTGATCTTTGTTGGTTTAAAGTCTGTTTTATCAGAGACTAGGATTGCAACCCCTGCCTTTTTTTGTTTTCCATTTGCTTGGTAGATCTTCCTCCATCCTTTTATTTTGAGCCTATGTGTGTCTCTGCACGTGAGATGGGTTTCCTGAATACAGCACACTGATGGGTCTTGACTCTTTATCCAATTTGCCAGTCTGTTTCTTTTAATTGGAGAATTTAGTCCATTTACATTTAAGGTTAATATTGTTATGTGTGAATTTGATCCTGTCATTATGATGTTGGCTGGTTATTTTGCTCGTTAGTTGATGGAGTTTCTTCCTAGCCTCGATGGTCTTTACAATTTGGCATGATTTTGCAGTGGCTGGTACCAATTGTTCCTTTCCATGTTTAGCGCTTCCTTCAGGAGCTCTTTTAGGGCAGGCCTGGTGGTGACAAAATCTCTCAGCATTTGCTTGTCTGTAAAGTATTTTATTTCTCCTTCATTTATGAAGCTTAGTTTGGCTGGATATGAAATTCTGGGTTGAAAATTCTTTTCTTTAAGAATGTTAAATATTGGCCCCCACTCTCTTCTGGCTTGCAGAGTTTCTGCCGAGAGATCCGCTGTTAGTCTGATGGGCTTCCCTTTGAGGGTAACCCGACCTTTCTCTCTGGCTGCCCTTAACATTTTTTCCTTCATTTCAACTTTGGTGAATCTGACAATTATGTGTCTTGGAGTTGCTCTTCTCGAGGAGTATCTTTGTGGTGTTCTCTGTATTTCCTGAATCTGAATGTTGGCCTGCCTTGCTAGATTGGGGAAGTTCTCCTGGATAATATCCTGCAGAGTGTTTTCCAACTTGGTTCCATTCTCCCCGTCACTTTCAGGTACACCAATCAGACACAGATTTGGTCTTTTCACATAGTCCCATATTTCTTGGAGGCTTTGTTCGTTTCTTTTTATTCTTTTTTCTCTAAACTTCCCTTCTCGCTTCATTTCATTCATTTCATCTTCCATCACTGATACCCTTTCTTCCAGTTGATCGCATCAGCTCCTGAGGCTTCTGCATTCTTCACATAGTTCTCGAACCTTGACTTTCAGCTCTATCAGCTCCTTTAAGCACTTCTCTGTATTGGTTATTCTAGTTAATACATTCGTCTAAATCTTTTTCAAAGTTTTCAACTTCTTTGCCTTTGGTTTGAATTTCCTCCTGTAGCTCAGAGTAGTTTGATCATCTGAAGCCTTCTTCTCTCAACTTGTCAAAGTCATTCTCCGTCCAGCTTTGTTCCGTTGCTGGTGAGGAGCTACGTTCCTTTGGAGGAGGAGAGGCACTCGCTTTTTAGAGTTTCCAGTTTTTCTGCTCTGTTTTTTCCCCATCTTCATGGTTTTATCTACTTTTGGTCTTTGATGATGGTGATGTACAGATGGGTTTTTGGTGTGGATGTCCTTTCTGTTTGTTAGTTTTCCTTCTAACAGACAGGACCCTCAGCTACAGGTCTGTTGGAGTTTGCTAGAGGTCCACTCCAGACACTGTTTGCCTGGGTACCAGCAGCGGTGGCTGCAGAACAGTGGGTTTTCGTGAACCGCCTATGCTGCTGTCTGATTGTTCCTCTGGAAGTTTTGTCTCAGCGGAGTACCCGGCTGTGTGAGGTGTCAGTCTGCCCCTACTGGGGGGTGCCTCCCAGTTAGGCTGCTTGGGGGTCAGGGGTCAGGGACCCACTTGAGGAGGCAGTCTGCCCGTTCTCAGATCTCCAGCTGCGTGCTGGGAGAACCACTGCTCTCTTCAAAGCTGTCAGACAGGGACATTTAAGTCTGCAGAGGTTACTGCTGTCTTTTTGTTTGTCTGTGCCCTGCCCCCAGAGGTGGAGCCTACAGAGGCAGGCAGGCCTCCTTGAGCTGTGGTGGGCTCCACCCAGTTCGAGCTTCCCGGGCTGCTTTGTTTACCTAAGCAAGCCTGGGCAATGGCGGGCGCCCCTCCCCCAGCCTCACTGCCACCTTGCAGTTTGATCTCAGACTGCTGTGCTAGCAATCAGTGAGATTCCATGGGCATAGGACCCTCCGAGCCAGGTGCAGGATATAATCTCCTCGTGTGCTGTTTTTTAAGCCCGTTGGAAAAGCGCAGTCTTGGGGTGGGAGTGACCCGATTTTCCAGGTGCCATCTGTCACCCCTTTCTTTGACTAGGAAAGGGAACTTCCTGACCACTTGCGCTTCCCAAGTGAGGCAATGCCTTGCCCTGCTTCGGCTCACACACAGTGCACTGCACCCACTGTCCTGCGCCCACTGTCTGGCACTCCCTAGTGAGATGAACCCGGTACCTCAGATGGAAATGCAGAAATCACCCGTCTTCTGTGTCGCTCATGCTGGGAGCTGTAGACCGGAGCTGTTCCTATTCGGCCATCTTGGCTCACAATTAAAAGAACTAGAAAAGCAAGAGCAAACACATTCAAAAGCTAGCAGAAGGCAAGAAATAACTAAAAGCAGAGCAGAACTGAAGGAAATAGAGACACAAAAAACCCTTCAAAGAATTAATGAATCCAGGAGCTGGTTTTTTGAAAGGATCAACAAAATTGATAGACCGCTAGCAAGACTAATAAAGAAGAAAAGAGAGAAGAATCAAATACACGCAATAAAAAATGATAAAGGGAATATCACCACCGATCCCACAGAAATACAAACTACCATCCGAGAATACTACAAACACCTCTACGCAAATAAACTAGAAAATCTAGAAGAAATCGATAAGTTCCTCGACACATACAGCCTCCCAAGACTAAACCAGGAAGAAGTTGAATCTCTGAATAGACCAATAGCAGGCTCTGAAATTGTGGCTTTAATCAATAGCTTACCAACCAAAAAGAGCCCAGGACCAGATGGATTCACAGCCGAATTCTACCAGAGGTACAAGGAGGAACTGGTACCATTCCTTCTGAAACTATTCCAACCAATAGAAAAAGAGGGAATCCTCCCTAACTCATTTTATGAGGCCAGCATCATCCTGATACCAAAGCTTGGCAGAGACACAAACAAAAAAGAGAATTTTAGACCAATATCCTTGATGAACATTGATGCAAAAATCCTCAATAAAATACTGGCAAAACGAATCCAGCAGCACATCAAAAAGCTTATCCACCATGATCAAGTGGGCTTCATCCCTGGGATGCAAGGCTGGTTCAATATACGCAAATCAATAAATGTAATCCAGCATATAAACAGAACCAAAGACAAAAACCACATGATTATCTCAATAGATGCAGAAAAGGCCTTTGACAAAATTCAACAACCCTTCATGCTAAAAACTCTCAATAAATTAGGTATTGATGGGACATATCTCAAAATAATAAGAGCTATCTATGACAAACCCACAGCCAATATCATACTGAATGGGCAAAAACTGGAAGCATTCTCTTTGAAAACTGGCACAAGACAGGGAGGCCCTCTCTCACCACTCCTATTCAACATAGTGTGGGAAGTTCTGACCAGGGCAATTAGGCAGGAGAAGGAAATAAAGGGTATTCAATTAGGAAAAGAGGAAGTCAAATTGTCCCTGTTTGCAGATGACATGATTGTATATCTAGAAAACCCCATTGTCTCAGCCCAAAATCTCCTTAAGCTGATAAGCAACTTCAGCAAAGTCTCAGGATACAAAATCAATGTACAAAAATCACAAGCATTCTTATATGCCAATAACAGACAAACAGAGAGCCAAATCATGAGTGAACTCCCATTCACAATTGCTTCAAAGAGAATAAAATACCTAGGAATCCAACTTACAAGGGACATGAAGGACCTCTTCAAGGAGAACTACAAACCACTGCTCAATGAAATAAAAGAGGATAGAAAGAAATGGAAGAACATTCCATGCTCATGGGTAGGAGGAATCAATATCGTGAAAATGGCCATACTGCCCAAGGTAATTTATAGATTCAATGCCATCCCCATCAAGCTACCAATGCCTTCCTTCACAGAATTGGAAAAAAGTACTTTAAAGTTCATATGGAACCAAAAAAGAGCCCGCATTGCCAAGTCAATCCTAAGCCAAAAGAACAAAGCTGGAGGCATCATGCTACCTGACTTCAAATTATACTACAAGGCTACAGTAACCAAAACAGCATGGTACTGGCACCAAAACAGAGATATAGATCAATGGAACAGAACGGAGCCCTCAGAAATAACGCCGCATATCTACAACTATCTGATCTTTGACAAACCTGAGAAAAACAAGCAATGGGGAAAGGATTCCCTATTTAATAAATGGTGCTGAGAAAACTGGCTAGCCATATGTAGAAAGCTGAAACTGGATCCCTTCCTTACACCTTATACAAAAATTAATTCAAGATGGATTAAAGACTTAAACGTTAGACCTAAAACCATAAAAACCCTAGAAGAAAACCTAGGCATTAACATTCAGGACATAGGCATGGGCAAGGACTTCATGTCTAAAACACCAAAAGCAATGGCAACAAAAGCCAAAATTGACAAATGGGATCTAATTAAACTAAAGAGCTCCTGCACAGGAAAAGAAAGTACCATCAGAGTGAATAGGCAACCTACAAAATTGGAGAAAATTTTTGCAACCTACTCATCTGACAAAGGGCTAATATCCAGCATCTACAATGAACTCAAACAAATTTACAAGAAAAAAACAAACAACTCCATCAAAAAGTGGGCAAAGGATATGAACAGACACTTCTCAAAAGAAGATATTTATGCAGCCAAAAGACACATGAAAAAATGCTCACCATCACTGGCCATCAGAGAAATGCAAATCAAAACCACAATGAGATACCATCTCACACCAGTTAGAATGGCAATCATTAAAAGTCAGGAAACAACAGGTGCTGGAGAGGATGTGGAGAAATAGGAACACTTTTACACTGTTGATGGGACTGTAAACTAGTTCAACCATTGTGGAAGTCAGTGTGGCGATTCTTCAGGGATCTAGAACTAGAAATACCATCTGACCCAGCCATCCCATTACTGGGTATATACCCAAAGGACTATAAATCATGCTGCTATAAAGACACATGCACATGTATGTTTATTGCGGCACTATTCAGAATAGCAAAGACTTGGAACCAACTCAAATGTCCAACAATGATAGACTGGATTAAGAAAATGTGGTACATATACACCATGGAATACTATGCAGCCATAAAAATGATGAGTTCATGTCCTTTGGTGGGACATGGATGAAATTGGAAATCATCATTCTCAGTAAACTATCGCAAGAACAAAAAACCAAATACCGCATATTCTCACTCATAGGTGGGAATTGAACAATGAGGACACATGGACACCGGAAGGGGAACATCACACTCTGGGGACTGTTGTGGGGTTGGGGGAGGGAGGAGGGATAGTTTTAGGAGATATACCTAATGCTAAATGACGAGTTAATGGGTGCAGCACACCAGCATGGCACATGTATACATATGTAACTAACCTGCACATTGTGCACATGTACCCTAAAACTTAAAGTATAATAATAATGAAATAAAATAAAATAAACATAAAAATAAAAAAATAATAAAAAAATTAAAATAAAATAAAAAACCATTTTTTAATACAAATGTTTTGAGGATAGTGTGATGTTAATCAGATGCATTTATGGTAGTGTATTTTTAGACACTCTACAGATGACTGTAAAATAAATTGTATGTATTTGGAGGTAGAGGGGGGAAAAAAGAAGTATTACTTGCCCCTAGAATTTTATAATAAAAACTAATGTTTATTTTCTATTTCACTGTCTCTAGAAAGAGTTCTATTTTATTGTAAATTATAAGAGCAGTTTAATAATAAAGTCTTCTAAATAAAACATTTCCACTAAATTTATAGCATCTTCTATCTCTGCTCAAGATTCCCAATTTTGCATAAATATTCCTTCAGTTTAAATTTATATTTGTCGTGATTCTTAAATCTTGATAAAAGAGAAAAAGTACTCCTTTAGAACTAAGTGATATGTAACAGCTCTCTCATATAATAAATTAACTTCAGAATAACCTTCACATAATGCATTCATTTTGTTTTTCCTTTGTTTATAAAAAAAAGTGCTCTTGGGAAATGGACAAGTTTCTGAAACACTCAGTTCACAGCATTCACTTTTTTAGCATTAAACATCAGGTATTTTATGACCCAACTGGCACATAATGCAAAAATATATGTATATATATCTTTTCTAGTGGAGGATTAATGAGGTGGATGTTTATTTTGTGGTTATTTTTAGTGAAGAATTAGTAGAGTGGCTGTTTAAAGAAAACACACTAACACATCAACAATATGGAATGATATATTCTATTATAAAGATACATGGACATATATGTTCATTGCAGCACTATTTACAATAGCAAAGACATGGAATCAACCCAAATGCCCATCAATGATAGACTGAATAAAGAAAATGTGGTACAGAGATACCATGGAATACTATGCAGCCATAAAAGGAACAAGATCATGTCCTTTGCAGGGACATGGATGGAGCTGGAAGCCATTATCCTCACCAAACTAACACAGGAACAGAATACCAAATACCGCATGTTCTCACTTCTAAATGGGAACTGAACAATGAGAACACATGGATGCAGGGAGGGGAACAACACACACTGGGGCCTGTCAGGGGGGCAGGGGGAGGGAGAGCATCAGGATAAATAGCTAATGCATGTGGGGCTTAATACCTAGGTGATGGTTTGATAGGTGCAGCAAACCACCGTGACACGATTACCTATGTCACAAACCTGCACATCCTCCACATGTATCCTGGAATTTAAAATAAAATTAAAAATATATATGGAGAGAATGATATTTAAGACAAAAAGATGTTCTTTCTACCTATTTAGATTGTTTAATCTTCAATTAGCGTGTTTGGAAAAGCACATAAGCATGATGATATGAGGTGCTGAAGTAAACATGTAGATAAATATAACTAAACTCTAAAAATGCCACCTCCTCCACAAAAATCTTCATCAGCACCCTAGAAAGAGGTGTGATTCTTTTCACTTGCAATCCATTACATGTTCAAACATGTAAGCAATAGTCACCTAGGCTCTGAGCCTCATTCATTGAGTATGAGGGCACCATTTTAAAATAAATTTGGGTGGAACAGAGTCATAGTCCATACACTTACAGTTCATTCATTGATTAATTCATGCATTGAACAAATATCTAGTAAGTGCATACCCTGAGCCAAGTCCTATCTTAGATGCTAAGAACACTATAGTGAACAAGGTACAGTCCCTGCCCTGATAGAGCTTATATCTTGGTTGAATGACAGGGGAAGAAATGCAATAAATTGAAGACAAGTAGATACAGATGGTGGTGTGTGCTATAGAGAAGAAAAGGAGTGGAGTAAAAGAGACAGACAGCTGGTTGGGAGGAGAGTGCTCTCTGGCATAGGATGGATACAAAGGCCTCCCTGGTCTGCTGATGTTAGGACAGAAGCATGGAGAACACAAGGAAGACAGTTCTGGATTACTGGAGGGAATGGATCCAAACAGAAGTGATGCAAAAGCCCTGGTACAGGTAGAAATTTTAGTATTTTTAAGGGCCAGCTCAAGTTAACTAGCTTCTCTGAGTTGCAATTTCCTCTGTTGTAAAAATGGGGATAATAATAGTACTATGAAGGACAGTTTGTGAAGATTTAATAAAATAGTGTGTGCAAAATACCTAGCGCAGTGAGTGTTCTGTGAAAATCTTAGGTGCATTTCTTCTGTAAATATCTACTCACGTCAGTGTTTCTGTAAATATGAACTCATGTTGGTGTGTGTGTTAGTATGTGTCATTATGGTCTCTCTTCTTTGACAGCAATGTGCCTTTTGAACAGTAAGCCCAAGGTAATTACCAGATTGTGTTCCAGAAAACACTAAGGCAGCCCCTGCCTGTGTTAAACATTTCATGAACCACTTTATGAAGCTTGTTTCCACCTCCACTTACCTTTCTTGAGTCCTGCCACCATTGGTCTACCCAGAGCCCCCTGCTGCTGAGGCCTTCTCCTAGAAATGGAAGGTTTTTGGGTGGGAGATGCCCAGGATAGCTCAGGACCAGCTCTCCTCCATGTGTGTTACTCACTCCACCCATGGGAAATGCATGCACCCATAGTGAGGGGTGGGGCAGATTTCTTTCCATCCCTCCTCTAAACCCTGATATCTCTCCAGTTCCCTCTTTTCCAAGCTTAGACAGGCAAAGGAGCTAAGGCAGCTGAAATGCTCTGCATAAAATAATGGGAGAAATTTAGGATCAGAGTGGGTGTTTGCCCTTGAGAGGAATAGCTGAGAGAAAAGAGGTGAAAAACACCTTTTCAAGCATCACGGTTATGTGGCTGAGAAGCTTTCAAGAACAGAAAAGGCCACTAAGTATTTTTAAGGAGTTTGCCCTGTTGCACTGTAAATTCTCTCCATCTTTTCAAACTTTTAATAAAGTCTGTCAAAAACCAGGTCTTTGTATGTGGCTTTTTTTTTTTTTTTTTTTTGGTAGCAACCAAGGAAAGGGGCTAAGTTCTATTTTGTGGTAAACAGAGCTGAAATCAATGCAAAGCCCCATGACCAACAGTGGGCGAGTAAGAATTTAGCAGAGGAAGGAAGCAGGAACCAGCCATCACCATCCCTCCATCTCCTAGAGTTCCTCAGAAGTGTTTCGAGGGCGTTGGATGTTTCAAGGCAGTAGTATACCTATCTTAATGAGCAGGATGGCCTTAGCTGACATGTGCATGTATGTGAGACTTGCTTTGGGCAGCACCCCAGACAAAGATAGGCACTGAATTCTCTGGATAACAACATGAAAGTGAGGTTGAAGCTGCAGATCTGGGAGGGACTCTAGGCCTGCCTGAAAGTGTGTACAATAGACAGGGGTTGTCCACATTTGTCAGTTTCCTCGAGTAGACCCATGCTTGTATCTATCATCAGTATGGACTCAAGCTGCATTATTGAGGTCCCAAGAACACATCCAGTAGTGGGCACAGTGGGAGTGGCTTTGTTAACCTCAATGGTTTACTAGTTGGTTCTTGAGTTGACACCTTTGATTCCTTAGAACAGAAAGGAAATAAGTCAGAGGAACTTGTCTTGGGCTGCTTCCAGGGCTGTACATAGGTAGAAATAATATCAAAGCTAACATTTATTGAGTACTTAGTCTACATAAAGGATTATGTGGGAACTTTATATGTACTCACTCACCTAGTTCCCCCAACAACTCTTTGAGATAAGTACTTCCTAATATTCTTCCAAAACAAGTGGGCATACTTTGACCCAGCTACAGGTTTTGCAAAACTGGAGCACGTGGAATGAATAGGAGTGCTGAGGGGAAATTTTGTGAGAAGTAGGAGTTGGTGAAGCAACCAATTCAGCAATTCTTTAATAGCAGATAGGCAGTTAGCTTTATCCAGATACCCAGTGTCTTTGTCAGGTTTATAGGATGATGTTGTAATTTCATTTACATTTGTCTGAGGTTTCCTTTGAGACCATAAAGTTTCCCAGGCCAAGTCTTCCCAGGTCCCAGATCTTACTCTGCTTTTGCAACTTCACTCTGCAGAGGAGGGGATGTGGCCCATGGCAAGCAAGAGGGGATGGCGATGATGATGAAAGTTAGGAAAAAATTGGACTTCAAGGAGAAATTAAGGAGGGTGGTCGAATGTAGATCAAATTAAGGTCAACAAAAAGGAGAGTGTGGGCAAGGTTAAAGACTTTGTGCTAAAAGCAAGAGTTGTATGTATGCTTAGTCATAAAATGTAGCTCTGGAGATCCAGTTCAGGGTCTGGTTCTGTGCACATAAATCCCTTTTGGAATTTACACTTTCCCCCATGCAAGTGCACTCATCCTTGGAGCACTAAGCGACCCATTACTGCCCTGGGCAGGGCCAGTCAGGAGTGGGTGGAAGTGATGCGTAATTCACCTCTTGGAAACCCCATCTTTGGGGAAAGTGAATTTACTGCACATTTAAATGTTTGTCTCTCAGTGACCATTAACTTAAGCCTGGCTCACCAGAGTATCTCGCTTTTAATGAAGAATTGCTTTCCTGCAAGAAAAATTCTTGAAATTGTTGGAAAAAGAAAAAGTAAATCCTGAGGGATTGTTAGAACTGGTAGATGTGACATATTCACTAGCCTGACTGGATTTCCTTTAAATGCTGAGATGAAAGTCATTCAGCATGGAGCTCTCATCAGTGAGGATTTAAGAGGTTTTGTTTTTGTTCTGTACTACTGCCAGGAACTGTAATTAACAGGTAAATGTAAGAGATGGAAATGTATGTTGTTCATCTGATTTAAATAATACTCCTCCTTTAAAAAGCAACATCCATCATAACCAAAGTGGACCTGAACAGTAGAAGTCCAGATGTACAGAGGTCTTCCAGAAAGCCACAAAAATAGTGCAATGGTTAGTTTTTCTTTTGGCCTGAGCATTGATAAAGGGCCTTAGGCTAGTTTTAGTTTTCCATTAATCTCTCATCTTTCTTTTTTTTTTTCTTGCAGTAATCTTACCTAAAAAATGCTTTAACTGGTATATTAGAAATCTTTTATTTTTAGACGTATTCACTTTGAATTCTTTCCTTTTTCCTTACTTGGTAAATATTTATCACACTCCCAGGCAACTCAACATTTCTCTTATAGAAAGAAGTGTCCCATAAAAGAAATGTGAAAAACGAGCCTTGCGAAAACACAGGTGCCCTGAGAGACATATTTCTGCAAGGACTTGTACTGAAAGAGCACTAGTGACATATAATCATGAACACTTGCCAGCCTTTGAATATGAAGATGTCACTATCATCATTCTTCAGGCATGTTTTGAAAGTTTTGTTTTGTTTTGGCTCAGTTTGGTTGATTTGGTGTGTGGTTTTTGTTTGTTTGCTTGCTTGCGTTTTCCATGAACTTTCATGGATTTGTATTGACCCATCCACATTTACTTTGTCCTCTTTAGACCAAAAATGGGCTTTAGTGTGGGATCATCAATGAAAAATGTGTATTAATTATAATTTGTCTGTTCAATATGTGCCACTAAGTCTTTTATAAAGAAGAAGTTATATTGCCAGAAAGGCAATGAATGAATCTTGAATTTCTTTTGTCCTTGTCCTGTTCTGACATCTGCAACTCTCATGGCAGAATTCGGTAAAACTGAATTCAGAGTCCTAACCAGAGCGTCAGTAGATCAGATGGAGTCAAAGAGACAAGGAAAGAATTGGGAAGCAATGCTGTGGTCAGTTGGGAAATGGGCAACTCCAGTCACACTCAGAAAATGGAAGTGAAAATTGGGGCCAGGATCATCTTAGAAGCACCAACAAAAGCATATTGGTAAAATACCCAACAATAAAGATCACAAAAATTAGCCACACATGGGATAATCATGACACAATAAAGTTATGAATCACCTCTACATTAGGGTATGTGAGCAATTCTGTAGCTATTGGGAAACATCCCTCTGTTTTCTTGAGTCTTACTCCCTGAGACTAGTCTCATAACACTTCAAAATGAAATTGTCTGAGCCAAGAAGGAACAGAGTCGAATAGAATAGACAGGTGTATTTTGGTGTCAATGATTATACCATTAAAGTTTTCATAAATATCTTTTTACTATTATCATTATTTTCTCCTCAGCAGACAGCACCAGTTCCAGAAGTTGTGTGATATAATTGAAATTGATTTTTCTTTTTAAGCAGTGTATTTGACATTTCTTCAGCGAGGCTCCAGCTCTCTTCCTTATGCTCACCCCCAAATCTGTGGTGAAGAAAATATGACTTCAGTCCATCTCATCCTTAATATAGCTTTGGCCTTCCTCATCACAAAACCCTTACAGCCTAAAAGGTCATGGGCAGCATTTACGAAGCCTGGGATATGCTACAGGAGAGGCAGTCATGCTTATGTTCTCACAGTCGTGATAAAACATGGGGTGGCCCAACTCAGGACTAATTTGGGGTAGTTTTCTCTGGATTTAGCTTTTGAATGTTTTTTGGGACCTGAGAAGGCCCCAAAAAGAAAGAAAGAAGGTAGTTTTCTTTCTTTCCTTCATTACCTATAGTTTTCTGTTACCACTTGAAACAATACATCCAATACAACCTATTACAGATTAAGATTAAAATATCTTTTCTATGGCACTATCTGAAACTTATGCTTTAGCTGCTTTTCAAATGCCTCTAGTTCATGAAATGGGAAAGAAACATTTTCCATGACACGACGGTATCACCATCTGTTTTCAAGGAGGACGACTGCACGCCTACACAGCAGATTTTCTCTGTGTTGTATTCATGCAGCGAAGAGCTGCACTTCTGAGTGGTTTCTTGTGTAAGCTCATTCATGCTTCTTACCTTGGAGACTTCATCAGACTCTCAGCCAAGTCAAGGTCAGGAAGCACCTGTCCTGATGCTTCTTTTCTGTATATGTTTCTCTGGGGTTCTCCACAGCCTCATGGAACATATTCCTTTTAATCTCTATCGGAATCATGTATGTTTCATTATTTGCAGATGAAAAGAAAACCATCTTCACAAACAGAGAAGGACCTTTTTATTTAATAAGGCTCTGATCGCCTGATTGATTCTGAAGTGCTTGCTCTGGGCTCTATCTGAATGAGTCTTACATAGAGAATAAGAATCTTTCCTATCATTTTCTCCCTTATTTTCTACCTTCCTTTTATTTTTCCTTTCTCTCTTTCATTTTCTCCTTTCCCTGCTTTCTTATTCTGTCTGTTTTACAGCCAGTCCTTCCCGCCCCAGATTACCCATTCATCCTCATGATGAAACCTTTTCATCCTTGTGACTCTCAGATTTGTTCCAAGTCACTGTTAATGCATTTATCACTTCTGACATAAGGTGGTAGACTTTTTTAGCTTATACTTTCCTCCCCTTTGCAACTCCCTTCACTAATGGCAAAGAGTGACAACTAGTGATTACAGAAATCTTGAAAATGCCACTGGGAACTCAGCAACAAGAGGTGCCTCATCAAGACTAAGACGTAGATTTAAGATTGGATCCCCAGCGGCTCCCCTCCCCATCCCTTTTATCCCCACTTTACTAGCAAAACCTAAGTAACCTCTTTTTACTTCCTGACCTGGAGGTTCTAAACTGAAATCTTCAACCAGCCCAAGGGTGCACGTGGCCCTGCTCAGTGCTTTTACGCCATCCTCCCACAGTCTGTCTATTTTGAAGTGAGCGCTATGTTATTTCTGTACCAGGCAAAAACCTTTTTGTTTAAATGGAGATATAAAATTTGTAGGTGCTACATAATATGCTTAAAAAAAAGCTTCAATATGTTTTTACTTTACCATCCTGCTCCCTCTGCCTCGTCCTTCCTCTGTCCTTTTATGCATTGTGTTGCCCTGTGTCTCTTTCTTCATTTTTGGACTTGCTTCAGTGTGTGGCTGCATTCAGAGTGGAGCTTAGGGAATGACTGATCACCTCAGACCTTCAGGGTCTGCCTGTCCAGCAGAGCTCAGCTTTCACTAGATCTCAAGAGTCCAGGGGTGACCATAGAGCAGGATTATGCTGGGCAAAATAGCTAATGGCTTTTATTTTGCATGGTAAAGAATTACAAAGGTAGGTCCATATCTTAACTAGTTTGTGACTCATTCAGCAAATGTTTCTTTTGTATCTCGTATGTACCTGGCTGTTCTAGTTCTCAAGATATACAGAGAATAAAACAGACAAGTGTCCCTTCACACACACCTTCACACTTTAGAACATATTTTCATAATCTCTAAGGCATCAGCAGTTTTTATAAGCAACTGTAGCATCTTTTGGAAATAAAATTCCCAAATTTTAATTACTGTAAGCATCTTACTCAGTTTTATGAGGCTTTTTAAAAAGAAATGGGTGCTGTAAAAACTGAGTTGTAACTTTTTATGTGAGTGGAACAGCATTTCTCTCCGCATTTGCTTTCTCCTATCAAGAGAGAGAGAAGGAAAGAAAGAAAGAGAGAGAGAGAGAAAGAAAATGAAACGTGTTTGGATTTTTGCCACCTGGTTATGGTTAGTTCTTTATTTTAAAATCACTTTCAAAACAGATCAGACATTACATTGTTAAAAACAATTTTCACTGTAGGTATTGAATATCATACTGCGCTTGTAGTAATAACTGATAGATATCTAGAATAATCTTCATTGTGGACTGAAACTAGAAAGAACTGTCAATCACTGAGTTTAACTTTAAACACAGATGATTTGAATTCATGTTAGCAGCGTGAGGAAGCCGAGAAGATGGAACAGTGCTGCTTGGAGAAAAGATGATAGGATTACCTCTGCAGTTTGCCGTTCTTGCTAGTTGTTTGAGTCACTAAATCAAGGCAAAGTTTGTGAAAAGCCTGTGGCTGGGGTCTCCAACTCTTCATTCCTGCTGAGATTTTCCTATTATAAATCTGCTGTCAGAAATAAGTGCTTTACTTGTGACTTAATTCTATGCAGGCACAAACACCTTGGTTCAACACTTTGACCAGACGGCCCTGACTGTCTTGAGAGAAACAGAGATCTCATTAATATGGGCTGCTACAAAGAAAAGGGGTTCCCATGCTCTCCGGTCGTCATTCACTGCTCTGGAAACAGCCCTGTGAACGCTGAAAGAAAACATGAACTCCAAGGCAGCAGTAGGGCCGGGATATTGAGGGAGGGAAGGATATTAGGGAAAAGGGAGTATAGGCCTTGTGGATTCAAAAGCATTGTCATTCTCAAAACAGGCAATTCCGTGTTTTAATACTTCCCATGTCACCTGGTTTTAAAAATTGGTTATTTAAAAATCTGCTATTATCATAATTAGCTAGATCCACACTATCTAGTATGGGAGCCACTGGCCACATGAGGCTATTTAAAGACAATTAAGGTCAAATAAAATTTCAAACCCAGGTCCTCAGTTTACGCTAGCCTCACTTCAAGTGCCCAGTTGCCACGTGTGCTTCATGCAACTGTATTGGACAACATGGAGCATTTCCATTGACACAGAAAGTTCTCTTGGGCAGTGCTGGTGTAGACAGTGCTTATAGAATCTCTTGGTCTTTGGCCACTCATCACTTTTACAATGATCAGGCATTTAAGGGCATAAGCAATAAAAGCTGAATGCTAAAACTCAATGACATTTCCATTTTTAATATTCTGACTTTATGTTAAATGTCTTCTTGTTTAAAGATGTATGGACAATGGGCCGGGCATGGTGGCTCACGCCTTAATCCCAGGACTTTGGGAGTCTGAGGCAGGCGGATCACGAGGTCAGGAGATTGAGATCATCCTGGCTAACACGGTGAAACCCCATCTCTACTAAAAAAATACAAAATAATTAGCCAGGCGTGGTGGCGGGCGCCTGTAGTCCCAGCTACTCAGGAGGCTGAGGCAGGAGAATGGCGTGAACCCGGGAGGCGGAGCTTGCAGTGAGCCGAGATCGCACCACTGCACTCCAGCCTGGGCAACAGAGCAAGACTCTGTCTCAAAAAAAAAAAAAAAAAAAAAAAGATATATGGACAATGACTTTTTTTGCCTTCTTTTAATATGTCTTTTGAATATCATATGTCAGTGCTATGCAACATGTGCTCCCCGGAATGGGTCCAGTCCACAAACTATTAGTTATCAGTCTATAGTGAAGCAAATAAATCAAGAGTAAGCCTTTACAAATTTTTATAGGGATTTAACATTGCTGTGACTTCCAGGCATTCATGCTGGTTTTGATAAGTATGTGAGGTGATGGATATGTGAATTAGCTTGGTTTGGTCATTCCACAATATGTACTTGTATGAAAATACCATGTTGCCCACGATAAAAATACACACTTTGTCATTTTTCCATTAAAAAATAATTTTTAAAACAATTTGCAACAGATTGGAAATTTTGATTTATTTTATGAATTTTTTTTTTTAAAGACAAGATCCCACTCTGTCACCCATGCTGGAGTACAAAAATGCAGTCGTAGCTCGCTGCAGCCTTGACCTCCTGGGTGCAAGCAATTCTCCCACCTCTCCGGAGTTAGCTGGGACTACACACTTAGCTGATTTTTAATTTTTAATTTATTTTATTTATTATTTTTAGAGACAGGGTCTCGCTGTGTTGCCCAGGCTGGTTTTCAAACTCCTGGCCTCGAGCAATCCTCCTGACCCAGCCTCCTAAGTGGTGGCAATTTAAAACAAGAAATAAACTTGCCCTTCACCACAGAGAGGTGAGAAGCAAAGATGTATGAAAATGTTCACTTTCGGAAACACATTAACCAGCTCACGTAAAAATTTCAAACAGGACCAGCTTACGTGCAAGGAACGAAAGCTCAATTCAGGAAAAAGCTATATTAAATGTATAATTACTTGACATGACTGTGAACATAGCCTACAGTAGTTTTCTCATTCACTCTTAATGCATGTTAAGGATGTTAATGCCAGGTGCTCTTTCCTATAAATCTGGCTCCACTTTTATGTAACATTCTTTATCTTAGGGATCTTTGACCAGAGTGGGAGGAACAGGTGCCTGTTACTGAGAGTAACATGGTGTTTGTTTATTACACTTGGCTAAGTTTGGAAGGTTTGTGCTTTAGCTTATAAAAGTAGCTACTACTTGCAGAGTACTACAGTATTTGAATTGAAAAGTGTTATGCTTTACTGTATCTCCATACAAAGAAGAGGTTTCCCTGTGATGTGATTGACAGTCTATAACAGGAGTATTCCTAGCCATGTTCCAGTTTCTTCTCTGGGTACCTGGCCACATTTCAATGCACTCAGCCCACAGAGACCAGAGGCTATGTGGCACGTGTATGTGGAGTTGCTACATAAATAATACGTAGTATTAAGTGCTTATTTGCTAGCTTCTCTGACTAAACTCAGAGCTCTGCAGAGAAGGTGGCTGTACTTAGCCACCTTTGCTATCTCCCTCGACTTACACAACAGGTGCTCAATAAGACCCTTCTTTTTTTCTCTTTTTTTTTTTTTTTTATTATACTTTAAGTTCTGGGATACATGTGCAGAATGTGCAAGTTTGTTACATAGGTATACATGTGCCATGGCTGTTTGCTGCACCCATTAACCGGTCATCTACATTAGTTATTTCTCCTAATGCTATCCCTCCTCTTGCCCCCCACCCCCGACAGGCCCCAGTGTGTGATGTTCCCCTCCCTGTGTCCATATGTTCTCATTGTTCAGCTCCCACTTATGAGTGAGAACATGCAGTGTTTGGTTTTCTGTTCCTGTGTTAGTTTGCTAAGAATGATGGTTTCCAGCTTCATCCATGTCCCTGCAGATGACATGAACTCATTCTTTTTTATGGCTGCATAGTATTCAATGGTGTATATGTGCCACAATTCCTTTATCCAGTCTATCATTGATGGGCATTTGGGTTGGTTCCAAGTCTTTGCTATTGTGAGTGGTGCTGCAATAAACACACGTGTGCATGTGTCTTCATTTAATTGGCTATTGGAACTACATGATGCAGTTAAAAACATAGTTAATAATCAAGTCCATCATTCAGTTCATTTAACACGATACCAAATCACTGCTTTGACATCATTATTTTGCTTCATCTGGTAGTTGTGTAGCCCTGGACATGCTGAGTTTAAACTTCAGCTTGGTCAATGGCTTGTTGAATAATCAGGAAACTCTGATTCCAAATTATTGATATTTCTTAGCTCTAAAAACATAATCTTGGTTTGCAATAGGGGCAATATAATGAATAAATGATTGTAAAATACTTCACTATGAAATGAGGCTAAAATATTCCTTATGTGAAATATTACTACCAGAAATTCCCCAGCACTCATTGGAACTTTCTGTAAGACATCTCTCTGTCAGAGGAAGTTGTGAGTTGCTGCTTAGAAATTCAGTATCAGTGGCATTTTTGTAAACCTGGCATTTGGAAAGTGAATTTCAGAACAATCTTCTTCCTCCACCCCACCCCAACCCTCCATTTATTTGTATCACAAAACTGCCCCTAAAGTCAATATCCCCCTCCCTAAAATGAATACATTGTCCAAGATCTTTATCCCCTCCTCCTCCTCCTGCTGCTGCTGCTGCTGTTTGCTCATCAATGCAGGATTTCAGAGTTGTTCGTCCTCCAGAAGCTCCCACTCCCTTGGTCTTGTCTGAGAAGTTCTTGATTGGGCTCCCATCCATCAGAAGAAGGAGGAATTTCTGGCCCTATAGACATGCAGGTGCTCTTGCAGCCCATGATCTTGCATGAACTGGAGATGTCAGGATTGGGGAAGTGACTCCTGCAGCCTGAAGCCTTTGTTGGGAGGAGCAGTCGGAGCCAGGAAGCACATCTGCAGCAGGAAAGTGTTTGCTGATTGTGGGATTTATAAGAAAGGACACACCCGGGAGTAGGCTCTGAAAGGGGTGAAGAGCTCCATCCCCAGGATCACAGAACTTGTCCTTCTGGCTTTGATCTTTAAGCCACATTTAAACTCACAGGAAATACCACCACTCACGAGAGCCTTCACTGGGAGAAAGTATAGGCTGGGTGTTATCCAGCTCGTCACAATTGCAGGTGTATGTCTTCAGTGAGTGAGTGGTTCTATATGTCATAGGTCAGAGTTTCCTAATCTTGGCATTATTGGTATTTTGGGCTGGTTAAGCCTTTGCTGCCAGAGCTGTCCTGTGCATTGTAGGATATTTAGCAGCATCTCTGGCCTCTACCCATGAGATACCAGTAGCAACCACCTACAGATGTGACAACCAGAACATCTCCAGATTGAACATTGCCAAATGTCTGGTTGAGAACCAGAACCATAGAAAGACTCTCAAAGGATTCTAGATGTGCCATTATTTCTCAGAAAAATCTAGTAACTTTCTTCTATGATTAAGAAAATTATATGATTAAGAAAGGTAAATGATTAAGAAAGGTATGCTTTACAGCCAGATGCAATAGCTCACAAGTGTACTCCTAGCGTTTTAAGAGGCTGAGGCAGGAGGATCATTTGAAGTCAAGAGTTCAAGACCAGCCTGGGCAACACAGTGAGACTCTGTCTCTACAAATGTTTTTTTTAAAACATTGGCCCGGAAAGCTAAAGAAGAAGGATGGCTTGAGCCCAGGAGATCAAGGCTGCAGTGAGCTGTGGTCATGCCACTATACTCTGGCCTGGGTGACAGAGTGAGACCCAATCTCTTAAAAAAAAAGAAAAGAAAAGGAAATGTATACTTTATGTTGTAACCAAAAAGTATGTTTAAGCACCCACTTGTTTGAGACACTCAGTTGAGTTCTAAACAAATCAATCAAAAATTGTATCTCTAAACATGAATTTTCTAAGCTAATTGACAAATTTTTGCCTTGTAGAGAATCTGAAGATAAATCATATTCAGAATACATTGACAAAAAGTTGACATTGATTCTGTCCCAAAATATGCCTTAATGAACTTGTCTGTTAATTCCATGTGCAGAAATTGAGTATCTACTATTTTCCAGGCATTTGACCAGGAAGGAAGAAATAAAACACGATTATGGCCCTTGAGGAGTTTTAAGCATAGCGAATGCTATCATTTGGCATACAAATGACAAATGGGTGGGCTGGTCTACATAGAGGAGAAGCAGCTAAATCAAACTGAGGGGTCAGGGTAAATGTTCTGGGGAGGTAAACTTGAAGCTATGCTTTGAAGGATGAATAGGAGTTAAGTGAATAAAGAAGCAAAATCAAGGGCACTGCAGGTAGACGGAGCAGTGGGTACCAAGGCTCAGAGGAAGGAAGTGGCACAATGTGGAGATCTGTGAGAGGCTATGAATGCTTGAGTGAAGGCGTCATGTGGGGCTGGGGTAGGGAGTGAGGGGCAGATCTTGCAAAGCTTTGGGTTCTGAGCCTGAAGGCACAGTGGAGATGCAATGGCAGAATTTTAGCAGGGGCACAACAGGGCCTTTTAGCAACTTCTTCCAGCAACATTGGAAGGGTTCAGACCAGCAAGCTAGGAGGCAGCAGCAGTAATTCATGTGATAATTGACAAAGACCTAAATCAAGGCCATGTCAGTAGGTTAAGGAGGAGAACGGGGAAGGAAATCTTTCAGAGATTAAGAAGGTCAAATCTATAAACTGATTGAATGTGGTGACTTGACATAGAGGAGACATTTCTGACAGATCCCAGGATTCTAGCTTAGATGACAGTGACTGGTTCTCAATCCCAAAGTTAGGATCCAGGAAGAAGATTAGTTTGGGGAAGAGAACAATGAGACAGTATGGTGGAGTAGTTAAAACCTTCAATTGTAAAATTAAATTAGACCTGGGTTTACATACCGGTTCTATTCTTTACAACTACATGAACTTTCTTGGACTCATTTAACTTTGCTAAGCCTTGATTTCCTCACCTGTTAAATGGTGCTATTAATAGAACTTACTCATATATTATTATAAGAATTCAATGAGAGAATCATTGAGAAGAACAATGCTTAACACCTAGTAAGTCCTTAACACATGTTAGCCAAGTTAGCAGCATCCCCGAGCCCAGGAAGTCCAACTGCAAAGTTGATATTCCTAACCATTTTAATACACTACCTCCTTGGGGCAATTGCATGTAGATTAAATGGTTGAAATATAGATTCCCCTAAGCGGACTTGTGCAGTGTAAGGATAAAAAACTAGGCAAAGGTTAGATCACAGGAGATCATATATTGTAAGCTAGGGACTTTGGCCTTTATGTTTTTTGTGAAATGAGAAAATGCTGGAATGTTTTTGTTTTGTTTTTTTGAGACGGAGTTTTGCTCTAGTCACCTAGGCTAGAGTGCAGTGGTGCTATTTCAGCTCACTGCAACCTCCGCCTCCTGGGTTTAAGCTATTCAACTGCCTCAGCCTCCCGAGTAGCTGGGATTACAGGCGGACACCACCACTCCTGGCTAATTTTTGTATTTTTAGTAGAGATGGAGTTTCATCTTGTTGGATAGGCTGGTCTCAAACTCCTAATCTTAAATGATCCACCTGCCTCAGCCTCCCAAAGTGCTGGGATTACAGGCTTGAGCCACCACGCCCGGCCAAATGCTGGAATTTTAAGCAGGGAGATGGCATGTCCCAATTTTTATTTCAGAATGCTGACATCAACAGACAGGGATGACCTACCAGTGTAGGAAGGCAATGGCCAGAAAGACCCACCAGCCTTCTTTTTCTTGTTTTCCTCCTAGTGTATAGAACACTTAGTTGACAAACTTGATTTGTCTACTTCCGAGTAAAAGAGAAGGAAAAGAGTGATAGAAACTTGAGGTGTTTCAAGTATGTCAGCATGGAATATCCTTTCACTCGGTTGGCCTCACAGCTGCAGATAATGTGGATCCAGAAAGTTTGACTCCTCCTTAAAAGGACAATAGTTGATACCGTGCAGAGCAGGTAAGGAAGCTCCTTTGCAGATGAATACAAGCAGCCAAGCCTGTGGGACCAGAGCAGGCACCAATCCAGATAATAAACCCTGTTCAGCATCGTCTAGACCTGTTTGAGTGATTTGGTTTAATTAGCCTTTCCAAGAAAGAATCTTCAAGTTTTAATGGTGCATAGTTATGCTTGTAAACGTCTCCGCCAAGCATGGGCTCTAGAAGTGAGGATTTGATGGGTCACAGTGGCTTGGCTGGAAGCCACAGGGTAGCTTTAATAACTTTGTATAATCTAATGATGTCATGCAAACAGAAAAATTTGGATTAGAAGGGGAATAAGTAAATGAGGTAGTAGCATGCTCGACAGGTGAAGATGGCTGAGAGTGTGTCAGGTAATCCTCTGCCTAGACATATTTCTCCTTCAAATCTCATTGGAATTGGGGCTTCTCTTGGTCTCTATGACAATATTACTACCACAGCATGGGTAGTGGAGAGAGCACTGGAGAGAGAGTCAGCAGGTCTGATTTCTAATCTGAGCTCTTCCATCAGCTGGCTGTGCAAGTTTAGGGGCCCTTCAACTTCATGGATGGCAATGGCTCATCCATTCAGTGAAAAAACTAACCAAGGTAATTAAGAAGGAGGATGGAGAAAAGAAGAAGAAAATAATAATTTCCACTTACCTAGTTTTTTATTTAATTTGCTGAACAACATGCTATGTGGTTTGCACACTTGATCCTTCCATCTCATGACAATAACTTCCATAGCCATCTCTCTGGATTTTTTTCAGCTATTTGTTTTCATGATTCTGCATTTATGTGAAGGCACTGGGAACAATATAGAATGGCAGAAGTTGAATACAAATCCTCCCTGTATAGTAGGAGGTAATATTTTGAAACCTTGAAGGTTCAAACAGTGGCCAGGGACAGAGGATGAGGTTGGCACATATGGTAGAAAACACGAATCTGGTTCTGTTTCCTTTCTCCTCTGTCCATCCACCTGAAGACTGCATTATGGCCAGGGCTAAAGCTGTAGCCTGTTGGGAATATAGCTACCAGAGCATACTTATTTTAAATGTAGTTGTTTCCTTGCTCTCACTGCGCCATCAAAACTGAAGGCCTTAGCCTAGCTTCCATGCTTCCATCTAGCTTCCTGCCTTTCCTTCCCTTGCTCCCTCTCCACATGGTTTGTCTTCCCTTGACCTTGAATGTGTGCTGACTCTCTCCTGACTTCACACCCTCCTTCATGATGTGCCCAGGTTGGCTGAACCCACAAGTAAGCAGTCTGTTTTGGGGCCAGACATTGGTCTGAGAGCTGAGAGTAGAGAGAAAATTCAGTACTCAATTTTATTCACTATGTTTATTGGCCTTTAAAGAGAGAAGCGTGATGGGAGACCAGAGCATCTAACCTAAAGGATGTAGCTAGGAATGCCCTTTACTCTGCCCATCCTACCCTTACCTGCCCTTAAAGCTAAGCTCATGCTTGCAGCAAGCCCAGCTCCATCTGACTGCCCATTCTGATGACCCATAGCTTACACCCTCTTTCTAGTCTCAACAGGTCTAGGAGACTGTCTCACACAACTTGGAACCTTATTTCATATTTTGTTGTTTGAACTATGTTTAGATGCTTTATGCTCCTCATTCCCAAATCCTATTGCAACTAAATAATAGCTGCTTCTGTGGGTCTTTCTAGCCCTTTGTTTCTGTGATTATTATTAACTGAAATACCTTCCTTCTCTTTCCTATTGCATAACTTTCTTCCTACCTTGCACATTTTTGTGGCTGGGTGGGCCACTGGACACCAAGAAGCAGTAATTATTATCACAATTACCCTGCCTTAATAACTAACACGTTATAGCCTTTTACCCTGACAAAGCAGCTCTGTATCCATTATCTCATTGTTTCACACAACAATTCTGTTATGTAAGGAGCACAGAAATTAGCATCCCTCATTTACAGGTAATAAAGTAGATCTTAAAGAAGCTGAAGAACTTATTGTTTACATGCCACATAACAAAATGTAGTGAATAAGACCATACTTTCCTGTGCTGTCTCTGGGGAAAAAAATAGGTAGATAATTTACCTACTACAAAATGTGTGATGGGAAACTATCCTCCTGGGTCATGGCACTACTAATTACCCAGGAATCCTTAGAACCCTCTTTTGACATCAGTTGAAACACTATTGACTTATAATGCTGCTTCTCAACAGAGTTGAGTGGATCAAATAGCAAATGTGAATGACTCTATTTAACTTGGTATTTATCTTGGCATTTCAGGCCTTCCATTATTTCCTCTCTGATCTACCTGCCATTCACTGTTTACATCTTTGCACTGCTATATATTTGTACATGCTTCTTTCTCTTCCTGAAATGAAACTCTGCATTCTCCTCTCTACGTCCTTATTTAGGTCCCACCATTCTTCAAAATCCAACTCGAATTGAACTCCATAAAAAATCCACTTCCCTTTCTTCCCTCTGCCCTTGTCCTATCTCCACCACTTGTTAACCTCACCCCTATTTAATTTTCAGAGCACATCTCCAGGCATTCTCTCTTCTGATGTAGATATTTACATACATTTGTCGTTTCCCTGCATGAATGCCAAATTCTTTGGCTTCAAGCTTTTTTCTTGATTCATTTGTGTGGCCATCATAAAGTTTAGCCTATGCCTTCAATATACCGCGTTTTGAAGAACATGTGTTCAATTATAATGAATAGAAGAATTATTGTTAAAGGGGGCAATTTAGGTTGGATTGAGGACACCCAGCATGAAACTGAAATGACTGAGAACAGGCAAAAAATTCATGACTGCATGCTCTAACCACTAGACTATTTTCCATTCTGAATAGGACAATAGTGGTCATTATTTTGTTGCCACAGTTTCATTCTCACACTCACACTGAGCCTTTGAAGTGAAATCTCTCCTAGCACCACTGAGGTTGGGAGGATTGCTCACTATTTGGAGGGATTGTCAGTAGAAAGTTATGAACTCTCTGGTGAAATGCTGCTCAGTTTATTCTCTAGAGATTCAGATTCTTTTGACCAACCTGATGTTTCAACAGCTTGAAAAACGAAGGAAAGAACCATGTCTGTCTAGACTGACCAGAAAGCAAAAACAAGGGATACTTTGAAATCTGACCACAACTGAGAGTTGTACTTAGTCCAAGTAACTGGAAAATCAGTTTCTTGGATTAGACAAATGCTTCCCTTAAGACTCTCAAACTACTAGCTTTCTTCTTTTATAATTAATAGAAAATTATTACACTGACAGACAAGAGACTTCATATTTGAGCCAATGGGAAAACTTGACGTTGAAACCAGGGGAAATAATTTAGCCTCAAATAGAGTTGTTAATGCCAGGATAAAAGCAAACAAATGTGCTAATGATCTTCCTTGAGAATCTGACTGTGATGAATTTTGATGAATTCCCAGATGGAAAATATATCAGTTCTCCCTGGGCTGGGAATTGGACACTAGAATGAGAAAATGGTGAAATGGGAGTCAGCAAAAAGCACTCCGAAGATCTTATTTCCATTTTCTAGAGAACAAGAATTCTAAAGAGATAGATAATTCCCACTTCAAAGAACCAGATCTGTGTGGTTGTAAGCATCTATGACAAAGTTGGTGGTGGGCATGAGGCAGGGGGATGTCCTGATTTCCATCATAGAATCTGCCATTGCTCTGCTGGCCTATAGAATTGATGAGAGGGGAGAGTTTGATACAGCAGCTGCCTTGATATTCTCCTGTGCAGTCATGTTATCACCCAACAAACATTCATTGCCATCTCCCATATGCCCAGCCCTTTCCTAGGCATATGGCAAAGAAGAGAGACAGTCTTTGCTATTGTGGAATTCTCATTCTAGTGGGTCTAGAATTCTCATTCAATTCCCACCACTAAAATATGAACAGACAATAAATACATGCATAAATAAATGTAGAAGGTCAGATAGTAGTCAGTACTATGCAATTAAAAAACAAGTGAAGGTGAAGGGAAAACAAGTGCCATGTGCCAGGGCACAATGGATGGTGGTATGTTGCTATATTAACTGGGGTTGGAAGAGGGGAGGCCTCACAGATGATGTGACATTTGAATAAGGACCCTAAAGACATCATGGAGAAAGATGAATATTTGGATAAAGAGTATTCCAGGTACAGGGAATACCAATGCAAAAGCTGTGAGGTGTGAGTTCTTGACAACATCAATAAATGTCCAAGAAGTTAGCTTGATTGAAGTAGAGTCAGCAAACCAAAGAGTGGTAGCCCATGCATTATGAGATAGAGCTGGACACATGGCGTGGTCTTGTGCTGGGGAACACAAAACTCTCCAAGGAAGACTCCATGCAGTAGATGAGAGGATGGCTACACGTACACATGGATTGTGAAGCAGCTGACTGGCCATGTTGAAACTATAATAGACAACTGAAACTGGAATAGGCAAGGAAAAAGAAGCTGGAGTCAGTTTGACAGGATACAGCTAGCAGCTTTGTTTTCAACTGTGCTCCAAATATTGTTGCAACTTCCACAACTTTTCCTTTCCACTGGACGTGCTTACTTTCACCTCCAAACCCATTAATATATCTTCATCCTTCACAGCCTAGTTCAGGCAGTCTGGCACCAGTGTGGACACAGTTGAAACAGAATGGAATGTGGAGCTTCAAAAACTGGAGTTCAAAAATCTGCCTTTGTAATTTAGTAGTTGTCTGAGCAACGTATATAACCTCTTTGAGCCTCAATTTTGTCATCAATAATAACAAAATGTTTTAAATGTATAAAGTGTTTAAAGTATTGCCATTATCCAAGGAGAGTAATTCTGTTATTTACAGCAGAGGAAACTGAGGGGCAAGGGTTAAGTAAATAACCCATGATTATTTCTAAATTGTAGAAATGTGAAAATGCTAGCACTTGCAGGATTTGAACTCGAGCAATATGGCAACTCATGTATTTAACCCCACATACCTTGCAGGATGGTGGGCTTGCTGAAAGGGATTATCAAGAAAAAAATAACAAAGAAGATACTCAGTCATTGTTAGTTCTTGGCCACTCACACATTTTTGATTGCAAGTGACTGAGGAATCAACCCAAAATTACTTATGCCAAAAGAAAGTTTGTTGGCTTTTATAAATAAAAATTGGCCCTAGGCACTAGGGTCATGCTAGCTTCAGCTACTGCTCAATTTAGGTTCCAAGTTGCTATCATGATCCCATCTCTTAGCCCTGCTTTATCTATTCCTTCTTTTTCATGTTCCATGTGGTGAGCCATGGCAGCTTCAGTTCCACAGCAATACAACACCCAATCCAGTAGAGGAGAGGAGTTCACTTTCCTGATGGGTGACCATGTGTTCTGGTTTAGCTGGAACAGTCACCCAGTCCAATAGAAAAGAGGAGTCTACTTCTATAATAGGAGATACATCCAGAATTTCCCAAGACAGTCACCTAGTCCAAAGGAGGTGGACTGATGGACAGGATGACCATAGGTCTGGTTTTCCCAGGCACTCTTTATTCACATCTGTCATTGCAGCTTGATTATTAATTGTACCTCCATTCTCTCTCAGAAGTGTCCCAATTTATGGTAGATGTATATGGTCATTTTACTGATAGTACAAAGAAAAATAGTCTCATTAATCTTTGCCTCAGATACAAAGTCTTCCTCTAAATCTTAAGTAGTATTTACTTAGAGGAGAGAGGGAGAATGTGTCCACCAAAGAATAATAGAGGGCCTGTTATCCCAAGAAGTGGGGTGGTGGTTCTGGATGGCCAAAACCACAAATGTAGATTACAGTTCCCCTTTTCTCTTCATACTGTTCGGTACTGTTTAGCTGTAGAAATGGTTTGGGAGTTGGAAAAACATGGGTTTGACTCTTGACTCTACTGCTGCGTGTAGCTCATTCACCTTAGTGGAAGCATCTTCCCTTTCTAAAGCCTCGGTTTTCTCATACATAGAGAAAGCTCATCATGTTTGCCTCAGTGAGTTATTATGAGGAGTGAATAGACTGATAGACATGAAGGATTCAATAAATCAATAGCTACTGTTTTTCCATAGTGCCTGGAATACATCTTACCACACAATATGTGGTCAGTAAGTACCTGGTGACCGGTGACTAGGACAGGAAACAAACAAGAAAGGACCGTGAACCTCATAGTGGGTGCAGGGAGGCACGGGGTGAGTGTAGACAAGAGTTGCTGTCAGTGGTGGTGGGGCTTAGTGATCAAGGAAAGGAAAACACTTTGATGCTGAGTGAGGAGATTCATGATCCAACTGAAACATTGGGGAAACCACTGAGAAAACGTCCTTTTTAGAACTACTGGGGAAATTAGAAATTATTAAAATTTAAAACAGTAAAAATATTTACTAGACACCCACATTGGGGCATACAGATATGAATAATTAATGGAGCCTACTCCCAAGAATTTGGGAGGAAAAAACTCATAAATATACAGAATTATGTTCTACTTACAATTTATATATCATAGCTAGAGAATGATAAATGCCATAATCTTAAACATAATAGTTCTTTGATTGGATGAACAAAAGGTTGTAGGAAATACCCAACTGAAGTGCTATGAGAGGTTAAAGGAAGAAGAAATCCCGCCAACAGGTAGAGCAGGAACAATTTGGGGAACTGGGGGGTTCTTAGAATCAGGTCATCAGTGTAGCTGGATTTACATGTAGGGAAGATCAGAAAGTATTGGAGGCCTTGGACACTCCAGGTGCACTCTTACCCTTGTGCTTTTGTTTCCTTTGCCTAGGTTGCTCTCCCACAGGGGTCCATAAGACCTGATCCCTCACTTCCTTGAGTGTATTGCCAAATGCCACCTCTCAGTAAGGACCTCCCTTGCTCTCTGTGTAAAATTGTGACACCTACTACTGTGTTTTTGTTGTTAGTGATTGCAGCTCTCTAACCTGCCATATACTTCAACTGTTTATCTTGTTTATTCTCCATCTTGCTGCTAGAATGCCAGCTCCATGAGGGCAGGAATTTTTACCTGTTTTGTTCACTGCTGCATCTCCAATACGTAGAATATACCCAGCACATAGTAGGTGCTCATATTTTGTAACAGGAAAAGAAGAAGGGAGTCTGACTGAGGGGAAGCATGAACCAAGGTACAGATGGAATGTGGAACTGTGTGCAGCAGATACTGTGTTAGTGCAGGCAGACTGGAGTATGCATGTGTGTATGTGCATGCTTGTGCGGGGGTGAACACAGTAGAGGACATTTAAACAGGAAGCACATATTGGGGCCAGACCTTAGAGGACTTGAAGACTAGGCCAAGGAACTCAGCTTTTAGTCTGCATGTCATAGAAACTATCAAATGTTTCCACCAGGAAATTGATATGAACAAGTTGTTTGAAGAGGATTGATCAGACAGTGTTGTTTGTAGCAAGAGTAGGCGTGGAAAGAGGTTAGAGGTAGGGAACAATGACCAGGTGCTGCATAAAAAGCCAAGGTGGCCTTAACCGAAAAAAAAAAAGGAGGTGGGAAATGGAGAGAATAAAGGGAGATGTGCAAAAGAAGGGTATACAAAGAGATAGAATTAACAATATTTGATCCTGTTAATAAAAGGAATGCTAGAGAACATGTACTAATATTAGTGGGATGACCTATATATGCAGTGATTGATGTGACAACAGCTCTAACATTAATAGTCAGAGATGATGACTCTTAGGTATGGAAGGTACCACTCTGTCCTTAGGAACAATTTCCTTACAGCGAAAATAGTGCTTCTAAATGGTTTCTATTTATTTTACTCTTTTTTAAACTAGTTAACATAACACAATAACAATTCTAGTATGTGAAGACCTTGAGTGTCTGCCTTCCTTTGGGACAGATCTACAGTCACTCCTAAAAGTTAAATATCATGACATCTCTATCTCTGTGACTCTGATTTTCTTTTTCACAAGCAAGGTTCCCACCAAAGGAAACTGCAGATTTGCACATTGGGAAGACTTAATAGAGAAAGCAGAAGAATAGAGAATGGAATTGTCTAAAAGCGGAAGTAGATAGCAGAAGGGATTTGAGTCTGAAAAACAGAGGAGTCCCTCCTTATTTTCCAAGCAGCCAAGAATTGCATCTTCAATTGTTCTGAATTTTTTGCTCTGTGTGTGTGTGTGTGTGTGTGTGTGTGTGTGTGTGTGTGTGTGTGTAGGCATGTGCATGCATATGTGGACAGCTACACATATAGGGCTGCCAAGGATGGCCATAAAGGCTGTGTCTTACACGCCTCAAGGAGGCTCTATTCACATAGGCCATAATGGCAATGCTGCTTTCTGGAGTTGTGCAATGGGATGGCCCTGCTTACGAGAATGTAGAGAAGAGAACTAACTTGAGAAGTGGCTGTGCTCTTTCAAAGTATCTCACCTTCCCACATCCCATAAAATCTGCAATTTGCCATTACAGGTTAATTTATTTGGATTATCATTATGTAGTCTATCAGTTTGAGTTAGTTCATCCAACTATTCTCTTCAGTGGCTAAAGAATCCATGACTTTCTGAGAAATCTTGGATAACAAGGGCCTGAAAGATCTAAGACTGAAGATAAGGAAGATGGTGGAGGGGTGGGTTCTGACAACAAACTTGGCCTATTTTACACACAATTGAGTCAAAGGCTGCTCTGCTCTGAGCAATACTGGAGAATTAAGTTAGGGTCAGATGGTAGTGGGTCTTAAATGCTGAGCTAATCTAGGAAATAGGGAGCCATTAAAGGTTTTTAGGAAGAAAAATGCATGGAAACACCGATCAGTCAAGCCTCCTTGTCTCCAAACATCAAACTGCTGAAGGTATCCACAGACTCCCACCTGAGTATCTCTGAGAAGGTCCTTGTTCTCTTCCTCATCTCTGTCCTTCCATGCAAGCTGACTGATCCACATCAACTCAATTCAATACATATTTACTATGCATATATTACATATCAGTGCTCTTACAAGTTTCAGAAACAGCTGCTTAAACAGTACTATTCTCTGACTTCCCCTCTCATTTTGAATATTTTCTTTCATTTCCTCCCATTTGCAATGCCTTGGGTGACATTCCTTCAGGAAGTAAACTTTCCAAGTACTGTCATGTTAGAGCCTTAGGAGAGATCTGATGTGGCCTAGAGTGTTAACAGGAGTGCTCTGTACGATGAGAAATGTATGTTTTCTTTACTCTGGCCAGATGTTTCTAGACCAGAAAGTGAAGGTTTTTTCAATATTAGCATGTAGTATATTTAACAAAGTGCTTACTGAAAATCCCACAAAATATGTCTTTCCTGCATATTTTTAAAGCGTAGAGGCGCTCACCTTGGTTTGTGTAAGCATTCAGTGGTGCATGTTATACTTTATCTTGGCTGCTGTGATACATATTGGGAGGGTGGCTCTCTCTGGACTCCCGGCGAAGTTGGCAAGCTGTATCCAAAGTTGGTCCAAGGATAGGGTGGCTTGAGTGAGTTATGTGCGAGAGCCCTCACTGTCTGCTATACAAATACATGTCTAAATTCACAGTCTGATTCATCACACCCGCTGGCAACTGCGCCGACCAAAGTCAGGTTCTCAACTGCTGCTTGGACTATGGCTATGGCCTACCTTCTTACTGTGCCCTGGCTTTAGTCTTGCCACCCTCCTGCAGCCTCCACGTTGCTGCCATATCCTTAAACAAAATCAGAATTTGACTCTTGTGTTTTTTAAAACCTCCAGTTTCTCTGCAGGGTAGATTGACAGCAGTGATTTTCATTGAGGGTCAAGCCATCCCCAGAGAGATATATCCGAATCTGCACAAAGGGTGTGCTGGGGAAGAGAGAAGTGTGGCTTTAAAAGCCATATCTAGCATCAGCAGTGCCTTGGATTTCTTTTGAAATTGTTAATAATATTTATGGACTGAATGTGATTAATATTTATTTAAAGTGGGCTACTGATCTCTAGGAAGAAGTCCACACTTCTTGTTCTGCCATTCAAGGCCCTACGTGATGTAGTACCATTAGTAATTTCCAGAACAGTCTCCTGTTTTCATATTACCAGTCTCTGTACTTAACGTTGATAATATTAAGAAGAGTAGGTCTTTGAGGGACATTTACTCTGGTTGTAGAGATAGATGCAAAAAACTAATTTTACACGGTATGAGATGTGTTATTGTAGAGATATTTACAAGGTGGGTGGCAGAATAATGGAGGGGATTCACAAATCTGTTTCAGAGGAAGAGTTAAAGCTGCTGGAGTTGCATCATAAAGGCTGTAAAGACAGGCAGATTCAAGACAGATGCTGGAGGTGGAATTGACAGGACTGAGACCCCCCTCTTACTAGTCCCTGATGGAAAAGGGGAATTGAGGGCAGTGCTCAGGTATCCAGCTGGGATTCCATATGAACAGTGGCACCATTAAGCAGGTCAGAGCTCTGCTGTGGACATGTCAGGTGTGAGGTGCCCCTGAGATGATCACGTTGTAATGTCCACTACAGAGTCTGGAACCTAGAAGGGATATCTTGGCTGGAGAAATCAACTTATAGGTGATAGTGGAAGATACAGGTGTAAGAGCTAACCAGAGTGAGCATATAATATTAGAAAAGATAAAATGAGACAAAAGGCATTACGCAAAAAGATGAAACCAAAGCCAGAACTGCAAAGAATATCTTCCAATATATTTTTTAAAACTTTAATAGAACTTGAAGGGGTTAAGCCTTTTTCTATTAAAAATTTAAAAATATGTTATAAGAAGAATCACCATCTGAATATCCATACATGGAATTATATAAAAGTGGCCAGGGCATTTGTTCTTAAGTTGAAAAGAACATATCCAAAAAAACAAACAAACAAAACAAAACAGAAAAACTCAGGTCTTTATATCTCTCCAAGTCTATTCTCCAATAATAGTATACTAGTAAGCTTGATTTAGAATTGCCTCTGTGTCCTTGCCAGTTTACATCTTGGAAGCTTGTTTCTATTCATTTCATAAGCCACAACGTATTTGATCATTTCTAACATTCACAATTTTCACATTAAAATTGATGATGTGTTATAGTTTAATAGCAGTAATCGTCTTTCTCAGTGGTATATAAAATAATTGTGCATCTTGCAGTCATTGGCCCATTCAATTCAAAGTCAAAGTGGTAATTGCTTTGTGCCTTCTGCTATGGGCAGCAGGAGGATGCCCTTTGGAGCTGAGAAGGATGGAGTGAAATGGTCCTGTCCACTCCCTGCCTTCACTCTCCACCCGAGCCAGCCTTAGCGGTCTTCCTGAGGTGGCAGATGGAGGAGCCACAGTCCTCTCATGAAATGTCAGGAGCAGAGCATCAAGGGCTCTGGCAGGAGCTCAGATCCTCTTATCCCAAAGTTTTGCAAGCCCTAAGAGGGCTGAGGAAAGCAAGAACCCAGTGGACTCGTAAAACACAAACCCCTCTCTTCACAGAGGGTCGCCTTGTGTCGTTGAGGGTTCTGGTTGCATGCAGCAGGCATCATCTCTGGTGGGACTTACTGGAAGGAAATCTGGTGCTGACAACGCCTCTAGTGGGATTTATTGGAAGGAAATCTGGTACTCACAGAATCAACAGGAGGCAGAAGGAACAGGTTTGAAAAAGCGTGGGGACCGAGGGAGCTCTGGAACACTGGGCCTCTGGAACAATCTTGCCAGGATGTTGGGCGTCACTGCTGCTACTGCGTTTTCCTCCAAAATGAATCCTAACTTTTTTCTCAGCTCTGACTCCAAGGATCCAAAGACAAAGCCTGAGTTAGGAGCGACCAGTCTGACTCCCCAGATCCTGTCTGTGCCCTGGCCACCAGGAGATGAACAGCAGGAAACTCTTTCCCCCTGGGCTTCGAGAGAGGAAAGTAGGATCCAGCATATCACCAATCCGGATTGCTGCAAAGGGAATATGCCCCAGACAGAAAGGGGTTTTGCATTATACTGTATTGCCAAACACTGACAAATGTTCCACTGCACTCCCCTTCAAATACCTCACATTTGTAAGGCTATCAAAACAAGTCAGCGAGCAGAGGACTGCTGCATACTAAAACTGTCTACGTCGGCTTCATTCAGAGCCATGGACTAGTGGAGGAAACGAACTCTTCTGGAGCTCAGGCAAAGGGTCGAGCCTCGTGCTGAGTGTGTTATCTGTGATTGCTGCATAATATGTAGTTACTCATTCTTAGACCTCTGAAAATCTTAAGGGAGGAAGACAGTGGTTACCAAAGATTTTTCCAACCAGGAGGAATGAATGTGGCAACTGGAGACAGCAGAATATGGGTATTAAATAAAATAATGTATCTAAAAGATGCCATTGTTTAGAAATTAGCCCCTTGGATTGACAGGTAATTAACTTCTGCCACTAGTTTAATTTCTTGTGTGGACCTGGATAAGGGAAGCCATACATGGGTGGTAATTTTATTCCCTCCAATCTCAAAGGAAACGTAACTGGGTATGAAGTAGTGGCACAACTCATATATCAGTAGTCTGTAGCAGGTCTACATAAATCCTTTTCTTTAAAGTTATTTAACTGTTTTGAAAATGGTTTCAACAGAAGTAATTCCAACTGCACCAGAAAGGAAACCAGAGTTTTAAAGAAAAATATACTCTCTTTGCTGAGCAAGGCAAACATATCAGTATGCAGAGAAACAAACCAGTCTCTTGTGTTTTATTTCCTTTGCAAATCCACCAAAACACTTACTTTATGTCTTTAAAAGGCTGATAGACAAAGAATTCTGTGACCACTAAAAATTAATACCTACAACTGGTTTGTAGACACTTTAAAAGGGCAGGTACTATTTTTTAAATTTCTCTGTTTTTCACAGTTTCTCATTATGGGACTTTGTACATACTATAAACACAATACATATTTGTTGTGAGTGTTTTTTTAGACCGATCAAAAACATATTCTCTGGGGAAGCATTTTCCATTCAAGGAATTAGATAACCTGCTATTTCCTCACATGCTTCTATGCATAAACCTAGACATTGTATCACAAACCTAGTCCTTTTTATAGCCAAGCCCTTCACAGAATAATATTTTTCCAATAAGCTCGTAGTGGCATTTTTGGTCATGGTGTTTCTTTTTTGACTCTTCTGAGAATTAATGTTTAAAATAAACACCCTTATAGCTGTGAAAGATGAGAACTTGTTACTATTTAAGCTGACTAATTCAAAGTCATTTGGTAAAACTACTTTCAGTTTTAAGAACTAGAAGATTTAAGTGCTCAAACTAGATGGCTCTAATAAATGCACAATTATTATCTATAGTCAGTATAACTAATTATCAGTGAATCCAGACCTTGATCCATTACTCCCCTCACGTCCATGGATTGAGAAGCAAGAATCTATTTGTTATTAGTCTTATTTCCTCCAAGGTCTTCACACAACTCACTCCCTTAACTCCATTAAGTTTTTGCTCACATGTCACCTCATTGTGGCCTTGGTGGACCTTTTCACTCTGTTTTAAATTGAGACTCTCCCACTCTTGACCAGAATGCCTAATCTCTCTTTCCTATTTTGTATTTTCCCCCATAGCATTTGTCTGACACAGTATATATTTTGTTTTTTTATTTGTTTTTGGTTTCTCTCCACTGGAATGGAAGCTCCATGAGCACAGAGATTATTTTGTCTGTCTTGTTCCCTGGTGTGTGCCCAGCACCTGGCACATAGTAAGTGCTCAGTCAATATTTGTTAGACTCTAAGGCAATGTTTGTTTTGAAGATTTATGCTTAAGTATGTTCCCAATGACCTTGATGGTTTAAAAAGCAATTTTGTATTGGTTATTTTACTTAGTTATTCTTACAACAACGTGTTTTAAGGAAGGATTATTATCCCACTCCAGCAGATGAGAAATGGGGGCTCAGAGAGTTCCTATGAATTGGATAAAACCCAGGGGCCAGCAAGTGGTGGACTCCAGCCTGGAACAAGATCAAATACTTCCTTTAGGGTGCTGCTCTCACCTAAGCTGTGAATCTTTCTGGCTGGGGGAATTAACACTTCATATTAAGCATTGCCGGCCAGGTCTCAAAGCAGTGGATTCCAGAATGAAAATTAGAACAGAATGTGGTTGTAGAATACCTGATAAATAAAATAATCCATTATGTACAGCTCTCAAGGGTGAGAAGCATACCTTCTCAGCTACAACTTGTATTTGTTCACCTCCTGAGTGTGGAAGAACAATCCATGTTGAGGCCATGCAAGTCCACCTCAAAAAGTCCCTGCAAAGCCTCCTTACCTTGCAATAGAACATTGCAGCTGCTTGTATTTCAGTCCTTTCTCCATGGCATTTCTATTTCACATCATGCTGTGGTTCAGGAGGCAGTTTGCATAGTGGTTAAAGATCACAGACCCCAAAACAGGCAGAGCCAGACAGAACTTGAAGCGGGATGTGGTTGCAGTTCCTTCGGGGGAAATTATTCTGTCTTCTCATCTGTAAAACTGGGCTAATGGTACTAAGTTCTGATAAATAAATTAGATTATACAAGTGATGCACTCATCACTGCCTTAAGTGTTAGTGAATATCTCCTGTATCCCTTCTACTAAATTGTAAGATTGTAGAAGGAAATGCACTTACTGGCTTTATTAGTTTTCAAGTTTTGCTATAACAAAATACCACAAACTGGCTGTTTAAACAACAGAAATGTAATGCCTCACAGTTCTGGAGGCTAGGATCTGAGATCAAGAAGTCTGTGGGCTTGGTTCCTTCTGAGGACTGTGAGGAAGAATCTGTTCTCCTAACTTCCGGTGGTTTTCTGGCACTCTTTGGTGTTCCTTGGCTTGTAAAAGCATCAGGCCGATCTTTGCCTTCATCTCCACATGGTGTTCTTCCTATGTTTGTGTGTCTGCATCCAATTTCCCCTTTTTATAATGGCACCAGTCATGTTGGATTAGGTGCCCTACTCCATTATAACCTCATTTGAACTAATTATATCTGCAGTGACCCTATTTTCAAATAAGGCCACATTCTGAGGTACTGGGGTTTATTACTTCAACATATGAATTTTGGGGACACAGTTCAACCCATAGTTCTGGCCTTATCACCTTTGTTTTTTGTTGTATTTGCCCTGTACTTAATAAGTGGCAGGGCATGGCTGCTGAATCTGTTAAAGAAATGTCTCCAGAAGGTTCAGAAATAAAGCCACTTACCAACAGCTGAGAGGCCTTTTGAAAACTGCCTCTTCATCCAAGGATTACTGAAAGAGGAAACTTCTCTCTAGCTAGTTCTTCACTAGACTTTGTGTTTAGTCCTTGGGTCAGGAAGATACGTCATGTCGAGATGGATATTTTGATTAGGACTTTCCAAATGGAATTTTGTGTGTGTGTGTGAAGAGATAGCATTAATATGTTCACATACGGATAAGGACATAGATATGCTATTTATAACTTAACTTTTAAAAGATTTATTTGTTTAAAAGTCTAGGTAACAGTGTTCTTTTCAAAATTTTAGGTGCGACTTTTCATCTCATAACTGTGACCTCAGGTTTGTGTGAATAATAAATGTCAGTTCTTTAAAATGTTTTACATCCTTTCTTATATATGTATAATGTGGTTATAAAGTAGTGAGCTTGGCTCCACAGTCTACCTGCATGCCTATAGAGTATGATATTTCAATTAAAATTCATGTTTTCAAAATTCTAATATCTAAATTGCAATGCTATATTTTACATATCTGTATTTTTAAAATTGATATTCCTACCACAAATCACTTGCTTAATATTAGTTAGAATTCTGTAAGTTGCTTACTTAGAATTTTGTAAGTTACTTATTTATTTGAGCATTTAAGTGTGCATTTATAATGTATTCTAAGTGATTGGTGCTGAAATTTTGAGTTGATAAATCTCAGGATTTATTGTGATGGAAACGGGACTATCTACAGAGCTTGAGATTTTATAGGTCTGTAAATATTTGTTGAATGAGCGAACATATGGGGTGGAGGAAGAAGCAAAGTCATTTCTTTTCAACTCTCTTTGAACCAATGAAATCAATAACCTACATGGAGTACAATACCATATTTAAAGACTGAAAGCAAATTTTAATTTTTTATGTCGTTTTATTTTCTATAATTTGGATTTTCTTGTGACACCTTGACACTCCCTTAAACCTTCTACACTGTGCCTGATGCTTTCAAACACTATATAATGGAAGGGGCCTCTAGGAAAGGCAAGTTGAGAGTAGAGGAAAAATGAGCATACATTTGCATAGGGCAGGAAGGGCACTGTAACATCTGGCAGGGGTAGCCAACTCAGTCGACTTGTTAGTCTCATTAAATTCACATTAATGCATGAACTGCTCTGAATGTGTAAATACCATTTTGAGTTGTTTTCTCCCAGACCAATGGCATTGACTTTGGGGGCCCTTCCCTTGGTTGTTTACTTGCCAATGGCATTTGACCTGGGGTCAGACCTGTATTTAACCCTTTCCTGTAGGTCAAAAACAAATTAATTTGGTGAGAATTAAATTGGAAATGAGTCATCTGTACAACAGGTGTTCCCTGTGGGAAATGTGCTCCAGGTGGAAACATTTTAAAATCTGTTCCTGGGCCATCTTCGAAGAAGCTTCAGAGGTCAGGGAGGCAATTCCAAGACATCCCACGTGGTGAGGGCCTGGAGCTGGATGTACAGGTGCCCATTCAGTATGGTTTTCTCAACAGCTTGGGGAAATTTTCAAAGAGGCCCCTTTTGGAGATAATTTATTCATAAATTCATGAACATTTATCTTGGGCATTCATTGTGGACTGATTTACTTAGATGTTGCCCTAAATGATTGGAACTTTACCCTTTACCCCTACCTCCCACTATCAACCAAAGACTTTGATTTGGAGGAAAGAAAATATTGTATTTTTCTCTTTCTTTTTTCTAGAGGATGAGGAAGATGAGGAAATGGTGGAATCTAAAGTTGGCCAGGACTCAGAACTGGAAAATCAGGACAAAAAACAGGAAGTGAAGGAAGGTATGATATGGAAAATAAACTGAGTAATCATTTTATTGTTTTGTTTTGTTTGCCTTTACTAATATAAGAGACTATAGAGCTAAGTAAAAATTGAATTTGCATCCCCTATATGGAAGATTTTCTATGATTGTTCAATACATTACATTTAGCAACATAAACTGTAATCTCCAAAGCAAGAGTCATTTATTTCTTGACTGATAAAGGCAAATAAAGTGCAAAACGTCCACAATTTCAGTAACAATTTTAGTCACAATTCCAGAACACTTGTTACCAATTGCCATGTTATCTCATTCACAGAACCATATATTCCCAATGATAACAGTAAAGCAAAGGACTAGATATAATTATTTTGTGAATAAATTCTAAAGTGTTTTCATGTGATCTACATAGAAACATTAATAGTGATCAACGCTAGTAACTCTGCTATTAAAATTTTTCTTCTGCAACTCTGCCTGTATAAGGAGGAACAACCTCTTACATGTTCTGGTGATAATAATAACTAACATTTATTAAGGGCTCACTATGCCCTTGGCTCTCTTCTAAGCACTCCACAGATATTACTCACTCCTTACAACATCATTTTGAAGCAGATACTGTTATTACCCCTATTTATAGGCAGAGAACTAGGAAGAGAGAGGTCTAAAACTTTATCCAAGGATACATAATGTACAAGTACATGAGCCAAGATTTAGAGTTAAATCCAAAGTTTACATTTTACCCTGTTGCCCTCCTCATAATAGCACTGTGCCTGTAAGTAGAAAGAAAGAAAAAAGAAAAGAAAAGGAGGGACATGAAATACTGCAGGTGACATTTCCTTACAAACCCAATTTTGTATTACTTTGAGATTCTCAGCCCATGGAGACAGAAGAGAATTTTGAACTTGTCTTACTTGCTGGCAAATAAATGAAGAGCGGGACCTAAGAACTGTGTAGATTAAAAAGGTTCTTCCATATTTCCTAATGAGTGTCCCAAGTATAGATCAATATAACTCTGATTAGAAGCTCATTTGATCTGTAAATTTTAAAGATGGTTGTGGCTCTGGCACAGTGTGGCAGATGTTCAGCACTGGGGTCTTTGTAGGAATTGATACCTACTGATCCCAAGTACTCACTTCAACACCTTGTGCTCTCATGAGAAAATTAGAGAAGCCCAAATGCCTATTACAAATGACATCCATATCATATGGAGTTAAATGGGACAATTTTTTTTTTTTTGAGACAGAGTCTCACTCTGTCCCAGGCTGCAGTGCAGCGACGTGATCTCAGCTCACTGCAACCTCTGCCTCCCAGGTTCAAGCTATTCTCCTGCCTTAGCATCCCGAGTAGCTGAGATTACAGGTGTGTGCCACCATGCCTGGCTAATTTTTGTATTTGTAGTAGAGACGGGGTTTCACCATACTGGCCAGGCTGGTCTCGAACTCCTGACCTCGTGATCCACCCGCCTTAGCCTCCCAAAGTGCTGGGATTATAGGCGTGAACCACCACGCCCAGCCACAATTTTAGAAAATTATTAAAAATCACTTCATATTGAGGCTCATTTGAAGTGTGTCTGAGTGTAGGTGTTTAATTTAGTTTTGGTTTGTTTTTTGCAATCTCAGGTATCTAAAGGCCAGTGCAAGATAGTAATGAAAAAGCATAGCCTCTGGAGCCACACTACCTGGGATAAAATCTTGTCTCTGTCAATTATTAGCTGAGTGATCACTACAGACTAAGTTAGTTTAACCTTTTTTTGCCTCAGTTTCCCCATCTGGCAAACAGGTTTTTAAAAAACTCAACAGGGCTAGTATGGAACAATACTTGGCACAAAGTAAGTGCTGTATAAAAGTTTGCTAAATTATCATTAGTAGTCTTGCCTTGCAGTGCCTGGGTCTATAACTGGTTTCTACCCTGATGGGATGGATGCCCTTGGGGGCCCCAGCTCTCTGTGCTCAGCTTTGCCATAGCCCATAGCTTTGAAATGAGAACATGGTTACAGGGGCCCCAGCTAGCTAGTACATTTAAAAAATGTGGAACTTTCAATAGAGATGCAAGCAAAGTCCTTTAAACTTGTTGGAGAACTATCATTAAAGGTCTTATTTCTGTTACTGTGCTAGGTCTCAGACATTGAGAAGTTCAATCGTTGTCAAGTTCTAGGGTGTGACTAAGGTTTAGGAGAAGATTCAGCATTTTAACAGTGGCATCCACAGAAGACACAAGGCTTACTCTTTCTGAGAGTCTAAATGAATTTGATCGAAGAGATCTCACATTTAAACTTATACTAAAAACGTCTTTTAAAAAAAAAGTTGGTGAGTAGAATATCATGATTACAGGTGTAGTGAGGTACAAAATAAGTCAGGATCTATTAAAGTACTCCTTTACCCTTTGCAAAATATTCTTAAAATACACCTGGTGATAAGGAGCCAGGGTATATTTTGTGTGTCTTGGCATGGATTCCCCATCACCACCACCCCAGCCCCAATCTCCAAGTCGTCTTCTCCAGCAAAGCAAAGCAACCTCCTTCTTAAGTTCCAAGCGAAAACACCCTTCAGTTTTAACTGTTACTCGTGCTTCATGGAATTGATTAAAGTCATGTTAAAAGTCAAAAAGAAGTTTGAAAGAACATTTCCTGTTCCTGCTGCACTGTATGCCTTATTCTCCATTAATGGCTTTTCTGCAAATTAACACATAATGGGTTAAAAGGATGTTTATGTTGGCATCAAACTCTGGCTTTTTTTTTTTTTAAAGCAAGACAGTATTTTGCAAACTTTTGAAAGAATCTCTAGCAGATATAATCGTGGCGCCATTCACACGACTGCATAGTAGTTAGGGCTGTGTCAGCACTTCCATTACGAACCTTGCGTTTCAAGGATTTATTACTCAGCCATAAAGATTTGCTCTGGGCTGAAACTTGACATACACAGTTTCAAACCAGGGAACACATTTTTGAGAAATCTGGCTTTTTTTTTTTTTTTTTTTTTTTTTTGGAGTGAAAAGGAAGAAAAAGGTGGTGAGGGGGACATGGGGAAAATAATCAGTACTCACTAACTTTTGACATTTTTGCCCACGTGACATCAAAGTGCATTAAACACTAAAGAAATGCAGTCTTGATTTATTACTGTTTCACTTTTTTCTGCCATAGAGTAGGAAAAAAATCAGGTATATTTTAGCTTATAATCAAAGTTTAGAAAACTTCTATATGTCAGTGTCCTCATGTCTTCATGTTTAGAAATTCAAAACAATACAACTGGGAACCTAACATTTTTGTAAATACAAATCAACTCATAAACCTCACATTGACGTCAAAGAAAGATGTCCTTCACTTTTAGTTTGGTTTGGTTTCTTGCTGCTGTTTATGAACTGATTTCACTGTAAAATTCCCATGAGAGCCACTGTCCTTATTTAATCTAATGTTTTTCCTGGCTACATGGGTTTTATTTTTTATCTCTTAGAGATCCTTGAAAAATATTTTTGAATAATTTTTATATTGAAATTTAAAGCAGCATCACTGAAACAAGTCAGGACATATTTGTAGTAGATATTTTTAAAATATCTTTTAACAGAAATGAGATACTAAAAAACTCAGTATAAGTTGTGAACTTCATTATAAATTGTACATTTTTATAGAGGGAAAAAAATCACAAGAAGGCAGAACCCAAAAGATATAGTTTAAAGTAGTATAAATTAATTAAAGAGAAACTGACAAAGTATACATTGAGGATAGCAGGAAAGGTCAAGAAAACACGGCAAATGAAATACAATCATGCTTGAAAGATTTATTTAAAAGTATTTTCATATAAAAAATAAGAAAAATTAACATTTCTACAATAAAAAGTGGACCCTAAGTGAAATTTATATTCTATTGTAATTTTGCAGGCCACAAATTTGTAGAATTAGGCTGTCTTCTGAATTTCATGTATTCTGTAAAATTTCTTTCATACATGTTATTCAAATTCAATATAACTGGTTAAATTTTGGTAACTTTGAAAATTGTCTTATCATTTGGATTACATGTAAGTTACATCCATGCATTCTACTTTTCATAGTGTAGAATCTACTTCTTCTTAAAGAGCTCTTTAAATGCACAAAGTATTGTTAGCTGCCAGTTCTTGGCAGAAACACTCCATGTTTTGTGTTGTGAAAACAAAGAAAAAAAATCTGCTATAATAGTATTTTCTGCTTAACCTATAAGAAAAACTATTATCCATGCCCACATTTTGTTTTGGTATGCCCTTTGCTATTAAATCCTATCTTTTTAATGCCATGAACTTGTTAAAAATAATTTATTAGATTCCAGGGATAGGGAAAAGCTGTAGAAACAGATACTTGAGGTAGAATATGGCATCTATCTTGGAGTAAAACAATTCTGATTCTATTTGTTTATTCCTGTATTTTGAACTTTGTGGAATCCATTAATCAACCAATTTTCTTTCATGAAATATGATGCCTGGAGAGGTTTTTATCTCTGAATACACCTTTTGGTTGTGGTTCCTGGATACTCCATTATGTTTTCATGATATTGAACAACACTTATCAATTTAAAGATCTTTGAGTATGGGTGGTTTTGTTTATTTAATCAAAAATTACTATGGCCCTATTTAATTAAGTTGAATATTGTTTATGACTTTTAAAAAGTACTCATCTGCACATGCATCTGATTATTTTGTGCTAACAAATCATGTCATTTGATCCCTGTTTGACATCAAAGCTTAATATAAAATGTATCTTTTGTTTGCTTCTGTAGCATTTTAATTTCAAGCCAAATATTGTATTGTCAATCATAATATCTGGAGAGGCTAGTGCTCCACCTACCTGAACTTGGCCTCTGCAAGCACACTTTGATCAGCCATTTATGTTTCTGTTAGAGAAGAAGTTGTGTGTCTTGAAAGCTGAGATCAAAGTGACAATAAGCTACAGGGAAGAAAAAAATTACAGAAAATTACATAGATACCATTTTTTATTCAAGGTAATGGACCTGTAAGGAAAGATACAGGTGAAATAGAAGTGGCTCAAAAAGATAAACAGAGACTAGAAAGATTTTTTAATATCTTAAAAAATAAAGGAGAAAAATTCCTACTACTTTGTTTAATTTCAAGTGTGTCTCAAGTCATCTATTAACAGTGACCAAGGCCAAGTGAGTCTTTTTGAATAAGACATTCTTCTTGGCCTATAGTATTCTTGTTTAGTCAGGTTTATTCATTTATGTAACAGCATTAACCAAAACAAAATGGACTTAGTAGGGTTTGTTCCCCTTTTGCCTAGTTCCATTTTGTAGTTTTATTATATTCTGGAGTGAAATAATTCAAATGTCTCATTTACAGGAGTTTTAGAAAGCAGACTAGTAAATTGCTACTTCATTAGTAATTATTGAAGCCCAGCATATTTAGCTTTAATTCTTAAACCAGACTTAAAGTTTAGGTATCATCCCCATTTCATAGATAAAACTACTGCTCAAAGAGCTTCAGTGCATTGATTAACTAATCAAATCTAGCATATGGCAGGGTGCTTGATTGCAGGTTGGTGTCGTAGAGTTCTTTGTGTTATTTATGACCTCCACCTATTTCCCCACTACCTAGCCTAAGTCTGAGTGTGCATATTGTCTGATTCAGCATTTCACAAACTAGTGTCTCAGCAGCACTGCTCAGTAGAAGTTAATGGGGTCCTTGGAAAGTCTCAGTACACACTGGAATATTTAGGGCTCTGGAGACCTAGACAGCAAAGAAATATTTCTAATTTTATTTAGGGCTGCTAGAAACTATGAGGTGGGGTGTGTTAGGAGAAATTCTTCTGCTATAATGGATGAATCACGTGTTGCCCTAATATTACCTGGAGAGCATTTCTTAAGGTGTGAACCAACTACATCAGGATCATTCTAGTTTCTTGTACAAATAGAGATTCTCGTGTTTCTCCAGACCCCCTGCCTCATGGTCTGGGGCAGGGAAGGGGAGGCTAGAAAGAGGGAGATGTTACGAACATTGGATCCACTGCCATGACTTGACTCTGTAGAAGGGCTTCTTGACACTACAGATTTCTTAGGCTTCAAGATACAATTAGTCCAATTATGTAACACTTTCATAAAATATTGTGCTACAGGTGATAGTACCTAAAAGATTCTTCTGACCATGTGGCCAGGTGGAAATCGATTTTGTTGTTAGGATGGTTGTGGAAGTGCTTGGAAAACCCTGTAGGTGAGTGATTCCACCAGAGGCTCCACCTGTGATTGTAATGCACTACCCTCCTCCTGTAAGTTTAACTTCAGGAGCTTCTGTACTACTTACTGAAAGAGTAACCAATGAAAGGTTTATTGTAGGCTCTCTCCACCAGAGTTGAACTAGGGTTCCTGAAGAACCACAAAGGTTCAGCTGACAGTTTCTGCCCTTGATGGTTTTTTGGTCTGGGGAGTTCCTAATCCCTTCCCTAAGGTTTTATGTAAAACTCTCAATTGAAGGAATGGTTTATGTAACCAAATGGTGACTCTAAGGTGAGCTCACTTTCAGAAACTATGACATGCTACTAGTTATTTGATCTCTTTGTCTCATTTTTTATCTTCAAATTTAGTTTGATAAGATTAATCATACCAGAAAAGTAAGGCAGAAAAACAATTGTGGGTTGTTTTATAGAAGCATGTATTTGTTCCATGTGTTTGTTTAAAAGCAGAAGATCTTGAGTGAAAGCAGGTTTGGAATGATATATCTCTGCTTTTGAATATAATTTATATAACAATCAGTCAGCCTTACCAACTAACCATTTAAAATAAAATGAATTTATGAATTTACTCAGTAGAAAAAGGAAAGGTACTATGAGGATCATATTATAGAGTGTTCCTAATTATTTAATATTGCCAGCTTGACAATAGTACAATAGCATAATAGCATATATAAATACATAGTTTTGTGAATTTATCTATTATGCCATATTTAAGCTGTTTTTCAAGTTAAAAAAAACATTTAGAACTGATTGCTAAAAACACACCAATCTATTTTTATTTGTAATCTTCTTCAACTCTTCAAAATAATAATTAGACCAAATATGCAATCTTTTTGTGGGGACATCTGCAGAAGCCTTTGGTGTGAATTTGTAAATAATTTAGAATCAATATTAGCAATGATTTGTTTCACTGTGTCTTGCCACTCGTTTGATAAGCAGTCTCTCTCAAGAATTGGGTTCCTCTTGATAAGTTTTAATTGTCACTTTTTCTTCCCTAACAATCTCTTTTACAAAAAAATAAATAAATAAAGCCCCTCCAAGAGAGTTGACAGAGGAAGAAAAACAGCAGATCCTTCATTCAGAGGAATTTCTCATCTTTTTTGACCGGACAATACGGGTAATTGAAAGAGCCCTGGCTGAAGATTCCGACATCTTTTTTGACTACAGCGGCCGAGAGTTAGAGGAAAAAGATGGGTTAGTCTCTTGTGTGCATTCTTTAAAAAATAGCGTAAGTTATCTGTTAATTCTAATTTATTTATGTTCTGACTAGGAAAATTCCAAATTAAGAAATCAGAGGAGGGTGAAATTTTGGAATTGATCTTGCTGAACAGCTTTGACTATGGGCTTTGGTGATAACTTCTGGCTTAGAGCGTCCTTGTAATTATCATGTGCTTCTGTGAAATGCTTTTGAACTTGGTATCTGGGGAACAGTCCAGGTGATAGAGACTGGCAGAGTCACATGCATTATCCTCTGAGAAAACATTCTTTTGAGCAGCAAAGGAGATTCATGTTGTATCTACTAGATTTATTCCTGATGTCCAAGCAAATAGGAAATTGAAGAAAATAAACATGAGGTGTGGGAGAAGTTAACTGATGTGTGTAATGATGAACAGAGACTGGAAAATGTTTCCTTTTTTTGGTATCATGAAAGTATGCATATGTGTATATGCCTTTTAGGAAACATATTAATATATGTAAGAATATATTTCCAGGCAAAACAAAACTAATCAATAAAAGCAAGTGTCCCTAAATGACTTCCTCTGTGACTGTAGCATAGGTATTAGAAAAGGCCATGACTGTCAACCATCATCCTGGGGAGAATAGGAGGGACTATATGAGCCTTATAAACATAAATATAGCTGTTCTTAGCCACAGATCTCTTTTGGCCAAGAATGATATGTGAAGGTAGGGTCACTTGCCTTTTTCATCAGGCCTGATTTTTTTTGCCATTTCTAAAATCCAAATACATTCTTAAAGGACGATATCTTATCATCATTGAGGATGCTCAAGGGAATGTAACAGAGGCATGAAAACCAATTTCAAAAGGGAGTCCTGTACATGTTCTCAACAGTAGGCAGCATCTTTAGACTACCTTGAAGAAACAACAGTATTTTGAATATAGATGCTCTACAATCTTTGTGTTTTTTTGAAAAGCCATTTTTCTATGACTTTCTTGATTTTGTTGGTCCTATTTCCCTCTGTGTGCCTGGCTCAGTATTATCCTAGGCTCCTGGCAGGACGTGTGTGTGTGTGTGTGTGTGTGTGTGTGTGTGTGTGTGTATCTCCTGAGTTTGCAATGGCGGAGCTGAGGAAGGGTTAACAGAAAAAAAAATGTCATATTAGGTTTACTAATTAGAGCCCAAATAACTTGTTGGAAGCCAGGTCACCCAGTCTGAACAAGAGCCATATAAGTTAAGTGATGCAGGGCGCAAGCCAGCAGTTGAAGCAAATGAACAGAGGAAAGGTGGGTGTAGAAGAATTTCTGAACCAAAGCCCAAGCAACTTAGGCAGCTTTTTATGCAGATCCCGTAGTTCCTGGTCCAGAACAAACATTACTCGATGTAAATACTCAGCTTGTGGAGCAGCTGCATAACCAGCACTGAGTTCCTTGAAGGAGGTGTTATGGCCAGTTGAGTGTCAGCCAAGTAAACACTGGCTAAAGTGTAATCCTCCTAGATTCAGATGCTGTTTTGGTCCATGGCAGAAGTGATAAGTATCTGGAACATATCTGGTGAATCCTCCACTGTCTACCACGCCTGTCTCATGGTAGAAATTATCACTTACTATTGAGTGAGGAGGCTACTGCTACAGCCTGTCAGCATTTACAAGTAAATAAAAACATGCATATCATTTCCGGTCTAAGGACAAATAAGGTAGTATCGATATCAAAGAATCCTCTGGTGTGCTGTGCTCCCTTGATAGCAGAGATTTCTAATAAGCCCTGCTTCAGGCCAGAGCCTTTCAGGGAGAGGCTCTGGCCTGAACCAGGGTTGGAGAAAGCTTGGGACTGGTCAAGATGGGAACTTGAAACAAATCTGACATTTCATAACAGTCTTGGAACGACATGGAAACCCTTGCCAGGTCAGGTTAGAAAGAGCTTTTCATAAAGAAGACCATCTTTAGTTCATTAATTTTGATCAGGGTATGTAGTCTAGATTAACATTTTGGCCTCAGAGAGTATTGTGTGCCAGGCTTTTGCCATATCAGTGCTTCTATATGAGCAGCATAGAGAAAGAGCTCCATATTTATCTCTGATGTTTAAATCCTCCTAGGGATGTTCAGGCTGGAGCCAATCTTTCTTTCAATCGTCAGTTCTATGATGAACATTGGTCCAAGCATCGAGTGGTCACTTGTATGGACTGGTCCCTCCAGGTAAGAATTATTGCTGGGCTGGGACAAACTGGGCTTGTGTTCTCGTGGCATTTGTATAAAAAAATAAGAGATTTGTTTACTTGCCTACGATTTCCTCTCTATGCCTGTTGGTTTTTTTCCCCTCATTTTATTGAGGTTTCAGTTTCAATTCTCTACTCAGTTATTTGTATTTATTGAGTACCTACTATGTGCTAGGTACCAAACAAGAAGCCAGATTGTTCTGTCCATGAAACTATTCCATTAAGATTACCACTGATTTCCTACTTGTCAAATCCTGTGGATATTTTTAATCCCACATCTGTCCTGACCTTTCTTTGTCAAGCAGCTTAGTCAGCTTCCTTGTGCCTATAGAAACATCCTCTTTCCATTGAATTCTCACTACTCCTCTCTACTGTCTCCTAGTTCTCTGACTTCTCCAGGATTTCTTTTTCCTCTGACCATCCTTGAGGTCCCTGTGGTCATGCTCTCAACCCCTGCTCTTCTTCCTGAGGTGCTCTCTGCAGGAGATCTCTTCCACTGCTAAGGATTCAACCACGAACAGCCTATTTATATCTCCCGCCCAATCTCCCTGCTGAATTTCACTTTGTACACCAGACAGAGCCACTATTCTAGGTGTCCCATAGAATCTTAAATGAATTAGTAACTCATTATTTTCATATATCCCAAATCCTTTTTTACCTGTTATATGATCTGTATGTTAAAGGCACCACAATATACCCAAAAGCCTAAAGCAGAACTTTCATCAACATTGCCAACTTCCTCTTCTCTTCCAGACCCAGTCTGTCACGAAGACTTTCCATGTCTTCACTCATGTATTCATCATCTAATACTATTCTTAACCTTCAAACTGATATTTCTACCTTCATGCTTGTCCACATACAGTTTTCCCCTGGAGAAATCTACCCAAACAATCTTTCTAAAATAAAAATCTGATCACTCGGCTGCGTGAGGTGGCTCAAGCCTGTAATCCCAGCACTTTGGGAGGCCAAGGCGGGTGGATCGCTTGAGGTCTGGAGTTTGAGACCAGCCTGGATAACATGGTGAAACCCCTTCTCTACTAAAAATGCAAAAAGTAGCCGAGTGTGGTGGCAAATGCCTGTAATCCCAGCTATTCGGGAGGCTGAGGCAGGAGAATTGCTTGAACCCAAGAGGCAGAGGTTGCCACTGCACTCCAGTCTGGGTGATGCAGTGAGACTCCATCTCAAAAAACAAAAAACAAAAACCTGATCTCTTCATTCCCTAGACCAAAACTCCCCATTGCCCGTAGAAAAGAAGTCTAAGCCCATCAGTGTGGCATTCAGAGTGAAAGCAGGCAAATTTACCAAAAGCCAATTTGCTGAATGGCCAACTCAACTAGTTGACAATATACCGGGCACTGAGTAGGTAAGTAACATGCAAAGGCACACAGCCTAGTGTGGTGACATCAGAATTTGAACCTAAGCATCTGATGCCTGAGCCCACATTCTTAACAACAATGTTCCTTCCTGCAATAACACTGACATAAGAACAGTGAGAGAAGCAGGAATGATTACTCCTAAGCATTTATGCACAGCACAGTTTCTGCTTTCTTGTTGTCAATGCTTTTATTGGGAATAATAGTCATAGCTAGCTTTTAATTTATTTTTCTTATATACAAAGCACCATGATAGCTGCTATGAAGGCTTTCTTATTTCCCCCTCACAACAATCATATGAGGCAGCCACCCTTACTATTTCCATGACATATTTGAAGAAGTTGAGGCTCAGAGAAGCTAAGTAACTTGCTGAAAAATCACTCAACTAGGGTATGGTATAGTGGGGATTTATACCAAAGTATTTTAGCATCCCGTGGCATATGCTCTTAACCACTGCCTCTCACAAAGAGCTTCTGGATCTGAAACTAAAAGAGCTTGTAAAGGTGCAGAATGATATGGGGCAGATAGCAAGTGCTCTCAAAGTTCAGTGGAGGTTGGAATCTGTCTCTGGTCAGACAGAGCTTCTCAGAAGACTGGGATTTAGACAAATGGAGGGGAGAAGAGGGTGTTCTAGGCAGAGCTATAAAATGGTAAGTCCCAATTAATCCTATTGGAGAACAGGGGAACAAAAGAGGGGTGTAATTCCCCACAACTAGACCCTCATCAGCAATAAAGTGGGTGAATGTTCTCTCCTCTTGAATTCCTTTTTGTATCCAAACAACAAAGCACACAGTGAGTGATCTTGCAGAGACGAAGACAAGCAGGGTTTGCCCAACCACTTTCCACCAGTGTGTGGGTGGTCTCTGAGCATGCTTGAGTGTGTGCACAGAAATCAGATCCAAGCCTGAGGAAACACTTAGCTCAGCTTGTTCACTTGTTCAGAGTTGGGGAATTACACAGGAACCTTATCTGACACATTCCTCAAAGGCAACTACAACCTTGTTCCCGGGTCAGCTGATAACACTCCCTGAGGAGGCACGGGGTGGGGCTGGTCCCGCCTTGCCTCAGTAGGTGATGGGCCACATTGCCTGTGGAGGTGTTTCCACACAGGGTCTCGCATGATGTTTGTGTTGGAGGAAGTGAAGTTGGAAATAACAGAAACTCTACCATGGAGAGACCACATTTATTTTCCCCTATTTTTGTGTGACCTGCTTACCTACGCTGTGGGGAAGAGGTTTGCAATTTTGAAAAATGTGTTGTATATGAGGCGTAAGAAAAAGAGATTAGAACCCTCACCTCCTGCATCACAACACTGTTGAGGGGTTCAAAGGACCAGGATTACATACTTATGGGATAAAGAGACTTTTTGATGGATTTAGATGCAATCGAATGATATTAAGAAAGAAGAGAGATAGAGGAACAGTCTTGGTGTGCAGTGGTGGCGTGTGTGTCTAGGATGATTTCCTGAATGTAACAGAATAGAACTGAGAGGAGAAAAAGAAAGAAATTATAAGGTTTCAGCATAGCTTTCCTTTGATCTCCTGGGCTTCTTAAACCAGAACACTTTAACTTTGAAATATTTACAAAATATCATCAAACATCATTCCTTGGAAGAAATCTGGGAAGCTGGAGGATTATGTCAACTTTGTCACCCATTGAACATTATTTAACACAGTCAGTCAATAATACTATCACATACCACGTGACAGTTTTCAGATGTGTGCAGAATCAGACTCATGATCTTACTCCCACCATGTATACTCACTCCTCTCACATGTACATTGCATCTTCCACTCCTGCAGTCATCCAGGATGCAAACCTGAGTAATCTTTGGCAACTCAGTTAGTTGCTAAATCCAATCAAATTTACAACAGCAAAAAGATTACTATTGACACCAGTGCCAATCCACGAACATGGATTTGACACCTACTTTATGTCATGCCCTCTACTTCTTGCTTATGTTAGGAAACAGCGTCTTACTGGTCTCCCTACTGTCAGTCTCTATAAGGTTAAGTCAGTATAAGTACTTTTACCTGGTTAATCTTTGTAAAGATTACTTATACACTCTGTATCAACTTGGGCAAATTGCCTAACTTCTCTTGGCTTAAGTTTCTTCATTCATGAAATGATAATAATACCTAGCTCACACACTTATTGTGAGTGTTAAATGAATTAATGCATATAAAGGAATGATAATTTGGCTGGACACAGTGGCTCACACCTGTAATCCCAACACTTTGGGAGGCCACAGCAGGAGGATCACTTGAGCCCAGGAGTTCAAGACCAGCCTGGGCAACATGGCAAAACCCCATCTCTACAAAAAATACAAAAATTGGCCAGGCATGGTGGTGCATGCCTGCAGCCCCAGCTATGTGGGAGGCTGAGGTGGGAGGATTGCTTGAGCCTGGAGGCAGAGGTTGCAGTGAGCTAAGGTCTCATCACTGCATTCAAGGCTGGGAGACAGATCAAGACCCTGTCTTTAAAATAAAATAAAATAAAATAAAATAAAATAAAAATAAAGGACTAATAATTTTAAAAGTGTCTGGTGCATAAGAAGTACTTGATAAATGTGACATAGTAGTGAGAAGAGCAGTAGCAGTATTATCATTAGTTGCAAAGTGTGACTTCTATTGTCCCCCAGAATAAAATCTAAAATCATTAGCCTGTGTTCAGTGACTTCCGTGATGATGCCCTGAGGCATTTCCAGGCCTTTCTTCTTTTATACATCTTGATATAGCCTGCCTCCTAGCCACATATTAATACTACAACCTGATGTCTATTGGACATATTCTTCTTCACTGTATTGGTCAAAAAGACTTCACCTTTGGCTAGGTTAAGTAGACAGAGGAATTTACTGGGGAGCCATTATAGTAGTTAGGGAATTCATGAAAAAGATGAAGAACTAAAACTTAGAAATATTAGGAATCTGGGCAGCCCGAGGGACCTCACCAACAGGCTGCTGTCCTTATCCAGACCCCTTTGCCAGCTCCCAGGTCCTGTGTCTCAGTTCAAAGTTTACAATATTCTGGTTAGAGAACGCCTTTGGCTCAGCTGGGTCAAGTATCAACCCTGCAATTAATTAATTATCCCTGGGAAGTTAGGCTTCTGTTGACTGGGGTAATCTCCAAAGAGAGAGATTCACATGAACCAGGCAGATACCAAGAGGGGTCTCCTGCACCCCTCTTTGGACTCTTGTCCCTGCTGTCATCTGTCCTAATAACCTACCCACTTGACAAGGCTCAAGGTCTCATTTCTTCTGAGAAATCCCTTTCAATTTCTCTTCCTGCCACACCCCACACCAGCTTCCATGCTTATTTATTTATTTATTTTGAGATGGAGTCTCACTCTGTCACCCTAGCTGGAGTGCAGTGGCATGATCTCCCCTTACTGCAACCTCTGCCTTCTGGGTTCAAGCGTTCTCGTGCCTCCCCATCCCGAGTAGCTGGGATTACAGGAGCAAGCCACCAGGGCTGGTTAATTTTTGTATTTTTAGTAGAGACGGGGTTTCACCGTGTTAGCCAGGCTGGTCTTGAACTCCTGACCTCAGGTGATCCACCCTCCTCGGCCTCCCAAAGTGCTGGGATTACAGGCATGAGCTAGCATACCTGGCCCCATGCTTCTACAGAACCTTGCTTCTGCCTCTGTCTTAGCACTTGTCATGGTCTGCTTTTTTATTTGTCTTGTAGTTACTTCTACGTGTGTCTTACCTCCCTCCATCTAATGATAAGTTCCTATAGAGAAGAGCCTATTATTCAGGGCATTCATGTCACATATTTTACCTGTCATGGTGCCTTACATATTTATAGGGGACACTTGAGGCATGCCACAGCAGACAGGAAAGGAGAAGGCTTTTGAAGCCCAACAGACTTTAAGTGGGGTTCTTGCTTTATCACTTATTAGCAACATAGCATGGAATATGTTATTTAACCCAGGACTCTGGGTTTCTTTGTCTGTGGAAATGAGTAAACCATTGCCTACCTTAGAGGGTTATGAGGACCAAATGAATTAACATATCAGTGTCTGGTTCATAACGGGCACTTAAAACATGATGGTTCCTTCCTCTCCAGTAAATGCTAGGTTCTTTTTTTTTTGACGGAGTCTTACTGTGTCACCCAGACTGGAGTGCAGTGGTGCACTCTTAGCTCACTGCAACCTTCACCTCCTGGGTTCAAGCAATTCTCCTGCCTCAGCCTCCCGAGTAGCTGGGATTACAGGCACACACAACCTGGCTAATTTTTGTATTTTTAGTAGAGAAGGGGTTTCACCATGTTGGCAAGGCTGGTCTCAAACTCCTGACCTCAAGTGATCTGCTGGCCTCAACCTCTGTGTTGGAGGCCTCAACCTCTGCCGGCCTCAGCCACTGCGCCCCAACTAGGTTTCATTTATTTGTTAGAAAAAAAATGGGGTTGAGAGCATATCTGGTAATTTCCAGGTAAAATTCTCCTAGGGTAAGTATTGGATAATTCAGCTCTATGAGTAACCAAATGATCATGAATTTCATAATTCTTTATATTCTCTTTAAAAACATAACTTCGAACAACACTTAAGATTAAATAATTGTTTAGAGATTTTTTATTGGAAAAAGAAAATATGACTAGTCATGTTCAAACAAACAGTGGAAAAAGACATACTAGAGGGCACCTTGAAATCCCAAAAACTTGCGTGAGATAAAATTTAAATCAGTATCTTTAGGCCTTATGATCTCAGTTATAGAAATTATGCCAATGACATTTCACTGGTAATTTTACTAAAGCACTCCCTGTTTTCTAAAGGAGTTTTAAAGCTAAATAATTTTAAATATTTTTAAATGGAAAAAGAAAAGCTGCAAGTGGGTACCAACAATGAGACCCAGCTGGGTGATATTATTGCAGAAACATCTAGCTGCTCCTTAGCCCCTGTGGTGGTGGTGTTGATGTTTATAGAGTTGCCTTTTCACATGTGACATAGTTAAACTTCAGATGGACAGTCTGGAGACTTCTGTGTTTATCTGGATGTTAGTTTCTTTGAATGGGCTTTGAATCAAAGGCTTTCTTAATAGGCCTTTGATTCATCCGCTGCAGAGTGTTTTTTAATAAAGAATGATTACTTCCCCTGGTGGCCACATACATGTGTGTCACTGTACGCTTATACTTCCTCTGCACAACCAGCACATTGTAACTCTCTGCAGATTTCTTTAGTTGAGGCTGCTGGAAGAATGAATAAGACTTAGATGTAGTTATTTTTAATAGAAAAAAAAGATCTGTGTTCAAATTCATAAAGGCAATCTTCCATTAAATATATGTATAGAATAATGAAAAAGGAGGAAAAAATTAAATTATAAGAAGAGAGTGATACGGTCTGCCATAATCCTGATACTATTTTTAATAGGACTGCCTTTTGAGACTCCTATGTAGGAATGACATTTTCATGAAATGTGTCCTAACTCATAAGTACTTCCTATGAGATTTATCCTCAGTTTATTTAGTAACACTCAGGACAGAGTTTTTGTAGGGTGAGTAGGTCTTTCTAATACCTAGAATCACTATAGAGTCCTTCTTGTTATTTTACTGGTTATGTTTCTGGCATTTAAGCCTTTAATTATTAGCATTGTTTGACAACAAAGGATGATATATAAAGCCTTTCTATTGAGCACAGAATTACTAAAATTAAAAATTTTAAATAATTAAAGAAATTTTGGCACAAGTTTATTATATGCTAGGAATTGACCCTGGATTCAGAGGTCAACAAAAACCAGTCCCTACTCTCAAAGAGCTTGCAATCGAGTGAAAGACACAGGTGTAGAAAAAAAATTATAATGCATTTGACAAGGGCTTTAATTGGCAGGACAGACACATGATACAAAGGGAGCTGATAACAGGCAAGGAAGGAAGTGGTTGGTTAAGTCAGGATTGTCTGGAGGACTTGATGCCTGTGTTGAGTCTTAAAGGATGAGTTAATTATGTAAACAACACCAAAGGGTCATCCCAGTGAGAGTGAGTATGAGACTCATAGGTACAGAGATGTACCTGTGTGCCTCAAAACTAGTCCAGTGAGGCTGGGTCATAGGCTGTGGGAGGTGGGGAGAAAGAGGGAAGGTTGTAGGAGAGTAAGCAGGAAAGGCAAAAAATGACAGATTATTAAGGATCCTCTGTGACCTGCATTTTGCCTTGAAAGTAATGATGAGCCATTAAAGTATTTTAAGCTGAGGAATGACTTAGCCAAATACATATTTTGTAAAGTCTTCCTGATAAAGGATGGAGAATGGAGTAGGTCAGTATAGGAAGCCATTTATGAAGCTGCTGCCTTCATCCAGATAAGAAATTAATTTAGCAGGCTCTGACCTTAAAGATAGAAAGAAAATATTCATTTGAAAGGTATTGAGGAAATAGGGAAATTTAGTGTGTGGGAGTGAGAGAGAGAAAGAAGTAAAAATAAATGGGCCAGGCATGGTGGCTCACGCCTGTAATCCCAGCACTTTGAGAGGCCGAGGCTGGTGGATCACGAGGTCAGGAGATCGAGACCATCCTGGCTAACACGGTGAAACCCCGTCTCTACTAAAAATACAAAAAATTAGCCAGGCGTGGTGGCCGGCGCCTGTAGTCCCAGCTACTCAGGAGGCTGAGGCAGGAGAATGGCGTGAACCCCTGAGGTGGAGCTTGTAGTGAGCCAAGATCAGGCCACTGCACTCCAGCCTGGGCAACAGAGCGAGACTCCATCTCAAAAAATAAATAAATAAATAAATAAATAAATAAATAAATAATGTAGAATGGCTGGCCTGGGCCAGGCGAATGTTAGTGCAAGACCCTAAAATAGGGAACATGGAGGAGCAGTAGGTTTCGTGTGGAAGTCAATGAGATCATTTTTCTATGTGTTACAATTGATGGGTCTATGGACAGCCCTGAGAAATCCCCAGTAGGCAGTCAGATATAAAGACCTGCATCTCAGAGAGAAATTAAGCCTAGAGATATAGATTTGAAAATTACCAGCATGTTAAGCTTATTAAAGCCACTGGAGTAGATGAACTTACTCAGCGAGAATAGCCCTCCTTGGAATTTATGTAATAGAAGGAGAACCTGCAGGAACTGAAAAGAGAAGTCAGGGAAGAAAATCAGGAGAGAAAGATGTAATGGAAGCCAATACAGGAGAGGAAGGGAGTAGCACAAAGTGTCAAATAATACGGAGAGGTAAAGCGATGTTTGTAGTTTGATAGTTACCGGTGAGTATGACAAGCGCATACAGAGTGTTGGAGGCAGAAACAAGATTGCAGGAGGTTGCAGCAGTAAGCTGATAGTAGGTATGCCACAACATAACAGAAAGCACCATTTACACTGTGTAGTATACCACGTGTATGTAGGAATAACAAAGTTTTCCTTGTGTTGTCATCTTAGCATAATTCATCCTTGTGACCTCTTCCATTTAGTACCCTGAGCTGATGGTGGCTTCTTACAACAACAATGAAGATGCTCCCCATGAACCAGATGGAGTGGCCTTGGTTTGGAACATGAAGTTTAAGAAAACCACACCAGAATACGTCTTCCACTGTCAGGTAGGAGTCAGCGTAGTAAAAATAACTTACATCTCCTGCTAGACCAAATATAGTTTGTGCTGCATTGCATCTGTCTTATGCTGAGAGGAAGAACTCAGTTTAAAAATGAAATTGTTGACAATTTTGGAAAATTCCCCCACAGTAACCTAATGTTTTGGGAAAGTGGCAACCCTCCCCAAACAGTTAGGAAGCTTGGTTAGGGACTGTGTGTCATTTTCTTTCTATTTAAAACAGCCCCCATGAGGATGAGTTTATAAAGACCTCGCACTTATGAAGAAATCGTGGTGTACCACTTCCTCTGCTTAAAAGCAACATATGCTTGCCCACCCACGTGGACATCCTCAGAGCACTACCATTTCAAGTCTCCTACTCTCTTGGAAATGCAGTTCAATGGATTTTGCTGACTTTAAGTTTATGGGCGCCATACTACTTAACAGATAATACTTTTGTAGCTGGCATGGGGCAAGACTTACCACTCGTATTTCTTGAGTTGCTGGGAAATATAGATGCTGTTTCTGGTTTGAAAATGCAGAGATAATTTCAAATATGTTTGTATTTTTCATTCCTTCTCTCTGCGGACACGTCTTCTCTTCCCCTTGACACAATACAGGCTGAAATTATGGTACCCTTGTACACGTTCAGCATTGCTCTGTTGCCATGACTCTGCCTAAATAATAGGCCTCAGCATAGGCCAATACACCAACCCCTTTATTAATGCTCCTATCCTGTGATTATGCACAGGCAAATAAAAAACAAACATTTCAGCTCAAAATTGCAGTTCCTCAAATGTTAACAATTCAGAGGTACTGAGTGGCAGATTACTCTGAATACAAAGACATCATTTGAAGAGGGTGGGTAAACCTGTTGATTTTTGGAAGCTTAGTGCCATTTTCTATCTAAGAGCCAAGTATCTTTTTGAACTAAAATATGTTTAGACTTTAGAGCATTATCAGATATAATTTGGGGAATAGGAGCTGCTGGAATAGAGTCCCAGCCTCAACCTGATTGAGTAACCTCTAACTCTGGCCATGTTTTTCTAATTTGCTGTCTCAAAAACAACTTAACAAGAAGTCTAGTTCTGTATGGTAAATAACCTTTATTTTCTTAGCCTTTGAAATAAGAACGGTTCTTTCTTTTTTTCTTTTATTTTTTTTAAGATTTTCAAGTCAGCTTGATATGCTCCTTCTGTAAACATAGAAGCACAAAATCCTAATTTTGTTCAGTTTTACAAGGTTTGCCGAATTCCCAGGAAAATACTGTAAGGATTAAGAAATAAAGAGAAGCACATTTTTGAAAAACAGTGCCTTTTAAATTATTTTGATATTACAGAAAGTCTTTGATTTTAAAAATCCAACAATAATACATTATTATAATCAATATGTATGATCTTTATCATGATTTTTAAATTTTAATTATATTAACTGACTACAGGTTTCTGGAATCAACTGTAAATTACTTGTTTTACCACACAACAATAGTTAATACTAGTATTAATTGAAAAGGGCATTCTTGTGTGTGTGTGTGTGTGTGTGTGTGTGTGTGTGTGTGTGTATCTTTGGGATCATTGACTAAACATTTCTCCAACAAACATTTTTTTTAGTTTCTCCCTTAATGATCCAATATATGTCATTGAGAAGAAAATATACTCGTGATTTTAAAAAAAAAGCAAGAGGTACCCTAAATATAGTAACAAGATAGTCATACCAGAGTTACCAAAAGATGCTGAGTAAAATAGTTGATTCCAAAAACTTGTAGTCAGCACTTTGATACAGGTGATACTCATGAAGTTGGGATAAAGGTCAGGTAAATATCACTGGCTGCCAAAGAAAAACAAAATTGCTATGATATTTAGTATTTCTGAACTGTTGGGAGACAAAATCAGGAAACTTTCAGCAGCCAGGGAAGTCCTAGATGAAATAGTGATGGAGGTTAGGTAGACAGATAACATAATAAAGGCAATTTGGTTACCTTTGTACTAAAGTGTAATACCTGTAGCAATATCTACGTGTTTCTGTATTTTAAATTTTCCCAACACTTCTGCCTTCATGATCTCATTGATTGTACAACAGGGAGGTAAGAAAAATGTTATTATTCTCTTTTTCCAGTTGAGAGATTTTATACTTTAGAGGTTACCCAGCTAGTGAGCAGTAGAGCCAATCCTGGAACTGAGGCTTATTCTATCGCATACATCGTGCCATCACCTAGGCTGCATTCTAAAAATGTGGGCAGACATGGGACTTGATAGCAAAGGCTGTACAGCCCATTCAAGGTATATTTTTGGCCACCTACCCTTATAAGGTATCGATTAGACATGGTTCTAGACGTGGCTATCTTTACCACCTTCTAACCCTAAATGGAAATTTAGAGATCCCACAGAATTAAAATGTATATGTGGAAAAACCAAAGCCTTCACTCACTGACCTATAACTTTTCTTCTATCCTATCTGATCTTTGCTAAATCTTATTTATTACAACTGGTCATTTCTAGACACTAACTCAGGGAAATCACGTCGTTTGAATGTGCTTCCGCATTCTCCTGTGATGTTCTGATAATTTCAAAATTAGACAATTCATTACTTAGAAAAAGGGCAGAGGTAGAGAGTAGCAAGAGTACCTTATGATGACTGTACTTTTATAATTTTGGAGTAATTGCGTAGCTATTCATTTCCTGCTGATCTCTGCTGATTCTTCATATTTTTTAAAAGTGTATAATTGTAAACAAAACCAATGGATCAGAGAAGCATTGTGTCAGTCAGTGGAAAGCAAATGCACAAGAAACAGACATCAGCTCCATGGTGTTTTGTAAAGACTGACAAGCTTTTTGCCTACTCATAAAAAGATTTTAGTATATAGTTTCATTTCTCTCTGTTATGGATAGCAAGGCCAAAAAGTATCTTCTACTGTCACAGGCAGTTTTTGTGTCTTTACTAAACTGAATTTTTAGTGTGATCTCTGGTCCTGCATTTTCTATTTTTATTTCAATAAAAGCTGTCTGTACTTGGAAAATATTGGTGGACCCTGCATAGAAATCAGCCACTCAGCCCCATAACACACTCTGGCAGTGCTCCTGCTGTCTTCTGTAGTGGCTTCCACACACTGTCATTAGATTATGTGTCTGACCACCCTGCATTGCTTACCCTGGTGTGGTCTTTCTCTTTTAAATGGAATGAATAGAATCAGAAATATATACCTTAGAATTATCTGCGTTGAGGTAAATGTAAAAGCTATGTTTAGAGTCTTAGCTTGGTCAGAGGTTTTTATTTTTACTTTTACTTTTTGGTGATTTGGTTTCTTTGTTCTTGGCAATCTCTTTTAGAGGTGGACCTGACAATGACCTGAAGCTGACAATCACCTGAAACCCTCACTATGTCAGGGCAAAGCAGAGTGTGAAGTGGGGTAATATCAGCTAACCTCGTTTGTGTCAGTGTTTAAAGCCCTCAGTCTTTATTCCTTCATGGGCTTTGCTTCCCGTTAAGATTCTATAAAGGGTACAGATGTCATTGCTGCACACGGCCTCAGCTGCCCAGTGTTTGATTCTGTATGACGTTCCTGCTAACCTCAAAGAGAGTTCCGCCTGTGAAGAGTGATGGTAACAGAGGAGGGAGTGTGGGCTGGTGGTTAGGACAGGGACAGAAAGTTAGGACTCGGAGTTCCATTCCTAGCTGACTGCACTGCTGAGTGACCCTGGGTGAGTCATGGGGGCTTTATTGTTGTGTTTCCTGATCCCATGCAAAGAAGACTTTCTCTAGTCTCTGGTTCAATTGTAAAGTTTATTTCAGTAAACCTCATTTCTTCCTCCATCAATTTTTGTCCCTCCCCCAACCCAGATTGTGGTCTGTAATCCAAATCTACAAAACGGCTGTGGACACAGAGATATAAATTAATTGACATTAACTTTGTAAAGTATATTTTGACCAGAGAAGTGTTAGAATCTCCTTAAGGATTTTTATTTATTTTTTTAAATGAAAAGAATAGTAACTTGCTTATGGCCCATCTGATAAAAAGAAAAGGGCATCTTCTAAGCTTTTCTCTTGGCTAGGCTAAGAAGTGGTTATTACAGGTCAAAAAAGAAAAACAGATAAAAGAACAGAAAGTTCTTTGACAATTACTGCTTCATATTTAGTATGAATTCCTGGGATTCAAAATGAAAGCACATAGTAGGTGCTTTATAATTGCCAAATAAACTCCATGGCTAAGAATATGAAAACCAGAGTGAGACCCAAACAGTTTTCAAATGTGATATTCAAAGTGCCTCAGGATGGGAAAACAGAAGAGGAAACCTCAACCAGTGTTACATTGATTATCATACACATTTTGAAGAATAAAATCATGGAAAATTTAAACTTAACTTTTGACATAAAGGTAAAATTAAACTCTTACATAAAAGATACAACTTACATGGATCAGACCAGAGAAATAGTGCCACAACATTGCTACTTTGTGCCTTTCGGAAAAGGCATAAGGGAATACCAGTATACATGGTGAAATGAAATGCAGACATCCCAAAACACTTCTTTTCTGCCAATTGAGAATGACCGATCCGATGAGCTAGACAGTGATTCTTATTAAATCAAACAGCAGGAATTTCATTTTGCTTTGCCCAGGAAGCTGGAAGCAGAAAACCTGCCCCTCCAGCTTTCATTCTTTATCTACCCTCCTCTAGAGTCTTCTCCAAAAAGCAACTCATGAAGAAGCAGAAGTGATCACTGGGACACATCTGGGGAAGTTAGAATTATCAGCTGGATTCTAGCAAAGAGATTGTATTGTAGGTGATTCCTCATCTGAAAACAGCAATGAAGGAGATTATTTCTATACCTCATGGAGTATGCGAGGGACCAAGTGAGCTATTTGATGAAGAGGATACCATGAGAATACACCTTTAAACAAGTTGTTTTAAAATCGTTTTATTTGTCTTGCCATGACACATTGCAAGTGATCAAGCTAAAGTTTCATATCATTACAAAAACTAGCCTCTTACTAGCATTTGCTGCATCCCGTTAATGTGCACACATGTTGTCAACACAGAACTCCAGCTGATTCTATCCAGTTCCCTAAATGCCCTTCCCTTCTCTCCCCATCCACTGTGCTACAACCATCTGAACCAGGCTTTCTCCACTGTGCTTCATTCAGGAAGTATCCTGGGAATTATGGATGCTGTGCAGTGAGAGCCAGATTGCAATATGAGCACGTTTGCTGTCTTGTCCCTCCCTTCCCTGCAATACCCACCCACCTCCAGCCATTCACTGAGGTGAGAGAAGCCTTGGTCTCAGGAAGATGGGTGTTCTGAGGGGTCTGGGTTGAAGATGGATGGGATTCTAACTACCTCTTAAGATTATAATAAGGATAATAGAAACAATATAGTTATATTAGCCTGCTCAGGCTGCTACAACAAAATAACATTGACTGGGCGGTTTATAAACAACAGAAATTTATTTTTCACTGTTTTGGAGTCTGAGAAGTCCACAGTCAAGGAGGCAGCAAATACTGAGCTAAAATGAGATCAGTATTTTAATAACTGGTAAGGTTATACTGTGTGCGTAGCCTTACACATAATGTAATCTGTGAGAGCTCTCTTCTTGGCTTGCAGATGGCCACTGTCTTGTTGTGTCTTCACATGGTGGATGGAGACAGTGAGCTCTCTGATGTCTCTTATAAGGACACTAATCCTATCCTATCAGGTCCCTACCGTTATGACCTCATAACCTTCATTACCTCCTTCTGGTCCCTATTTCCAAATACAGTCACATTGAGGGTGGGGGCTTCAACATATGAATTTGGTCGTGGTGGGGGAAGTACAATTCAGTCCATAGTAATTGGTGAACTTGCTTTGAAATGATAAAAGTATTCTCTTTACATCTGTTTGTTTTACTATTATTGCATGATAGTCACGTGGGAAGAAGCTTAAACCTTGGCATTTTTATTTTTCTTGCTAGGATATATTCCTGAAGAAATTTCACCTAACTTAGATTCATTCATTGACCCATTCATTTGTTCATTCATTCAACAATTATTTTGGAGGTACCCACCATGGCCAGGCCCTCACAGCAGTGATAGGCTGGAGGTGAGACCCTCTCCACAAGAGCCCTTCAGTTTTCCCCAACCCCAACCATGCTTAATTTTCCATCACCTGACTGGCTCCTCTCAATTATTTCTATTGCCTAGGCCCTGTTCACATTGGTCAAATTTATATGTGTGTTCTTTATATTAAAATGCCAGTTGATAGAGGGAAACTGAGACAATTCCAAAGTTCTCTCATCCCAACTATTTAACCATTTGTTTTCTAACTAAATGATGATGAGGTATTTTCTGAGTTCTGGGAGGAAGTTAAGTACATAGTGGTTAAGAGTGAGCTATAAGGCCACACAGCCTGGAATTATAATTTGGATTCTACCACTTAGAATCTCTGTGACCTTGAGCAAGTCAAATGGTTGTTATGAAACTATAATAAATAAATAAATGTGATGTATTTAGTGACAGGCCCATAGTAAGTACCCAGTGAGTGTCAGCAATAATTATTATTGAATATACAAGAATGAAATTCAAAATATGTAGCAATCTTTGTGTATTGTCCAAATAGCATGGATGTGACCTCCCTCCTTAGTTGCTGAATGGGGGGTTGTGACTGAGGGGTTCTCCAGGGAGGTACCAATTCATTCAGGCAACAGGAGAGTGCTGGGGACAGGTAGAGAAGGGCATCTTACCAATGAGTACAAAATAAGCTCAGCATTTTTTTTTTGGTTTTGGTTTTTTTTTGGGTTTTTTTTGTGTTTTTTTTGTTTGTTTGTTTTTGAGACAGAATCTTGCTCTGTCATGAGGCTGGCGTACAGCAGCACGATCTCAGCTCACTGCAACCTCAGACTCCCAGGTTCAAGCGATTCTCCTGCCTCAGCCTCCCAAGTAGCTGGGATTACAGGCGCACACCACCACGCCCAGCAAAGTTTTGTATTTTTTGGTAGAGACAGGATTTCACCATGTTGGCCAGGCTGGTCTTGATCTCCTGACCTTGTGATCCTCCTGCCTCAGCCTTCCAAAATGCTGGGATTACAGGCGTGAGCCATTGTACCCGGCTGAACTCAGCATTTTAATAACCCATAAGGTTATACTATGTGTATGGCTTGAATATCATCCTGTTATTGTGCTTTTGCCACTTGCGAGGTACAGATGCATTGGCTTCCTTGGCTAGACTACTCACACTGATGGCCCCATGCCCCAGCTTCATAAATGAACCCTCTTGTACCTACGTAGCTCACATGGCTACAATGAATTATTTAGAGACTAACTGGCCATTTGCCGTGCTTAACACACTCTGTAGGCTATGAAGCAAGAATAAGGATGATGGGGCTGACCAATGTTTTCTACTTTCATTTAATACCAGTTTAGCATATCTGTTAAAAGCTGTCCCTCTTAGAGATATGTATGACCCAAGGACCCCTTTGGTAGGGCTTCCATTCTCTGGACTATCAGATTATGCATTTTCTTTATCCTACAACATTTTCATATAGGCAAGAGCAGGTTTAAAAGAATACCAGGTGGTCTGAAAGGAAAGAGAAGTCTCAGAAGGGCAACACCCTCCCTCAGAGATATGTGCATGGGGGCCCTCCTTTCAGGAAAGGAACCAGTACAGAGCAGGAGTGGGCTGTAGTTGCCCCAGGCCAGATGAGTCCCCACCAAGAGTGGACAGAGGCCACTACCACCCCCGAGAGGGATACTTGTATATTGCTTTGTCTTGTTTATATTCTAGGGATGGAACCACTTCTAGACTCCAGACCATCTATTTTTTAAAAATATAGCTTTTTCTCCCTCTGCAAACTAGGTCCACACTTTCTGATTTGTGTGTGTCTTTAAGTTGCCTAATATTGTTGGATGAATGGGGCTTTTTGAACACACTGTGTTATTAATAAATACAGAGACTCCTGGAATAAATAAATAATGTGATTCTCCAAGAGTCACATTCTTATTGTAATACATTTTAGACAGTGACTTTGAGCAAAACTTAATTTTTGGAATTATTTGAAAACATTTACTATTGTAGAGAATTTCTTCAAATATAATTATCTTTACTTCCCGGGGAAGTTTTCTAACCTCTATTGTAACAAATAGTCTATACTTTGCTTTTTCCGTTTTTATATCCGATTGTTTACTTTTAAATGGTATGTTCATTATTTGCCAAAGACTTGAGCAAGATGTTGCTTTTATTAGGTGAAAGATTTATCTTCGTTAATTTTTAACTCTAATCTCCTTGAAAATATATTGAGTTTATGCCTTATATGCTACAAATTATTGTATCCATAATCATTTTATAACTTCACTGTTTTTTGTTCTCTAAAGCCATTATGTTTTTTTCCTTTTGAGTTTTTAAAAAGTATTTCCAGCACCTATGAACAATAAGTTATGTTATGCAGCATTACATCTTTGCTTCTTCAATAACTTTGTCTAGTGTTATGTTGAGTAGTTGAAATTAAATTAAAATCTTTATTTCTTTAAAATGTTCATGATAAATATAGTCTTCTGAAAACTAAAGAAAACAGGAGCAAAAAATTGTACCCAAGTGCTCATGCTCACATAAATGCATGCACACACACACACACACACACACACACACACAACCAAGACTCTCAAATCCTAGTCAAAAGCTATATTTCACAAAAGAGAATTATAGTAACATTGATGGTTTGCCAAAACCTCAAGCAGTGACAAAATCCACAGTGTCCTGTAGGGGATGCCTTTGCAAAACCATGCCTCTCCAGATGGTTTAGATTAGAGATGTTTAAAAACACATGGCAGCATTAGCTTGGTTTAGAATTCATAGTTAATTCAGTAGATAAAATAATGCAAATTTGAAACCCTATCCTGTCTATCAGAAAAATCATCAAATCTTATGATTGCTCTTAGGAGAGGTTGGTATGTGATGTGTTGATTTTTAAATTATCTAATTGAAATAATAAAATTAACCAAGAAAAAGTAAAAAGAGGATTAAAATATAAGAGTATGAGTAAAAACTTTCTTCTCTGCAGAATATTTCTTCCTTTAAGCTGTCATATCCAATCAGTTTGTATGGGATTCGACAGCCAATTGTCATTTCCTGAGATATACTCTGTAAAGAGGTTGTGTTACAGAGACGGCATGAAAAAATGGAAAAAATAATTCCAGAGCATCATGCCAAGAGAAGCCAAAATGTCCTTAAAGACCACAAAGTGTTGCCAGGATCCCTTCACCTTGCTAATAATAGCAGATAAGCAGCTTACACACAAATTTTTCCTTTGGCTTATTTAGCTTTCCCTCCTAGACACTTTCTAAAAGAGAGTGCTCCCAGTCCACATTTTAGTAAATTATTTTGCCTTCTCTGTGATTTTTCATCTTGGGTGGGCGCTCTTTGTGAACAGCGATGTTGCATATTGCGTTATCTGACACGAGACGTATAGTAGTTCCCCCAGGACCCTAAAAGGCTTCATCACTAAAAGCTTGGCTCCCACTGTCCCCTTCCTTATGTCTAAAATCAACAGTATCCCATCCTCTGATCCCACAGCTGGACAGCCAGCAAACAACTCCTGGAAAAGAACTGCTGTATGGGAACAGTATTAATTTAATGATGTATATTATCGTGTATCCTACCAGCAGCATAAATGAAAACATTCGGCAGATATGTTGAAATTGCCACTGGAAGAACGCTCACTCAAGGACTCAAAGCCTTTCAGAAAATCCACACGGGGAAAATATGGGACAAAGATTCTACAAAAATAGAATCAGAAGTTTTCAAAACGCCGTTGCTAGGCTTTGAAGGGCTTGACTCAAAGTGGCCCAGTATTTACTTCCCCCTGAAAGTAACACATTTTGAGCATTTTTCCAAATATAAAAAGTAGAACTGTAGCTTTTAATGGCTAAAGGAGCTCCACTATCAAAGTAAATGTGCTTCTCTGGCAGCAAGGACACATGTGCGTGAAGAAAACAAGGGGGGAGCAGGAAGAGTAGGAAGGTCCCTGTCACAGGAATTTGTGTGGATTCATGAGTATTTCAACTGTAGATTTCATTTTGTTTTAAACATGGAGAAAATGTGTTAGCCAACCTTAACAACTGATCAATAGTTCTGCATATATCCCCACTTAATATGTGTAATGGGAGATATATTTTGTTGTTTCATCTAATAATCAATTTTTTAAATAAATGGGAATGGATGATGACTTGGCAGGGGAAGATGCGAGCATTCGAGAGAATCCAGGCGCTTCATCACAGGCATAAATGACACCATGCCAAAAGACTTCACTTTTGGAGCAGGTGCTCAGAGGAGAGAAAACCCCACCTGAGCCTTTCTCCCCCTCCCCAGTCACACTCCTCATGATGACCCTTACATGTTTTATTGCATCTTCTCTTGTGTGCTTTGTCAAATTTGTGAATATTTAGCTAATTTTCAGAACAGGATTTCACTGGATTATCACTTCTCTATATTGAAAACTGCTTTACATAAATTTCCTGCCTTTAGAACATTCCAATGTGTTCTTCCCTTTGTATGAGGGATTTTGAGCCAAGTTCTGTAAAACATCACAAATTTGGACAACATGGACAGAGAAGGCCAATTCTCAAATCAGATATGATTTACTAAAGAAGATCAGGATAATTAAATGATTCTTTTTGAAAAACAAATCATCACAGTCTCCAAACTATCCTTTGTGCAAATAGAAATTTTCACTATATCAGGTCCTCTGATATGACAGCTGCTGATTTGGGACATTGTTACAGAAGTGAAACAGAACACCAATGCTATGTTATAACTCAAACTTGTAATTAAACATCTGGGACCTGCCTGCTTTAATGAAGAGATAAGAATATTTGGTTGGTTGTGTATCATATCTCTAAACTGATACTACTGTGATTCAATCATTACACATTGTGTACATGTATCAAAATATCACATGTACCCCCAAAATATGTACAACTATGATGTATCAATAAAAAATGCAAAACAAAAGCAAATACAAAGATTGAAGGACTTAGAAACTATTTATTTTTTCACATTATTCTTTTAGTTAGCAAGTACTCTTTTTTTCATACACAGTGCAAAGAGAAAAAAATTACCCTTTATTGTTCTGTTAAAATTTCACTAGTTAGCTAGTACTTGTGTTACAGGAATAATGGCAAAATAAATGGGAAGTGGACTCTGTGAGCCTCTCAGACCTGTATTATTCCAAAACTAAATGTAAAATATTTTTTCTCAAAAACCTTTACAAATTCTTAAACAATGTCTGTATCATGGATACTTATCCTGAGGGATCCAACAGTGTTGAATCTTGCCTAGCAATGGAATGAATTCAAGCCATAAATATATTACATGACTGTTCTCCACCTCAAAACTCTTCTAAAGCAAGGGAGGACAGAAATGGAAAAGTAAATAATATAGTTCCTGTTTTATATTCTACATAGTTCCTGATGAAAACCCTTGGTGAGTTGTATGTGTGACTAGTTCATATCAATGATGTTTGGGTGCAAAATTCGGAGATAGCAAAGAGCTGCAAAATATGATACATCAGGAGAAATGAAAGTGTAGAGGTAGGGCAAGGCTTTTCATTGTTACCTACATAACACAATTTGCCATATCCTTAGGTTGATGGCAGATCAACCCAGCGAAAAAACACTCTAAGCCTCTGTACAGCATTTTTAAAAGAAGGCTAATGGATTTTTACTGCCTAGTTCACACATATCAAAGTAAGAAAGATGACACCTTGGGAAACAGGCAATATCAGTTGAAGCAAAGCATATTATAAATGCCAAGACCTATATTAGAATTTATATATGCCCAAAGCCTGTTTATTTGGGGACTGAATTCTCACTGGCTCTGAGCCTGAGGGGCCACAGTCCATTTCTCTGGTTAAGCTAGGTCAGTACCACCTGTGTTCCTACGGTGAAGTAAGAGCTGCTGAGACCCATATACCCTCCAGCCACTGTATTTATTATTGCACTTGGGAATGCTCTGCTCTTGAAGGCTGATCTGACGAGGGTGGGATCACAGGCAGCAGGTATGCCATGAACAACAAACCCATATTCTTAACATATGTTTAATTTGAGTAACTCTCCTCCTTTAAAATACCTCTTGATTCTGAATCCACATCCTGATTTGCCCACTCTTGTTACCATTTTCTGCTGCCTGTTCTGAATTAATCCTTTGAGGTGGTCATTCCCCGGAAAGAAAAAAGGAAAATGAGAAGAGAGATGCAAAGTTGGGAATGTGAATGAAAGAGAATGGGAGAGAGCAGAGGGAAGGGGGTCATTAACTAGAGTCTGCTTTCATGAGCTAGATTTTCTTTGAGCTGTATAAGAAAGGAGAGGTAGAGGAAGAAGAGAAATACAAAAAAAAAGGCACTTGAAAGGTTATCCATTAATACCCCTACTGAAGAATGAAAATCATTTTTTGCAATAGAGCTCAATTTACAGATTATTTTCATTTCTCTGTCGTACTTCATCTCAAAGAATTGATATAATCTAAAAAGTGGTTAAAATTATTAAAATAGTTTCCATAGTAGAAAATTAAATGATTTTACTAACTGTCAAAGTCAGTGTTTAAACTGAGATAATTTGAATTATATTTCATATAGTGATCATGTCACTAGGATGTCTAAACATTCTTTGGAAAAGTAATAATCCCTGATTCTGATTTCTCATCAACAGAAAACTGACTAAAGGTTAAGAATATTAGCCACCAATTGCTGTTATTTGCAAAAACCTAAAGAGAAGGCTGGTTTTCATGAGGAATTTTGAATTTAAATATATTCTCCACCTTGGAACAATTAACCCTTTAGGAGACTTTCTGCATTTTTCTTAGGTGTATTTTCTGCTCAGAGGGTCATGAAACTGCTTCAAATACTTGATTTAAAATATATTTGAAAGTTAAATAGCAATATATTATGCTATTAAATATAAGATGGCAAAATATTATGTTGCTTCATAACATCAAATTTGTTTTCCATCTATTTATCTATCTGTTTATCTGTCTATCTAGCAATCAATCAAATACAGGTTTTCCTAGGCCACAGCACACTGGTTTTTAAATGAAGTCATATTAACAGAGTAAAACATATTTCTCTGGTCCTCACCTCATTTGCAACTTAGGCCCTCTGGGGTCTTCACATTCTCCCACTTTTTTCCCGGGAGTTCTCAGAGGATATTGCAAATGTGTTCATGAATAAGGTTCCAATGACTGCCCGTGAAGCTAAAAGCAGCTTGCAATGACTCCAGCACTCAAGCCCCAAGGCCTTGCCCTCTGCCCTGTCCCCATTAGCATCTGAGGGCTGGCCTCACCCACTCCAGAGCAAGCTCCACCACTAGGTGCTGGTTTCCATTGCTGCAGTGCCATTGTTGCTGATGATGCTCTAGACCCCTGAGTAGCCCTGGGCCTTCCAGAACTGAAGCCAGCAGAGTCAGGGCATATTCCATGAAGAAGGAGACAAAAATGATTCTCTCCCCCAAAGTGTGTATTCTTTGTCTCAAGGAAGCCTAAACACACAGGCTGGATACTCCACTTGTTCATAACAAATACAGTCTTTTCTGTTGTTCCAGTAGCACCCTTTTGCAAATAGAGCTCTGCAGACCTCTCCCACTGATCTGCTATTCATGCCTTCTACACTGTGAACACTACTTAAACTCAAACCTGACCACCTGTTTAATTATATTTCAAGTTTGAAATGTAATGCTGTTTACCTCATCACTGGGGCAGATGACTTCTTTTTTTTTTTTAAGACGGAGTTTGACTCTTTGTTATCCAGGCTGGAGTTCAGTGGCACGATCTCGGCTCACCACAACCTCCGCCTCTCGGGTTCAAGCGATTCTCCTGCCTCAGCCTCCCAAGTAGCTGGAATTATAGCCATGAGCCACCACACCCGGCAAATTTTGTATTTTTAGTAAAGATGAGGTTTCTCCATGTTGGTCAGGCTGATCTCAAACTCCCGACCTCAGGTGATCCACCCGTCTCGGCCTCCCCAGACGACATTTTATTCAGAACAATTCAAGATATTTATTGAACCTAGCACTGTGCTAGGTACTGAAGCTACAATGATAAATACGACCTGTTCCTTGTCTTTGAGGAATCTGTCCCTGCCCCACTAGGTCAAAAGCAAGAATAGGTGATCTGAGGTAGAATGCATGGTACAAAACAAATAACTAGTGCGTGGTTGACCCGGAACACCCCAGCCGCCGCATTGTCACCTGACTTAAGGTGGTCAGTGGAGTGGAGGCGGGAATGGTTAGGTTCGTTTGTGGAAAAGGGCTTTGGAAGTCCGAGCTAGCTCGCATTAGGAGGGAGGCGACCTCACATGAAGAATACCTACCTCCTACCTCAAGATCCTGCAAATGTTTGGGGATGGCTGGTGAACCACAGGTATTCCTAAGCCTGGTTCTTATTAGGCAGGGAAAACTAGAAGCCTCGCTTTTCCTCATCCTTGCTGTGGAATGAAACCAATAAAGTCCATTACTATTTAGACAAGTGAGTGAATGCTGTTTGTTTGAGAAATACTGTTCCTGGGGAGGGTCTGACCAATAGAAGCCTCTGAAGGGCTTTTTGGGGGTGGAGAGAAAGCCCAGCTAGAGGGTGGTTCTAGTAATATAAGAATCAATGGCAACTCTGTTAATGTCATTAGGTTAAATCTACCTAATCAAAATCATAAGGAAAGCCTTACCTTTGCATACATATTTTTGTTGTTGTACAAATAAAATGAGTAGCTCAAAATCTAGCACAATGACTGTCTATACAGGGCTGAATATCTGTAAAAGAAAAACACCTAAAGAAGTTTGCATTGCCAGATGCTTGGCATCATGTAATCAAAACATTTTGAATGTATTTTAAAATAGTCTTCCAGATGTGTGACAACTTTGAGCTTAGCTACAGCCATTATCTACATTTTGGAAGGGGAGTGGAAAACTGAGTTCATTATTTAAATTATACGGGAAAATTGAATTCTTATTGCCTTCCTGGCCTGATTGCCTCGGGAAAAGGTAGTTTTATTTTATTTTTTGCCTTTCTACCAATTTCTTCAACACTGTATTTGACCTGACGAATGTAAACACAGTAGAACTTTCCACAGTACCTTGCATTTGCCATAAGAAAGATGTTATTGCCACCAAGGGGTGACATTTCTTGACTGTGGAAGTAGTCTAGTTATTTAGAATTCAACTTTTATTTTGTGCTTACTTTCCCTAGTTCTTGATATTAACTATACTTAATATGTACCAATCTGCCCAGTTTCTTTTCATTTTAGGGCTCATGCTCAAGAACATGGAATTAACTAAGGAAAAAAATAAGTTAAATAAAGTAGAGGGGTTTTTTGCCTTTGGACTAGATTTTCCCATAGAAATTCACGTTCTTCAGTGAGAGTTATGTGCTATGTTAAACCCACTGTAGGATATTTATCTGTGCTCAAAGTAGGTGCCAAATATTAAATAACCTACTAGAACTATAGGAAAAATTGCTCAGGAGAATTTTCACCTTGTGAAATTTGCAGTTATTTCCTCCAAGCCCACACAGAAATATTCTATTTGTACTTAAGTCCATCAATAAGTAAATCTGTGAATTTTGTCATTGATATGGTATCACTGCCAATTTTAAAAGAAGAGAACAACTCACATAGAAAATTTCGAAGTGGTGGTGTGTGTCAATCTAGTTCTCAAGACATATCTTTCTGTCAACATACTTGAGTGTACTGTTCAATTAACTTTCAATTATTCCTAATTAGTCTTTGACACCAGTTATATATATGATACATTGGTATAACTGGCATTTGGCAAATATAATAGATTGGCGTGTCTTTCTGAAGCTACGGTTAATTTAAAGATAAGACGGGATCCCTGTAATTGTACTGGTAGAAAACTGGTAGAAGTTTTCCCAAGTGACACATACCGATCAGCATAAAATGTTAACTGCTTCAAAACAATTGAAAAACTTAAAAAATGAAAATATGTTCCTATGGTCTGCCAAAACTATCCTGAAATTTTATCTGCGTTGGTGGGAGGAGGGTTGGGGACAGTGGCAGGAAGCTTATTGTTACATTTTTTTCATGCCATGAGAACAAATTTGAAAAAGTTTTGACAGAAGGTATATGGATTGTGATTGATGTGATGGTTGATAGCACCTCTACTGAGAGAGTAGTTCCACTAATGTAACTTAGGCTTGAAAGATTTATTTTGAAGGAAGAGGGTATATGCACTCATGGGTTGCAAATAACAGCAGAGTTTGGGTTTTTGCTAGTAGGTCTACAGTATGCTCTGTGCGTCTCTGCTTCTGTCTGAAGATTACCATCCTTTCTTTTTTGTTGGTTGTTCTGTTTGAAATGGCAATTGGGAAAGGAGTTTAGTAAGAGATAGGAAGTAGAAAGGAGTTTTAAATCTCTATTCTGCCTGGAACTTTAGCTGTCTCAATATGGGAGTAAACAATTCAAATTAACCTTTTTAGGAAAATCTCACAACAGATTATATTCTATCAGGTGAAAGAAAGTGAAATAGAACTAGGGTACATTTTTAAAGCCAAAACATAAACTCAGGTGAACATGAGCTCGAGTGAGTATGAAGGTTGTTTGTCTGGGAGTGTACAATATATATGTGACCATGACTTTAGCTAGTGATGGGCTGTGGGAATCAGCTGAATTTACATATACTTTGAAGTGCTTAATTTATCATTTTCTCAAAATATTTACAAGTTTATCAAGTATTTGTTGACCACGCTGATAGAATAATGGCCACCCAAAGACATCTCTATTCTTATACCAGGAACCTGTGAATGTTACCTCAAGTGGCAAAAGGGACTTTGCAAATAGGATTAAATTAAGGATCTTTTTTTATTATTTTTTTAAATTTTTTCCATAGGTTATTAGGGTACAGGTGGTGTTTGCTTACATGAGTAAGTTCCTTAGTGGTGACTTGGGGAAGGGTGGATGGGGGTGAGGGATAAAAGACTACAAATAGGGTATAGTGTACACTGCTCAGGTGATGGGTACCCTAAAATCTCACAAATTGAGGATCTTGAAATGGGGAGGTTATCCTGGATTATGTGGGTCGGCCCAGTGTAATCACAAGGGATCTCATAAGTGAAAGAGAGAGAGAGAGGCAAAGAGGGTCAGACTCAGAGAAGGAGATGGGATGATGGAAGCAGAATCAGAAGGTGTGATGTGAGAGAGAGACTTGACCAACCCTTGCTGGCTTTGAGGGTGAAAGGTGGCATGATGCAAGAAATGAGGGTGGCCTCTAGAAGTTGGAAAGAAGGCCAAGAAATTGATTCTCCCCTTTACCCTCCAAAAAGAAACGTAGCACTGTCTACCCCTCGATTTTAGTCCTTCCAACCTCCAGAGCTGTAAGATAATAAATTTATGTTGTTTTAAGCCACTAAGTGTGTCATAATTTGTTTTTGTTTTGTTTTGTTTTGTTTTGTTTGAGACAGGGTCTTACTCTGTCACCCAGGCTGGAGTGCAGTGGCATGATCTCAGCTCACTGAAGCCTCAACCTTCTGGGCTCTAGTGATCCTCTTGCCTCCGTCTCCCAGGTAGCTGGGACTACAGGCATGTACCACCACGCCTGGCTAATTTTTGTATTTTTTGTAGGGACAGGTTTTTGCCATGTTGCCCAGGCTGGTCTTGAACTCCTGGGCTCAAGTGATCCTCTGGCCTTGGCCTCCCAAAGTGCTGGGATTAGCAGGTAATTTGTTACTGCAGCAAGAGCAAATTAATGCTAATGCCTACCAAATCTTAGGAACTGGCTGAGGCACAAAGAACAACACAGAGAGAAGAGAAGCCCATCTCCTGCCCTTCTGAGGCTTCCAACTCCAAAGGATCCATTTTATTGTACCCATGAAGAAATTAAGCCCAACAGAATTAACATGATTTTCACATAGAAAATCAGTCTTGAGTACCAGTTCATGGATCTTTCCACTACGTCTGTATCCTATGATTAGGATGAAGGGGAAAAAATCACATCCTGTCCCTTCCCCACAACCTTTGTGTGTTACCGTAAGGGCTGCTGTCCTCTGACCAGAGCAGGAAACAAACAGCTTAATGACATTCAAATCATTTTTTACTTAGGAGGACTCATCTATAGAACAGAGTCATGCTTTTGCATTCTGAAGAGCTGGAACTCCCTACAGCCATTAAAGAAAGGGAAGATGGCCTGTTCTCTCAGGCAGTGGCCCTTAACTTAATTGAAGAAACTACGTCCTAAAGGAGTTAAGTCCCATGAACAAAGTGACACAGCTATAGAAAGAGAGTCTTTCCAGAACGTGAGTCTCCTGACTCCCTTTTCGGTTTTTGCCCCTTCTCCCAGCAGACATGTAAGGTTCCAGCTGCTTTTTCGGAATCTGAAATAGGAACCCAGTGCCTTTCACTAACCTACTTCCCAGCACACCGTGTGGATTACAAAGGGAAATTAACATGTAAAGAAACCCTTTGGAAACTAAAGGAGCCATGTTAGTTCTCTTGCTATATTATTTGGCTGGTCTCACTGTTGGTGTCATTTTCAAGTGTGGGGCTTGATTTAATAGAGACAGCCAACAACTGTGGATCTAATCAAATGGGGCTCAAAGCACATAACTTTCTGTGTGGGGAACTATAAGAAATATTTTCAAGTTTTGGAATGTTCTGACAGGAATAGGGCAGAAAATATTCAAAGGAAGCTGGAAAATCAAGCTACGGATCTTGTTTTTCAGGTCTGTTATAGTCACTTTGTGAAGTACTGCAGACAATTCATTATAATTTATCACACTGATATTCATAGATTGGATGAAGCCCAAACACAACTGAGTTAGATGCATATTAAATTACCTCTTACTTAAAAGGAGGGTGGTCTTACCAGGGCAGGATGGAGTTCATTAGCAGTCTTAGAAGCTTTCCTTAACTCTTCATTATCTGGTTTCATATTATTCCTGGCTCCACAGGATCATTGAACACCTTCCTTTTTTTCAACTCCTGGAGAATTGCACAAGGCACTTTGTGAATCTCACCAATCAACAATTCCAAAGATAAAAGACACATCATCACAAGTCTATGCACAAAGCAGAAATTACTGGGAAATCTGTTCCTATTCTTTGTATAAAATCATTTTTTTCTTTTTTAGGGAAAAGAAAAAAATACTGCCCTTGTGCATTTTAATTTAGATTTATATGAAGCAAAATGTTGCTTTTTATTATGATAATTGACTGACACATACATTGGGTGTACTCTAACATATGTTTAGGAATTTATTATCACATTTATTCTAGCTGACCCATAATATCTCCCATATAAATTCAATGAAGAACATGGTTCAGAATAGAATCCTACAGACAGATGGTCTTTAATATGCCTCTAGACTCTTTTTCCTGAACTGGAAATTTCAGCCTCTATGTAAATGCCCCTTAATGTGTACATCCTACGTCTTATGATTGAAAATAGTATTTCCCTTGTGGACTGAGAAAAATCCCTGAAGTGTTGTAAATTTAATCATTTGATCCCCCCCCAGAATTTTTATTCACATATTTTTCTTTATCTCTTGGTTTGTTATTTTGTCCTTTTAAAAACCAGCTCAAGTTGAACTCTGGGGAATTTGATTCCCATTTGTCTGTTGAATTTCCAAGTACACATAAATGTTCCGGTAAGAGGGAATTGCCTTCAGCTTAGAAATGAACCCACAAGGACACATTTCTGGTATTTTCTATGCTGCAGCCATTCTCAGTCTATGGGTCTCTTGCAAAACTTCAGACTCTTCGGTGGACACGACAATGGTGTAGAAATTGAGGGCTCAGTGAGATTTGGGATTGGTTAACAATTTAAAACATAAGTTTACCCTTGTCTCTTCCATATATCTTATAGTAAGCACTTAAATCCAGTTTTTCCAAGTTCTTTTTAGTACTTCAAAGTAGCAGTTTATCAATAGAACCACCAAGGTAGACATAGTCCTAGAGGTCACCTGGTTCATCTTTGTGCCTTAGACATAAGCATATCTAAGTCATTCTAGGCAGATAGAAAAAGACAAATCTTCACTAAGACTGTTTCTACCTTTGGCCTCATTGCTTTGTTGGGCGTAGGTCTTCACTTCTTATTGTCTTGCCCAAGGTTTATATTCACCACATAGTTTTAATATGAAGAAAGACCTATTCGTGCCAAATTATTTTATTTTCTTGCTAAATTTAGAATGATCCAACTGATTCTGTGTACTGTCACAGCTGGCAAAACCACCACAGTTATTCAGAAAAACCATGTGAAGATGCTGTGCTTAGTAGAACACTTTAGGTTTTTTTTTTTTTTTTTAATGGTCTCTCTATAATTTCTGACCTAAGTGCCTTGGTAATGATCTAATGTGGGCTAGTCCATGACTCTTTGGGTGGATCCTCCAAATGTAGATTTATTTTACCAGCAAGGGATTGAGTGACATATGGAGACTGGATGTTTTTCTTTCTTTCTCAGCCTCCTCAAACAACAAACCGTGAATCCTACAAATTCAAAAAGAAATTGTCCAAAGCAGGACACACATATCATGCAATTGTTTTTAGACACTCTTGCCAATACAACAGCTCTGAATCTGGTTAGCTTATTTTTTTGTATTGTGCTGGTAAAAAATAATACCTGATAACTGAATTCTTCTCTTGGATTCTGTAGCTGATGAACGTTATTGCTTCTTTTATATGGCCCAGGAAGGGAACACAGATTAAGAAGCTGGCTCTTTTTTTACATGCTTGCTCTGTCAAGAAAGAGAAGGAAGTACCATATTTTTGAATGCTATATTTTCCCCCTTTGCAAGGAGTTAGTACTTTTTCAATAAAAATAAATTTAATTTGTGGCTACACTTCAAGTAAGATGGTTTGATGTCAATGTACAGCAGTCTCAGCTCTGAATTTAGAGAAGTCGTGTGGCTGACTCCCTTAGTGTCACTTTCATGTGGTTGGGTGAGCCATTCTCAGAAACCCCAAACATTTCTGAAGATCCTAAACTGGAGACATTCACAAGTCTTCCCTCCCTTTTTGCTACTAATCCTTCATATTTTAACAAGCACCGAAGTTAATGCTGCCTACACTTTTTCCTGTCAAATTGGAACTCTTTCTTCTGTCTTGAGTAATCTGTTCTCTCTAGTTCATACTTTCATAAATCAAAGAGGTGGATGTCAACACACACCATATCCAAATATCAACTTCCTTTCTTTTAATTAAGCAGGATTTAGACATTTGATTTAAAGAAAACTGTTGCTTTTTAACATACAAAGGCAACCATATATTCATCTTCATCTCTTCCTGTTATTTTTTATCTCTATAAATAAAACAAAGTTTGCCTTCGCCTTGTACCACATCGCTATTCCAGTCTAGGCCTAGCAACTTGGGTTTTATATTTTCTAAAAAAGAGACAAGAAACTTTAGTGAACTGTTGGCAGTCAGTACTGAAAAAGCCACCTTTGTTCTGAACGTGCTTCAGTGAGCATTATTGTCAGATATTGATATTTTTTAACTTTTTCCTAAATGCAAGCCATCCTTTTATTTCTAAAATATGACCATTTTGCTGAAGATGATTCTCTCTCTCAATGAGACAACTGTGAAAAAAGTATGCATATTATTTCATATCATGTGAGTTCAGAAGAATGTTCCTCAGGTCCTGTGTTTATGTCTGTAAGTAAGAAGTTCCACTTTTTGTTAAAGCACACAATAGTGGCCCTATTCACTTTTCATAATAATAAATAATAATTCATATAATTATTTTGAGGAATAGACACACTCAATTTCAAAAGAACTTGTTGGATTGTAATGGCATTTTTCCTTTGGTTATATAGTGACAAGATGAAAACAAAGCATTTTCTCCCAAAGTGGCAGTCAATGCAGAGCTTGTCAGGAGTGATCCAACTGGTTTCCAAGCTGCTAGCTGTTCATTAGACTCTCTTGAAATGATTAATTGGTCTCAATCAGTTCCCAGCAGGAAGTACCCACCTCATAGTAAATATCACCACAATTGGTACTAATTAACTCTGTTATCACCTGTCGCAACTGATAGTCTGGGAGCTGAGTGAGGTGAGCGATCTCTACACCAGCAGCAGAAACCCAACTGGAGAGAGGTCAGAGACTCACTGCCAAGGCCACTGTAACAGGCAGGGAGCCCACAAGCCCTCTCTGCCATCTGGGTATGCATGAGGCTTAGCCTGTGGCTACCAGTCCCACAGAGGTGAGGAAGTAAGAAATGTAGTGCTCAGGCGGGACCCATGTCTCAAAGAGAAAAGGCACCTGCATTCAACCGATGCAAGTTTTCACAGTATATTGGTGTCAAAGTCAGCCAAGCTGTGGTTCAAATCTGGACTTTGCCACTTACTATTAATTTGATCTTAAGCCAGTGGCTTACTTCTCTGAGCCTGGGTTTCCTAATCCAAAAAATATATATAGGCAAAATTACCCACCTAGTAAGACTGATACAGCGATGTGTAGTATATGCTTGACACTCATTTAGTAACTGCACAAAAATTTTGGAATGCTGGCCGCAAGTAAATAGCCATGTAGCCGGGGATGACAGTGATAATGTTCATTAGCATTCCTGACAATAAACAAGAAAACTCCTAGTGTCTACATGGAGAGTGATGCTGAAGAGAAGTTGGGACCTAAACCTTCATTTCATTTTTATTTATCATTTTCTAAGAGCCTCATTATTTCTGTGGGGAGGAGAAACAAGGAGAGATGTAAAAACTAACAAATAACCTTGAAGGAAATTAAGGAATGGTATTCTAGCAGAGGGAAATATCATAAGTTTCTCAGTTGGGCTGGTTGTGAAAATGACACGATTCCATAAGGGAAATATCCAGACCTACATTGATGCGGAAGGAAACTTATCCCACAATGATACTGGGTCATGCTCCATGAATTAATTGTTTCAGAACTGTGTTTTCCATTTTTCTCCATGATATGAAGCACCTAGATGTGTTTGTTAAATACACAGATCACTAGATGTCTACCTTGGAAATTCTGATTAAGTATATCACAGTGAGGACTCAGGAGTTTGTGTTTTTTGTTTCTTCATTTTAATTAACAAGCAAAATTGTATATATCTATGGTATACAACATGATGATTTGTTTGATATGTATACATTGTGGAAGGGCTAAATCAAGCTATTTAATATACACATCATTCTTTGTAGTGAGAACACATAAAATCTGCTCTCTGCAATTTTTAAATATATAATACATTGTTATTAATTGTAGTCACCATGTTGTACAGTAGATCTCTTGAATTTATTCCTTCTATCTAACTGAAATTTTATATCCTTTGACTAATATCTCCCCAGTCCTTCTATTCCAGCCTCTGGTAACCAATGTGGGTTTTTAATGAACTCTCCAAGTGCTTTTTTTTTTTTATTCAGATAAGCTTAGGAACCATTAATTTGAAACAGTACTTTTCACATTTGACGGCAAAATACTAATGCCCCAGTCGCACCCCCAGAAATTCTGACTAAATTGGTATAGGATGTGGCCTGAGCATTTGAGATTTTTTAAAGCAGCCCAACTGATGCTAAGGTACAGGCGAATTTGGAGTAGTACTGATTTAGAAAATAGTCTGAAGGGTACCTGTAAATGATGAATAAGTAATAACTAGATGTAAAGTCACATCACAGATCAATAGAGTCCAGCTCTAATTCAAGGTGTGAAAGAACTGTCAAGAATAAGGACTTAAAATAGTTAAACCACGTAAGAAATGATGTAGTAACATGTGTTACTAGATCATCAGGACAACCTCCATCAACAGGACAGGACCAAGAATTACTACTGAAATTATTGGAGAAAGATTTGTTGAGCAAGAAGAGTCCTCTGGACCACTTACAGTGTTTAGAGATTTTTCTTCGAATCAGGAGGTAGTAATTTCTAATTCTATATGGGAATATATTGTTTATCTGTCTTTAAACTACATTACCTAATTCAAATCTTCCAACAGCCCCAGGGAAAATAGGCAAAGAAAATGCCTGTTCCATAGGTAGGGCAAGAACTGTCATGCTCCTATTATAAAAAAAAAAATAAGGCTTAGATACCTCATATCCATTAGAATGGCTAGTACTAAAAAGAAAGCCAAAAAAAAAAAAAAAGACAGAAAATAGCAAGTGTTGGTGGGGGACATGGAGAAATTGAAACCCTTATGTATTGTGGGTGGAATGTAAAATGGTGCGGCTGCTTGCATTAGTCTGTTTTCACACTGTTGATAAAAACATACCCGAGACTGGGAAATTTACTAGAGAAAGAGGTTTAATATGGACTTACAGTTCCACATGGTTGGGGAAGCCTCACAATCATAGTGGAAGGCAAGGAGGAGTAAGTCATGTCTTACATGGATGGCAGCAGGCAAAAATAAAAATAAAAAATAAAAATAAAAGCTCGTGCAGGGAAACTCCCCCTTATAATACCATCAGATCTTGTGAGACCCACCCGCCAGCGCAAGAACACCATGGGAAAGACCTGCCCCCATGATCCAGTTACCTCCCACTGGGTCCCTCCCACAACACGTGGAAACTCAAGATGAGATTTGAGTGGGGACACAGTCAAACCATATCACTGCTATAGAAAACAGTGTGATGGTTTGTCAAAAAATCAAAAATAGAACTACATTATGATCTTGCATTTCCACTTACAAGTATGTACCCAAAATAATTGAAAGCAGGATCTCAAAGAGTTAGTTGTGCACCCATATTCTTAGCAGCATTATTCACAATAGCCAGAAAGTGTCCATTGATGAATGAATCGATAAAACCAGATGTGGTTTATGCATGCAATGGAATATTATTCAGCCTTAAAAAGGAAAGAAATTTTGACACATGCTACAACATAGATAAACCATGGGGACATTATGCTAAGTGAAATAGCCAATCACAAAAGGATAAATATTATATGATAATACTTATATGAGGTACCTCAAGTAGTCAAATTTGTAGAGTCAGAAAGTAGAATGGTGGTTACCAGAGCCTGGTGAAGAGTGATGAGGGATGGGGGATGGGGGAGGAATGAGGAGTTAGTGTTTAACGGGTACCAAGTTTCAATTGGAGAAGATCGAAAAGTTCTGGAGATGGATGATGGTGATGGTTGCAAAACAATGTGAATGTGTTTAATGTCACTGAACCGTACACTTGAAAATGGTTAAGATGATAACAAATTTTATGAGTATTTCACCACAATTTTAAAAATAAATAATTTGAAAATGTGTCCCTCAAATATGCAAACAAACAACTTAAGGCTTAAAGGAGTCACACAGCTAGTAAGGTGTCAGAGCAGAAAGTCAGTTCTTGGGACTCTGGGTCTGCCAATCCTCCCTTTCTACCTCCCTGCCTCTCAGGAAGTAGAAATTGAAGATGATGCTCAGGAAGAAGGAAAGAGGGAGAAATAGTTGTTTGAGGAAAGAGTGATCCACGGGGTCCAGACACAGTTGTCTTGAAGATAACAAATAAGGTTGGTAAGTTTCATGAGGTCAGAAACATGTCTGCACAATTTTAACAATTAAGATATATTTTACATGCCACAAATTTACCCTTTTAAAACATACAATTTTGTGTTTTTTTAGTATATTCACAAAGTTGGACAATTAGCATTGTCTAATTCCAGAACATTTTTATCATCACATAAAGAAACCCCATATTTAGTAGTCATTCCTCATTCCTTCCAAGCCCAGCCCTAGGCAACCACGACTCAGCTTTCTGACTCAATGGATTTGCCTATTCTGGACATTTTATGTAAATGGAATCATACAATAAGTGGCCTTTTATGAGCTGTTTCAGTTAGCGTAATGATTTCAAGGTTCATCCATGCTATACCATGCATCAGTACTTTATTCTTTTTATTGCCAAACATTCCATTGTATGGATTTACCACATTTCGTTTATTCATTCCTCAGTTGAGGGACATTTGAGTTGTTTCCACTTTTTAACAATTATGAATAATGCCGCTGTGGACATTAGTGCACAAGTTTTTTGTGTAGACATATTTTTTCAATTATCTTGGGTATATACCTAGGAGTGGAATTGGTGGGACATATGATAATTCTATGTTTAACTTTTTGGGGAACTGCCAGACTGTTCTCCAGAGTGGCTGCACCATTGTACATTCCCACAAGCATTGTAATGAGTGTTCCCATCTCTCCACATCGTCACCAACACTTATTTCCATTTTTAAAAAATTATAGCCAACCTAGTGGATGTTAAATGGTATGTCATTGTGGTTTGCACACTACCTTTGTATTCTCAGCATAAAAGCCAGGACAAGGCACGTGATAGGGTCTAAATACTGAAAGCCATGAAAATTCCAAGGAATTCTCAGAAAGGTTATCAGGATGATGGGTTTCTAATCTATGGGAAATCAAATTTTAGAATCAGCTGCTTTTTATTTCTTAGTATAAAGAGTGTCAAGAAGGAGCAGGTAACTAACTCAAACTTTGCTCCAGGGCACCCCCACATTAATGGGGTGATAACTTTTGATTGATGTTTACTCCTCTTAGAATTTAGAAGAATAGCCTGTGCACCCCAGGACAGAGACTTAGAGAGAGGAAGGGAGAGTTTTAGAAGAAAAAAGAGGCTGGATATGTTGGCTCATACCTGTAATCCCAGCACTTTGGGAGGTTGAGGCAGGAAGATTGCTTGAGCCCAGGAGTTTGAGACCAGCCATGGCAACATAGCAAGACCCCATCTCTACAAAAAAATTTTAAAAATTACCTCGGTGTGGTTGCATGTGCCTGTAATCCCAGCTACTCAGGAGGCTGAGACAGGAGGATCACTTGAGCCTGGGAGCTCAAGTGAGCTATGACTTGAGCTATGACTGTGCCATTGCATTCCAGCCTGGGTGACAGAGCAAGACCTTGTCTCAATAATAATAATAATAATAATATAAAGAAAAAAAGACCCTTTCCCTTCATCTCAATTAAAGTTAAGTGCCTGACCCATGACTCATGTCGTCTTGACCAGCTTCACACCTTCCATGTTGCCAAATGCCTGGTGCTACATGATTGCCTATAGGAGGGGTTTTCAACAGCAGTCTTCTCCAAATACACTTTTCCATTAACAAAAGAAATATCTTTGTGGGTTTCTTAGGTACTCGCAGAAATAGCTACTAGTTCACTAGTAGCTAGAAGCATCTGATCTGTCTGCCTCAAAGCCCTCTGACAGTGAAGCATTTGTTTTTAGGCAAATAAAACGTCAGCCACCATTTAACAGCATATGGCAACAATACGACCAGTCCCTCCCTGAGGACCATCCTCTCCCCAGAAGAGATGGTACTTGAAATAGGCGATGCTTTTGAGAGCAGAACCCTTATTTCTCCCACCCAGGCATGATGGCTGGGGAGTGGGCAGAGTGCCACGCACGGAAGGTCACAGGCAACCAGATCAAATGGGAGCCTAGAGGGTAGGCTTCCCAGCCAGGAATGACCAAAGGTTGTTCACCCTGGGCATCTGGGTCTGTGGTTAAGGGGAAGTACCATCTCTAAGCTGGCCTGGATTAGCTCCACAAAATAGAAAACAGCCTCCACAGCCACTTAAAGACGGGTCTGGGCTAACTTGAATTGAATGTAGTGATGGTGTGCGGTGAGTGCAGGGAGACATTCCAAGCTGAATCTCACCCTCATCTCTGTGGAATTCCCTGTGAATGGTGTAAAATAAACTGACTTCTCTTTAAATAGATGATGAAGAGGTGGAACTCTGTTTAGTGGGTCAGCTCGTGTGCAAGTGAACATGTGGCTATATGGATAAGGAGGTGGTCTGTCTTTGCAGGGGTGGCCAGTAACTGGGCCATCTGCTCAGGATTAAAAAACAAACTGTTTTCTCAGGAGCCTCTGGGCTAAGGCATCTGCTAAAAACATTGGAAACTGTCAACAGAGATGGCTTGGTCTTCGAAATATAGTCTCAAAATTTTGCTTGTCCGAACTTGGGAGGAACATATTGTGCAAATAATCAAAATGTGATGCTTGCCCTCTTAGAAATTGTGGTTCCTAACGTAACACTGTCTTTGTGTTATGTGTGTTGGAATATTGACAGTCAGTCTTACCAGTTTTTCATCAAGCTTGTTACATATGAGCTCATCGTATTTCTGAGCCCCTGATTTGACCAACAATGTGGCCACATCAATGAAATCAATAGCCTTGTGAAAATAGAGTTCAACCGTAGCCTCAGGAAAAATTACTTTGATTAGTTAACATTATTGAAAGATCCTCACCAACTTTATAATTATTTTCCACTTACGTAAACTACTTGATTGGTTTTTCTTTTTTAAATATTTTGTAGAGATGGGGTTTCACCATGTTGCTCATGCTAGTCTCGAACTCCTAGGCTCAACCAATCCTCCCACCTTGGCCTCCCAAAGTTCTGAGATTACAGGTGTGAGCCTCTGCGCCCAGCTTGATTTGAATTTTTAAAGGCCATACGTTATTTTTCAAAGTAATTCTAAGACATTAACATTTTAAGGAATAAAATAAAATAGGAAATAATTAAGACTATAAAAATATCTATACACATATATATTCTTACAGTATAACAAGGCAAGGAAACTTTTTGTTTCCAGTTAATTTCATTTGTCTGCATTTTATTAGTCTCCATTTAATAATGCTTTATTATAACACTGAATAACAATATAAAATTTCAACTGCATAGGGAAGTAATGAAATTTTTTAAAATAAAATGGTGTTACTAATAATTTTTTTAGATTTTATCTCCAGAAAAATGTACTGTTAAAAATGAAGGACAAAAAAACCCCACATTTATTAGTAGTGTCAACCAATTTTTCTGAAATGTTTTTTACTTTTAACCAAATAGAGGTAATTGACAGGATGATATCATTTGCTCTTTTTATTCACAGTCAGTAAATTCTATGACAATCAGCAGCAACAGTAATGACTAGATAGGTAGCTGTGTGAACAGCAGGGGGTTGCAACAGTAAAAGGTTTCTGAGACCTTTTACTCTGAGGATTGTTGATGTAGACTTTCCAAATTAAAAGAGGAGCCCTCATTGTCCAAACTGTAGTTAAGACTATAAATATATCTATACACATATATTCTTATAGAATAACAAGGCAAGGAAACTTTTGGATGAAAAATAAAAAATTAACTCACTCATCCAAATGTTGGCCACCATTACATCAAACATCAGGGTATGTAAAGACATCTTGTGAAATGACTGAATTCTCAAGTTTACATCTAAGCAATTGAAATCTTACTACGTTAGCATTTTTACATGAATGATAGTGCATAGTGTGGTGTACCCTGGAGACCTGTGTTGAACACAGGATATGTAAATATATCTGTATTTATTTTAACATATATGTCATGTAATACATATATGTCATGTAATACATATAACATGTAATTAATATGTTGAGCTTAAGATATAAGTGAAATTGATGAACATAACTATACCTCATCTTCCAAACAGAAAATGAAAAAAAAAAGTCTAATCTTATTTATCATGGTTATATTGTAAAAATAGGTTTGCAGCAAAACAAAGTAGACTCTGGAAGCAGAACTCTGGTGCTGCAAGGTGGTGTTACTCTTTTTTAGCATTAACTTGACTTTTTATCAAATTTAAATAGAATTCTGAATTTGAGATGGGGGCTTTTGTGACATTTAAAATTTTTTGAAATGGTTTAGTAGTCCTTTGTTGGTGGTAAGTGTTGGATGAATGAATGAATGAAGAATGAACAAATTAATGAATGAACAAATAGGTATTGGAGTTCTCACTCTATGGGGTTGGGTTCTAGTTGATTGCCAACTATGTGTTTCAGTTTTATATAAATACCTCCACTGCTGGTTTTCCTCTGGTTTAGTCTCAACAAACAGTACAAGCTTGCGGGGGGGGGATATTTGCTTGGATTTAGCTGAAACACAGAAGCAATCAAGTGGTTGAATTCTGCATTTTAAAAAATTGAATGACATTCCTTTATCCATATCGATTTGAGCTTTGGTAAATTCAATTGTCGATACCACCTGGATAATTTTAAATCTTTCTGAAGCTTTAAAAAAAAGTTTCCAACGTAGCTCCAGCAACATAAGAATTTCATCAATTGAAAGCTAAGAATCATTTCTGTGGGATGTGTAAAACAAGAAGCCGACCAGCATTATTTTCTTTTTCTTTAATTCAGTATCATTATTGAGAGTTATTCTTGAACTTTATGAAAACCAGATTGGGGCATGAGCATGTTCTCCATTGAATCATGTTCAAGGAATTGAAACTGAAAATCATTCAAAGTAGGGAAACATGACATTGAAAAATAGTCTACATTCTTTATTCTCCCTCAGAGTATCTGAGGCTGTTTCTAACTAGGAAGCCTTAGGCTGATAGGAGATCTGGGTTTGGTTTCTTGTTTTTTGTCTTGTTCTGTTTTATTTTTTTTAATAGATGTTTAGTTTACTAGTCAAAAAGAGGTCATAGGTTTTTTTTTGGGGTTTTTTTGTTACTACTTTGCTGGTGTATCAGTTATGATGTTGGATCCTCTTACTCATTTGCTCCAAAAGTTGTGATTTCTCACCATTGTCCACAGAAAAAAATTCCAAATAATGTCATTCAAGGCTTTCTGCTGTCTAGCCCAGGCAATCTCTTAGTCAGACTTCCTACTATCTGATTCTTCCATGCAATCCCCTTCCCAACCAAAAAAGACTATGAGCTGCTCACAAGTCTCATTTTGCTGCCTCTAGTCCTTTTCCTTCATTATCCTATCCTTCAGGAATGCCTGTTGCTTCTCTCCACTGTTTGAATGTTCCATATATACTTCAAGGTGTGATTCATCCTCTTCCATGAGTTCTTTCCAACCATCTCACCATTTCCAGCCTCCTCTCCCCCTCCCTAACTAAAACAAATCTTCCCCTTCCATCTATCCCCCTCACACACAGAGACACACCCACACACTCCACATGCTCCTACAATTTAGTCATAGCATGTATCACATTCAAGGCTGCTACTTGGGTGTGCAAGTTGTGCTCTGCACAAGAACATCAGGCCAAAGGGACACGTGGGGATGAAAATCCATCTTACTCTCCATTTGCCAAGGCATGCACCTGCCCATACGACTGTGTTTCTGCAGAGGATACCTTTTTCTGTTTTCCACAAAGGCACCGTATGGACTGGTAGCCCATCTGTTCATCTGCATCCATGTTTTTTAGTTCCCTTTCCCAGAGCACAAATTTGCTGAGGGCAGTGACTACCCTTTTATTCCTACCATTCCTGGTACAGTGCCTTCCTTATACATGGTAAGTTCTCAGTGACTTCATTTAATTTAATTAAGGCATGAAATGTATTGACTAAAAACAATTACTTTAGCTTATAAATGCAAATATGAAAAGTACCGTAGGAATCAAAATGGTCTTAGCAGATGCAAAACAGTTACTTCTCTGACTTTAAGTGCATTATGGTTCTATCTCAGCTAAGTAATTTCCTACAAAATGTACTGCCCAGTAGTCTTTTATGGAGCTTCAGAAACCACATTTGTGACAGACTATGACAGACCATGGCAGAGCTGGACTGAGATCCATTTCTGGTTGTTTGTTAAAATAGGCAAGGAATAACATTAAGAATTTTCTGAAGTGGGCAGAATTAAGATCAGGAAGAATGCCCATGGGAGGTGAGGGAATTTTAGGAGGAGCCAATTGGATCAGTCTGAGGTCAGTATACTTCCTGGAAGTCTACATTAAGGGAAAAACAAAAAGAAGACCTCATCTTAAAGGCCTTGAATCTAGAATTACTCTGCCTTTACCAACACTGCAAATTGTGTAACTTGATGTGGCCATGCTCTCAAAGTAAAGAATTGCTTAGTAAAGGCTTTAGTGGAGAATTAATATTAGTTCTGTTGCAATTCTATGTGACAAATGGGAAATGTCCATAAAGCAAGATTTACAGACCACAAAACAATGATGTACTTAAGATAGGTTTCATACCTATTTGATAAAATGGACAGGACTTCAAATTTCAGATTTCAAGCAGTAACCATTGGTCAGCCTCTCCAAAGAAAGTCCTGTGCCTATGTACAAAATTTCTTAGTAACTATGCACTTTTACAGTCCCAGCTTTAAATTATTTTTTTGTTTTCCAGGATGTGTTGAGTTTATGTGATGAACTGTTTTCAGGAAGAAACAAGTCACCTACAACCATTTCACATTGCATCTCTCTCTCTCTCTCCTTTTCCCTGACAGTCCTCTGTGATGTCGGTCTGCTTCGCCCGTTTCCATCCTAACTTGGTGGTTGGTGGGACTTACTCGGGCCAGATTGTCCTCTGGGACAATCGCAGTCATCGAAGGACTCCAGTGCAGCGGACACCCTTATCAGCTGCTGCACACACGGTAATGCAAACTTTTGCCATATCCCTGTGAGCCGCCAGGCCCTGAAAGAGAAAATAACTCTACTCAAAAAAGTATGGATGTTTTCAGTAATGCCAAGTTAGGAGGATCTACTTTATTATGATTGAATCCTGACCAGCTAAAAGTTGAGTGAAAAGTAGATGAAGGAAGCACTGGCTTTAGGGATGTCTCTTAATAACCTACATGTGCTAGCATGTAGGGAGGATCTCCTTGGCTCTCCCAAAGGCCACCAGTGAAGAGAAACCTTGGAAGAGGCATCTGTGGAATTGTTTTCCCAAAGAAACCCTATGCATTTACATTATAAGGTGGAAACACGTATTTTCAAATAGATCCTGAAGAGTAAGGATTTCACATCAAGGGATGATATATGGGACTTTTGCCAACTGGCCTTTTCCATGTGTGATTTGAGAGAGTACTTTGACTTTAAATTCTGGAATGTGTGGTGTAAGTCTCAACATAAAGTCTACAGTGACAATATAATCCCTGGGGTTAAAAGTCAACATCTCAAAACCATTACCCATAATTTAGTAGAAGAGGTTCAGTATAGTGTTCATAAGACAACTACTCTGTCATTTCCTTTAAAAGAATGACAGGTGTGTACAGCAATTGTTCAGAGGAATGAGAAGACAGGCGTGTCTCCATCAATCCTTGCTACCTTGACACTCAGGGTAACTGATGTTCTTTCTCTGAAATGCCCAAATTATGCCCAAGGATACAGCTTTACTCTTGTTTTCAATTTCCTTAATGTGCTTGCTGCATTTGTTTCATATGCTGGACTCAAAAGCACTCTGGCATGAAAAAGGACTGCCAGCTGTTTAGCTAAGTCCATGAGGAGGAAAAATCTCCTACTCTTGTAAGATTATCAATGGGAAATGACAAATACCAAGTCAGCCCCAATTCTGATTGACTGGGGCCAAAGACACTTGCAGGTGAAACTAGTTCTTGGGAATCTTGGGAAATTGCTCTTGCCTGCCCCATTTCCCCAAACTAATAACAGAAAATTGTGGCCCAGGAGAAGGTGGGCTTGATGCAGGTGTTTGGTGAAGTAGTGTGAAACCATGCCTTGGCCCTGTTTGGATGGCTGGTGTATTTCTGAACATACCTTCTGAAATTTCCAAAATTGTAAATCCAAATGTTAGAACATTTAGCAGTAAGCTTTTGGGGAAAATTCAAAACCAGGAGCTCTTCCAAAAAATTAACATTTCTTTTGTGAGTAACTTAGAGTGTGATCATCACAACTAAAATACTATTATTATCAAACTTACTGATGTTATTTCTGTTAGAAAATAAAATAGGCCAGGCATGGTGGCTCACACCTCTAATGCCAGCATTTTGGGAGGCCAAGACAGGTGGATCACTTGAGGGGTTCGAGACCAGGCTGGCCAACATGGAGAAACGCTGTCTCTACTAAAAATACAAAAAGTAGCTGGGTGTGGTGGTGCACGCCTGTAATCCTAGCTTCTTGGGAGGCTAAGGCATAAGAATCGCTTGAAACCAGGAGGCAGAGGTAGGAGTGTGCCAAGATTTTACCACTGCACTGCAGCCTGGGCAACAGAGGGAGACTTCCTCTAAAAAAAAAAAAAGAAAGAAAAAGAAAGGAAAAAGAAACAAAACTTGTCCACTTTTCGCTTTTGCTGTTTTGTTGTTGTTGTTGTTGTTGTTTTGGTTTTTTTCAGGGGGATTTTGTTTGTTTGTTTTCTCTAATCTATAGCTAAAAGTGAACAGTTAATTTTGTGACTGTCTTTCAACTTTCACTATTGGCTGACTGATTGGTACCAGGATCAAAAAGGAAAAAGAGGCCCACCACAGATTACTCACTAATTTCCTTTCACACCCACCACACATATGCATTTGAGACAACAGGAAATCATAAGTAAAACAAAATCCCTCAGGCACACAGTAAGTTTATTTCCAAGATAAATAAAAACAATCTGGCATCTATACTGGAAAAATGGGTATACTGTAGCTTTCTTCTTCCTTAATGGTAGAGTTGTGTGTGTGTGTGTGTGTGTGTGTGTGTGTGTGTGTGTGTGTGTGTAGGCATGCTCCAGTGTCTGCTTCTGTTTTGGTTTCATTACACCTCTTTTTTCTCTTAAACTGAGTTTTATTACTCATGGAAGCACAGGCCAGTAGTGCTGATTAAAGCCTGGGAGGGGCTGCCACACACACTTTCTCCGGGCACATGGCTCTACACATTCTTCTAGACTTGCTTTCTTTCTCTGCTGGACCTTTCTGAGTCTTAATCCATTAGTGTTTAATGATTTGTGTTGATGCTCAGTGGTTATCAAAGAAGCCCCACTGGACTCTTGTTGAAAAACAAGATGGATTTCAGGTTCATAACAGTATTTGGACCCTGCCTTCCCATTCTTCAGTTTTACTAAGTCTATACCATTTTCAGGTGAAAATTTGTTACATCCAATCTTCCATTTGATTTCCACACAGAGGTTAGCATGCTGTGTGGCTCCGGGCTTGATAATACACTGCCTGGGGCTCTACATACACCAGAGACTTGGGAAAGAGCATTGCCTACAATCCCACAACCAGTCAGCCTTCCTGATACTTAGAGAACTGATTGGGATAACATTTAGCTTCAGATCTCTGCTGTACTTACTATGTGCAGATCCACTAAGGCTGACTCATTTGGAAGTTTCAGTAGGGACATGGTGTGAAAGACATAGGGACTTAGCTGACTGTCCATCAGCACGGGGGAAAGAGGTGATATAATTGTCAAAAAAGCAGATGTAATCTTAGCATGCATTAAATGCAGGCATATTTTTTATCACATGAGAAGTGATAATTCAATGCTACCCAGGTTTCTATATTCTGCTGGTCAGAATATAGGTAGACAGTTCTGTTTTATTCTCAGAACCTCACTGGAAGAGGAATCAGACAAAATACAGCATTTTCAAAAGAGATTCACCAGGATAGGAAAGGTTTTGAAAACCAGGTACCCAAGGAACAGATGAAGGAATTAGTGACAGTCTGGGTAAGAAAAGATTTGGCAGGGAGAGGAGTAACAGGGAACAACTATCTATAAATATTCAAAAAGCTGTACTGTTTTGACTTGATTAGTTTGGTTTGGTCCCACAGGGCACTGCACTGGAAGTATCTCCTTGAACTTTCTTTATCCCCATTAGTGGAAGAAAAAACTCCCCCAGGATACTACGAAAACTGGCTGCCCTTTAAGGAAGGTGTTTAAGCAGAGTTTGGACCACCTCTTGGTTGAGGCAGATGAGTAGCTACATTAGATGATTATTACCACTCCTTCTGACCAGCAGTTTATATGATAATAATAGTTTGGGAACCATCCTTTATACAATAGCAACTTTCCAATATTAAATATTGTTTCATTGTAGTTGTGGCTAGGTATTATGGACAGTAACTCACCAAGGGTAAGACTGATACTGTCAGCTATTTGCACAAAGAAGCACCAAGTAAGTGTGGTTTGGCCACTGGTGGCTGAACTGCCTGAAATCTAACCCAAATTGCTGTAGGTTCTGCTCATAGTAACCTTCCATTTTGTGTTTAATACACAGCTGCAAATGATTTTAGCCTACCGTTTAGAATTCTGCAGAGTGGGATAACCCACTAGAGTATGACAGAGGGTTACAACATCTTGTGTATGGTTCCTGGGATGTATAAATGACCTTTCTCAATGCCCTGGCCAAATCTAAGCCTCTATACTACTGCAAACGGTATTTTGAAAAATAAATATATTATTATCCTAGATTTTGCAGTAACATAGAAGAACCTAATTTTATCTCACCAGGTACATTGTGCCAATAATCTCACCACTAGTATCTCTCCCCCAGATTAAAATGGTTATGAATATTAACCACTTTTTATAAAGAATGTTAACAAATGTTTGGCATTGTGACTATAATGCATTAAACTCCAGATTTAGTAACATGTATTCCTTCCAAAAGTCAGTAGTTCTACCCTTTTGAAGACTGTCTTTTTCCATCACTCTTGTTGAGCTTAGAAGCCAAACTATGCGGTGGAGACTTATTCAAGTAGTTCAAATTCACCTCCCTGCATTGCCTCTGCCCCATCAAACCTCATTTGTTCTAGCGTCCTTCTGTTCCACTGCATTGCATTCTGACTGAGCAAGGTGAAGCTTTATAAGTATTTCCACTATTATGTGTTGCTGCCAGAGCTTTTAGAAAGAAATCAGGTTCAAATCAAAAGCGGCAAATGACCTGACGCTTGTATTATAGTAGGATTATGTTACTCTTTAATCCTTGTTTTAGAGTAATGTGTTTGACACTCAAATGTAAGCATTTCCTCTTGGATCTGTCTCTGATCCTCTTTGTTTATGTTTTTGCAGCATCCCGTGTACTGTGTAAATGTTGTTGGGACCCAGAATGCTCATAACCTCATCACTGTCTCCACTGATGGCAAAATGTGTTCCTGGAGCCTGGACATGCTCTCAACTCCACAGGTGGGTTTGTTTTTCCCTACACATAACACCATCCTGGTTAAAAGAGATACCTACTTAATGGAACATAGTTCCTAAAAGCCAAACCCTCACATCCTAGAGGAGCTAAAACAAATGGATGCACTTGAAAGAGTGGGGCCTGCTTTCAGCAATCTTCTCTTGAAGCCAAAACCCATTTCCTTTACCACAAATCATGTAATTATTGTAATACATTAATCCTTAGGTCAGTTTCAAGTGAAAATGAAATAATCCATTCTAAATCATAGTAATTATGGAAGTTGCCTATGGTATGAATTGCACTTACCCTACAGCATTGTTGAACAGATGCAGACGAGGTTGGAGCTCAGCAGAGCAATCCCTTATGGGTACTTGCATTGGAGGGAAGGTAACCCAGCAAAACAGAAATCCAAGCCCTTGCTTGTATCCGTAGCCTAGACAACAGCCTGTGTGTATGAAGAAACCATCTGTTTTCCCCTCTGGAATGTTTTTTAGTATGGCTCCTGTCATTCCTTGCTCAGTAAATGAGAAGTCAAAAATGAAAAAGTTCCAAAGTCTGCAAACCAATACTGATTGCAACAGTGGGGACCAAACAAAGGAATAGAAGTGGGAGAGGCTGTCAAAGGGAGACAACTAAATGCAACTTGCAAGATATGCATATGTAGACAAACACACAAGACATGCGCATACACACATGAACACATACACACACGCTTTTTCCATATTTCTTTGTGTGAAAAAACAGTATTCACTATCCTCCAACCAAAAACAACAGAGAAGTCATTGTTATAGACTTTGACAAAAATGTAAGGAAACATGGAGAAAACTGCAAAACAATATCTAGGAGATAATTCTCAATGTTAACATTCCCATATTCTTTCCCAGGATAAAAACCCTAGAATGTCTCTCACACAATTTTAGAAGAAGTTAAAGTTTCAAAATGTACATAAGGAGACAGGGCACGGTGGCTCACACTTGTAATCCCAGCACTTTGGGAGGCCGAGGTGAGAGAATCATTTAAGCCTAGGAGTTCAAGACCAGCCTAGGCAACAGAGCAAGACCCTTTTTCTACTAAAACTTAAAAAGTTAGCTGGGTGTGCTAGCACATGTCTGTAGTCCATGTTCCTTGGGAGGCTCAGGCAGGAGGATTGCTTAAGCCCAGGAGTTCGAGGTTGCAGTGAACTATTATCACACCACTGCACTCCAGTCTGGGTGACGGAGTGAGACTTTGTCTCTTGAAAAAAATAATTATTATTATTATTATACACACACACATGCACACACACAAAAGGAAATATGGAAACTGTGAAGAACCAACCTCCTTTAAGCCTCCACAAAATACGGATGTAAAGAATACTACGTTTTTTTAAAATAATTTTAGGGAGAAAAAGGAGAGAGTGCTAATAAGCTGCTTACAATTGAAGTTCCACTATTTTCGCTGATCTTTAACATTATAGAGGGCTGGAGGGATTGGTATTTTATGGCTTTGTCTTAAAATTCTCAGCAATGTTTTGTTTTCTTTTAAAAGCCTGAAGATTATAAACAGACATAAGAGCAAGCCCACTATTTAGGAATTTTTAATTGCCCATTTTGCTCATTACACATATTTATTTAGGTTAAAACCAGTAATATGGTGGCTCTAAGTCCGTTTGTATTAGTTTTAGCATGCTCACAGACTCCTGTGTCTATACAAAGATGGAGGATTTCGTGACATGGCTTCCATGGATGGCAGGGAGGAATAGGGGCATCCAACAGTTGGCCTGGTCTTTCTCTCTCCCAAATGGGTAAAGGGACTTTTCCTTCCTTGCTGCTAATTTTAGTGATGAAGCAGATCATTGGATGATCCAGTTATCTGTATGACATAGTCACAGCATCCTCTCCTTTATCCCAGTTGCTGATGTGCACCCTATGTGTGGATATCACAAACTTTGAACACATCACAGGATCAGAATCAGTCTGTGTTGCTTAGACTGTTAGCTTGCACTTTCAATTTAATGGACTCCTTGGCTGAAATAGTTTATTTGCACAAGAAAGACTAAACTCTCAAGCAACTATAATGATATGATACCTCAGAATGATTTTTTAAAAATTATTTCAGATGCACAAAATAGGCTATTTGATGTAAATAGCCAGAAATACTCAGGGATATTAGTTATAATTGATTATTCTTTTCTGTCATTAAACTTAACTCAGCAGTATATCTTTTAAGATTAGGAATCTTTAATTCTCAATTTTAAAAAATCATATTATAAAATAAAGACTCCCATTTGCTATTTTAAAGACGTATTTAAATATTGTTCTTTTCAGGCTTATAGCCTATTCACCCAATGGCTGCCCTGCATGAAATCTAGTCCCTGTTGAAATCTGGTTTTTATGACCTGAGTGACAACTTTCTGGTTTTAGTCCATGGAGGACACATACTCCTGCTTTGACAAATTTGCTTAGTACATCTGATATTAATACATGTGTATTCTCACAAACAATTGATTTTGAAAATGTTTGTAAATACAAGGGTATTGTGTGTTTTATTAAAGCTTGGAGCTGACAAGTGTAACCATTATTATCTTTAGTTTCTGCACCATTAGTTTCAAAATTCTCACCTGTCATCTTTGCCTGACTTAAGAAGCAGCAGCACATGCTGATGAAATCCAGCCGGCTTGAAACCAGAGATCCACAGAAGCATGAATGTCAGGGGCAGTAAAGCATGGTTTCTGGCACAGCCGGGGTCTTTTGTAACGCTGTGTGAAAAGCAAACACATGATTTAGCCAAATGATTTTTCCGTGCTATCTTTGGCATGGCAAGGAGTTGACAGATGGAAATGTAACCACACCGTGTTTTGGTAGGAGAGCATGGAGCTGGTGTACAATAAGTCCAAGCCTGTCGCTGTTACCGGAATGGCTTTCCCAACGGGAGACGTCAATAACTTCGTGGTTGGCAGTGAGGAAGGTACAGTCTACACGGCTTGTCGTCATGGAAGGTGATTTTTCTGTTTCTTTACTGATGACATGTTCTTCATTTCCGAAAGTCTGTTATCACATTCTGGATTTTAACCACCTTGCATTATGAGAAAGCATCTCTGGAAAAATGGAAAGCACGACTTCAACTCTTCATTATCTTAAAGAGCTGCATCTGCTCTGGTCATTAGCTGTTCATAAGACTGTGGTGGTTCACACTGCCTTGAGGGAAAAAAGCTCGAGCTTCTGAGCCTATCATAACAGACCACTTGCACCTTCCCAGCATCTCCGCATACCTTCAGGGTCTAGCCATGTGCCCATCAGAGATAACAATCCCCAAATATTTCTTATCCCTCCATGCCTCAATGAGTTTGCATACTCAACTTCTTTTACCAGTTCTAGCATTTCTCCCTTTTTGGCCTGGTTAATTCCTCCTCATCATTCAAGAGCCAGCACAGAGATCATTCCATGTGAAACATTTTCTGACTCTTGGGCAAAGAAAACCACTCCCACCTTTAAGTCCCATAGAATTTTCAATTCTCTTATTCATTCACTCTTCCAAGGAATATTTACTAAGAACCTACCATGTGCCAGGCATCATCAAAAGGATACATTAAAGAACAAGACAGACCTAGAGTTCATATTCTAGTTGAGGGTAAAATACTAATAAGCAAATAAATATATAGTTTAGGATGGTAAGTGCAATGGAGAAAATTAAAGTAGAATAAGTGGGATAGGACTATAGGCTGTCAAGTTGACAATTTCATATATTTTCCTTATGCTTCTATAATAGCATTAATCGTATTTTAGTTTATTCATTCATCTGCCATTTTTCTCTTACTACATTATTTCCATTTCATCTTTGATTTCCTGCACAGTACCTAGGACATAGTAAGTGAGGAGCTAAAAATATATATTGGGGATAAAGAAATGATATATAATGTAATCCATCCAATCTAAAGAAGTGCCTTAAAAGCTTTCCTCCCAGTCAGATGGGTCAGAACAGAGTGAGTCACACAAACCACCATGCAGTTCCCAGGTGATAAGAACTCTACCTTAACTGAGAGATTCACAATGCCCCTGGAAAAGAGTTGTCAGTATAAAGTGGAATCCAATAGTTTGGACTAGATTGTAAAATTGCATGCAAAACTTAACAGGTGGCCTCATGTCTTTTGAAAGGGTCACTATGTTCACACTGGTGCTTAATTTGTCTTTTACTTTAGTAGTTCTTATTCCATTGATTTTTTTTCATCTCTTGCACTCATCCGAGGCTATTAAGATTTAATGAAGAACCACAAATTGTTCCAAGTTCATATCCCTGTGTTTTTGTGATTTGTAGAAATGACAAGCATCCATGGCTCAGCTATGTGACTTTTTCCATTCAAACTATACAAGCTGTTATGTTCCTGCTGTTCTGCACGTAGAAACAAGCAGTATTTGTCCCCTCACATGATTCAAAGATGACTTAGGAAGATATGCCTCACAGTCCATTCCCAATGATCCTCCTTCATAAACCCTGGCTAAAACCACACATTAAAGCTTTATCAAAGCATAAAAATATTTGATAAAGTTATTCATTCATAAATATATTTGTTGTATGCCTACTTTGAGCAAAGTGCATTGTTAGGTTCTGCAAGGCCTGCAGACGTCATGTAAACCTGGTTTCTCTCTTCAAAATAACTGATGACGGTGAGAAAGATAAATACACAAATATCTGGAACATGAGTAGAATGTCTTAAGTGGCATGAGAGGCATAGAGAGTATAGTAGGCCAGACCTGGAGTCACAGCTTTATCTATATGCGTATTAGAATCAACATGGCATAGGTTCAGTTAACTTAACCCATGGTTTTACCTAGGTCCTTGATTATCTACGAAGGCTATAGAATACATTCATTGATAATTTCCAGATTTTTTTCATTGCTATAAAGTGAATAACATTTTACATGATGAACATTCTTGTTCTGTGGCTACTGTACTTTCTAAGCACTATCAGAATATGCACTTTGGTTCAAAAGAAGGGTCCCTATGGCACACACCACAAATCTTTTTACAACAAGCTGAATTTTGCTTTACATTGGTCCATCCATCTGAAATATAAAATACAGACCTTAGTAACATTGTAACGTAGCAGGCATTGGCTTTGTAGTCATTCTAAATGGGTCATATAGGTCTATGGGGGAGAAGCAGGGGATTGCTATTTTTCACCTAACATAGAGAAGGTGCAAATCCACTTCCATAAATTAAACAAGGTCCTCATTTTGCACCCTATAAATCCTTTCAGGATGCTGTTAAGAGCAAGTGGAGTCTCACCAGGGGCCACTTCAAAGATCAGTTCCTCGGGTTCATTAGAACAAATTTAAATGATCATGTGTGGAACTGCTCTTAGCAGTTTCACTGGGCATAATTTTTGAGTGCCTGTTACATGGAACACGCACTGCCACACTTTGCTCATGATTCCAAATTTTGCTAAGCACATTGACATTTATTGGTGCTCCAGAGGCCCAAATGTTTTAATAACTGAGCTCGTTTTTATTCTTAGTGACATAATATTAGGATTCTACAATTCCTACATATTTGTCATATTTATAACCTCATGCACATGAATATTTTAAATATAGCATTTTTGGTATGTTTTCTCACATCTTCCTAATTGTATATGATTGCATGCAGAATACTATGTGATAATAGAGGGCTGCAAATAATAACAGCTTAGTTAAATAAGCAAGATATGTCTGTGTGTAATTTTTTAAATGTCTATCATTATTTCTCAAATGTGCTTCTGTTTTAAAAAAGGACTGAGACATAAGTTTGTCTCTTTTTCTTAGCTAGTTTATTCAACAAATATTTATTGAGCACTTACTATATGCCAGACACTTGGCAACAAGAAAGACAAGATACTTGCCCGTATGGGATTTACAGTGGATATGTAAATCTGTCTTCTGTTTTCAGTAAAGAGAAAACATTATTTTCTCCATATTATATTTAAATTATGTGCATTATTTTGTGGTGACAAGGGTTTCCACAAAGTGTTACATTTTCAGCTATGTTAAAGTAATTTAAGAAATTTACTTGAAAAAAATAAATGATTGTTCCTTCAAGGATGGATGGAGTTTTATAGTCAATAGGTTCCCCAAAAGGAGATAAAGCAGACCATGTGCAAAATGCTATCTCAAGAATAAAATAGTCTTATAAATATAAAAGCTTCAGAGACCTAAGTGTATTTGTTTCCATTAAAATAGCTGCATCAGCAATGATAGGCTTTGAGGAATTCTGCAAAAAGAATTAAATAATAAATATTGATATTAAATTCTGTATTTTAAAAAGATTTCATTGCCCTACATTGTTTTTAAATAATGAAAAATAGGGTAACATATTTGCAAACAATTTCTTTCAGGATAACTGTAAAAATGATTTCATTTTGGTGGTGTGTGGTTGTTCTAAATTATGGAGATGCAGAGTTGAGGGTTTTTTGTTTTGTTTTGTTTTTAAGCAATCATTGCTTTTCAGAGGTCACTGGAATTCTGCTCATGTGTGCTCTTCCTACAGCAAAGCAGGTATTGGTGAGGTCTTTGAAGGTCACCAAGGGCCAGTGACAGGAATTAACTGCCACATGGCAGTGGGCCCAATCGACTTTTCTCACCTGTTTGTCACATCATCATTTGACTGGACTGTCAAACTGTGGACCACCAAGGTAAGAATATCTTGACTGAAATTCTCAGATAATACATAAGGGCAGAGGATGGTTTTTCATTCCCTGGAAACAGTTGTCCCTAAAGCCTCTTCCAGGCAACCTGGCATTGGGAATTCATATACCTTCTGGTGAGCTCAGTCTACCTCAGAGCTAGTTAAGTCCATTTTATTTACTTTTACACATATAGGTAATACTTGAAAATATTCTAACTATAAAAAATTCAAACAATTCAAATAATGATAAAGCTGCAGTCCTCCTCTACCTACCCCAACCCCAACCCCATCCACAACACCCCCTTCACTGCCTGCACCTCAGTCCCCTCCCCAGGGGTAAACTTTTATCAGTTTCATGTCTATGTTCTGGAGCTTGGTGGTATCTACTTACTTACATATGTACCTATGGAAATATATGATTTGGGACTTGGGTTTTTTTTTGTTTGGTTCGTTGATTGGTTGTTTATTTTTATTTTGAGCTATTGGAAGTTTTTAAGCTGGTAAATGGCCCTATGTTATGTTTTTAAAGGTAATTCTGGCTGGGAGCTGTGGCTCACATCTGTAATCCCAGCACTTTGGGAGGCCGAGGTGGGTGGATCGCTTGAGGTCAGGAGTTTGAGACCAGCCTGGCCAACATGGTGAAGCCCCATTTCTACTAAAAATAGAAAAATTAGCTACATATGGTGGTACATGCCTGTAGTCCCAGCTACTCTCGAGGCTGAGGCAGGAGAATCACTTGAACCTGTCAGGCAGAGGTTGCAGTGAGCCGAGATTGGGCCACTGCATTCCAGCCTGGGTGACAGAGCCAGACTCCATCTCAAAATTAAAATAAAATAAAATAAAATAAAATAGTAAAATAAAATATAATTCTCTCCATGCTTGAGAGCAAGAAGAAAAGCTGAGACCACTTGGAAGGAAGGCACAATAATCTAGGAAAGAAATGACAGTGACTTAAACCAGTAGTCTGAGATGGAGAGAAATAAATGCATTTGAGAACCATTTAAGAGATAAAAGCCACAGAAACTGGTGATTGATTTGATAGAAGGAAGGTAGGAGAGGGAGTCATCAGCAGATAACCCAGGTTTAAGACCTGGGCAGCTGGTGAGTGTAGCACTCACTGCACTGGAGAACAGCAGGGGAAGGACATGCTGGGGCAGAGCTTTGCATATGTTGAGCTAAAGGTGCCCGGGAGAGGCATTTCAAGATCTCCATTAAGCAGTTTGATATGTGAGTCAGAAGAAGAGAGAGCCCTCCAAACAGAACGTATGCACTAGAATAGCAGTGATCTTCACAAATGAGTAGTTTTTTTTTTTTTTCTTTTTTTTGAAACATAGTCTCGCTCTGTCACCCAGGCTGGAGTGCAATGGCACTATCTTGGCTCACGGCAGCCTCTGCCTCCCAGGTGCAAGTGATTCTCCTGCCTCAACCTCCCTAGCAGCTGGGATTCCACAGCACACACCACCATGCCCACCTAATTTTTGTATTTTTAGTAGAGATGGGGTTTCGCATGTTGGCCAGGCTGGTCTTGAACTCCCAACCTCAAATGATCTGCCCGCCTTGTCCTGCCAAAGTGCTGGGATTACAGGCATGAGCCACCACACCTGGCCCAGCAGTGGATTTTAAAAGAAACACTAACATGCAATCTGGAGGGAGAGCAATACTTAGGAAATAAATAGAAATTGAACTAGAAAAGGGAGATGAAAAAGTAACCCAGGAAATAGAAGACAAATTAGAATTTTCTTTGCAGCTTCATGGGTATTAATGGAAAAAACCATGTTAAGAGGACAGAATTTGCTTTTAACTATATGAAAAGATAACAACCTCATTTATAAGAGAAATTAAAATTAAAACCAAGTTGAGAAACATATTTCCAACTATCAGATTGACAAAAATCTAAGTTTTGCAACATACTCTGTGATGAGGCCGAAAGAAACCAGCTGTTCTCATACATTTCCATTGGAAATGCAAAATGGCTCAACACTGTGGAAGAGGATTTAGCAATATCTAAAAATAATACATGTTTTAACAGAACAATTTCCACTTCTAGGAATCTATGCCAAAGATATACCAGCAAAAATAAGACAGAAGACATATGGAGAAGGACATTCACTGAAAGATTATTTGAATAGCAAAAGAATGAATACAACTCAAAAATCTCTATCAGTACAGTGCTGTGTGAATCAAAAGTATGGTACCTCCACCCAAGAGAGTAACATTATTCAGGTATAAGAAAAAATGAAGAAGACTTCTATGTTCTATTATGGAGTGATCCCTAAGATACATTTTTAAATGAGTAAAGCAAAGTGGAGAGAAGTGCAAATAGTATATTATCATTGTTTATAATTATATAATTAGAAGTTGAAAGGATAAACAAAAAAGTTACTTATAGCAAGACAGGAAGCTAAAAGAAAAAAATAATAGCTAGACTTCTTTGAATATACCTTATTTTTACATTTGATTTTGGAACCATGTAAATATTTTACATAGTTATAAAAGAAAATGAAATAAATTTAAAAATTGATTCCTAAAAAATTTAAAGTAACATGAATCAACTTTAATGTGGTTCAAATTGGTAGCAAAATCTTACATGAAAGAATGATTTGAAGTGACTTTAAAACTCTGTATGTTTGGTATACATTCCTAAAGGGATATATTTTAAGGATTTTTTTAAACTACCAAAAAAAATCTAAAATCTAAACTACTTCTAGTACTCATATTGCTGGTTGTCATATTGCTACTGCTATCCTGAGGCCATTGTATTTATATCATAACATAAGTTAAATTACTATGTTGGTGTCATTGAGAACTGAGATTATCAGCTTGGTTGAAAGGAGATACAGATGCATGCAGTTAAGTAACAATTCTGTAGTAATCCTGAATCTGAGTGGGAAGTATACTAAGAACTCATGGTGTGTATTATCTTTCAATACAAAAGAATACATATTCACTGCTCTGTTCACCAAAAAGACCTGGGAACGGTGACCAATTCAATAGCAATGACATTCCTGATGCCCAGAATGTGCTCCCCAAATACAGCTTCCACTCAAGGAAACCAGGGATCCCAGAAGAAATTACTGATTCTAAGCGCGGAGCAGGAAATTTATAAAATAAACTGAGATTATTTTATTATAACAAGCAAAGATGCTACCAAACACTACAAAGTTTTTGTCAAAGGACTTGGAAACCAAGTTGAGTAAGCTTCTGTTGGCCCAGACAACATCAATAAGAGTAATAGATTCATGAGTTCCTAACAATACTGAAGAAAACAAACAAATAAAAAACCTCTTTGGCCACCTATGGAGAATACTAGGTAAACAAACTCATTATTTTGAAAACCAGTGAGTAAATGAAAGAATAAAACATGTAGTCTGTCTTTTCTATATGAATTGTATTTCAGGGTTACTAAATCATTGATGAGGGGACTTTTTCTTTACAGAATTCCAGCTAATATAGGAATAAAAAATGGGCCGGGGACTGTGGCTCACACCTGTGATCCCAGCACTTTGGGAGGCTGAGGCGGGTGGATCACGAGGTCAGAAGATCGAGACCATCCTGCCCAACATAGTGAATGCTTATCTTTACTAAAAATACAAAAATTAGCTGGGCGTGGTGGGGTCTGCCTATAATCTCAGCTGCTAGGGAGGCTCGGGAGGCTGAGTCAGGAGAATCACTTGAACCAGGGATTCAGAGGTTGTAGTGAACCGAGATCGTGCCACTGCACTCCAACCTGGTGACAGAGTGAGACTCCATCTCAAAAAAAAAAAAAAAAGAAAGAAAGAAAGAAAGAAATGACAGAATTTGAAAATCACCATTTTGCAAACACCATAATCTAGGCAATGATTATTGCTGATAATATTGTAAAAATAGAAACAACCTTTTTCATAATTACAGAATACACAATACCACCTTTGAAGTAGGCTTACACTCAAAATTGAATCTGAATCTTATCAATCCTCCAGATCTCTGAATTTAGAAGATACAGATGCAAAACATTAAATAACACCACAGGGATGCAATCAACCAAACCCAGACCGCTGGCATATCTACGGGACACCTGATTTAGTTTCTGCAACAAAACCAAAAATTTTTCCTCAAGGGCAAATTGGAAGTGGAAACAATGTATTAAAAAAAAAAAAACAGAACAAAACAAAACTTGGGACATTTCAGTGGATCTTAAAATATGGATCTTACATAGATCTTGATTCAAACAAGCAACCAGGTGAAAAACTTTACAAGGCTACCAGGGAAATGCAAATACTAACTGTATATTTGATGATATTCATGCAGTACTATTTTTAGTAATTTTTTTTTTTTGAAATGTAGTCTCTCTCTGTTGACCACACTAGAGTGCAGTGGCACCATCTCGGCTCACTGCAACCTCCACCTTCCAGTTCAAGCAATTCTCCTGCCTTAGCCTTCCGAGCAGCTGGGATTACAGGTGCCCGCCACTACAACTGGCTAATTTTTGTATTTTTAGTAGAGATGGGGTTTCACCATGTTGGCCAGGCTGGTCTCGAACTCCTGACCTCGTGATCCACCCGCCTCAGCCTCCCAAAGTGCTGGGATTACAGGTGTGAGGCACTGTGTCTGGCCAATAATTGTTATGATCACTTTAAATGGTGTTACCTTTTAGGGATGCATATTGAAATACAGAACAAATTATATGATATTAGGGATTTGCTTCAAAATAAGCAGTTGGGAATGGGAGAGCTTGTGAATGTAGGTGACTAACATTGGTCATGATTGCTAATTATTGAAGCTGGATGATTGATATTAGTCTCTCTATCTCTGAATATGTTTAAAATTTTCTATAATAAAGAACCTTTAAAAGGCAGAAAAAGCAATTAGTAATAATGGCTAATACTTCAGAGAAGAAACATCAGGACGGGAATATGTCCATTGTATTTAGCAACTCAGAAGCCACTAGTGTCCATGGCAAAAGCAGTGTCTTTGGAGTTTGTTGAGGGTGGGACAAAAAATTACAATACGTTAAAGAATGAGTGGAAAGCAAGAAAGCATTAAAATCAAGATGTTTTCTTTCCTTTTTTTTTTTCTTCTTGAGATTAGAGAGAGCTCAAGGATGTTGCTGCTGTGGAAGAGCCTGTGAAGGAGAGTAGAAAATCTGTAAGTGTAAGGTAGAGAAAGGGCCGTGAAAATGTTGCCACAAATGAATTCATAGCATGGACAGGGAAGTGAATTTTAAATCTGAGCAGCAACATCTCTTCTGTTGTAACAGAAGAGCAGGTAAGGATGGGATCATGTGTGTGTCCGTGTGTAGAGTTAGTGAAGGAAAGCAGAGCAAACTCTCCTGTGATGGCTATTTTCTTAATGCTGTAGGGGGTTAAATACTCTGCTGAGTGGGAAGTGGAGCTACTGAAGGGAGCAGATTTCAGCTGATCACAGAGGAGAATAGGAAGAGCTGATTAGGGAATGAAAGATGGACTGTGGTCAGTGTGGTGGGTCCAGTTGCGGTCAGAAACCAGAATGTTTTAGCAGCTTCAATCTTCAGGACTGATTTCCTCCAAGAAAGGGCAGCAGTGGAAATATGGGAATGAATGAAGGGCAAAGTTAGATGGATGTGGGCAGGAGCCTTACCAGAGTGTGATGGAGGGGCAATAGAGCAAGGAATTGGGAGATATGGACAAGAAAGCTTCTGATGTTATAGGCTAAGGATGCTAAGCTGGAGCAGAAAGGAAATAAAAACAGACAGGAGAAAGTAAAGAGAGCAAAGGATTGGATGCCCCTATAAGATCAAAGAACAAGGATGAAGGAAGTAATTGAATAAGAGAATTAGTAACATAAGATATTACTGTTAGAAAGTGAGATGTTTGGATTTAGTATTTCACAACTGAAATCATTCCAAGTGATTTTTTTAAAAAGTCAAGGATGTGGTCATGTGTATAGCTGAAGTCTAGTGAGGGTGGAATTCACTGCAAATGAGGACGTCACAAAAGGTCAAGGTGCTGGTGTGTTGTGGGCTTTGGAGTGGGCCAGAAAATAGCTAGACTGGGATGGAAAAGGAAACAGCGATCACAGTACCAAAGTCCTCAGTGAATTAGGAGGAGACATCAAAAGAGGTAGAGAATGATACAGCCAGATGGCCTGAGCTTAAAAGAAATAGGACTTTTTACTGGAGGCCTAAGAAGCGGTAAAATAGCCCTGAAGAGCAAGTGAGAAGCTGACCCTCTCACTATCTTGAAATAGAATACATGATAATGAACAGCTTCTACATGAGGAAATGGCAGAAGAGGTGGTGAGGTTAGGGCAGAGCTAGGATTCCACTGAGGCAGGCAGGAGAAGTAGCTTCCCATGAGAAGGCTGAGGTTGGAGGCAAAGGCATGTATCATGGAATAAGAGATGTGGGGCAGGGGAACTGTAGGAACATCGGGAAAGAAGAGTGCAGTGAGTGATTTGTTCCGGTGAAATAAGTACTAATAGAGATTTCTAGAAAATGCTCTGAGACCCCACTGGGAATGGGAAGGGGAGACGGAATAAAAGGGGCCAAGGATTCAGAAGAGGATGCTAATCGTTACATATTCTAGCACAATGAGGTTAGCATGAAGGGAGAGGGAATTAAAACACATTACATTGCCCTCCCTCTACTCCCACAGCACCTCCTGCCGCACCACGTTTCATCATTAACCACTGTCAGGGAAGACCACATTGAAGCAGAAACTTTGTCGGAGTGGTTTACCTGGCAAACAGAGAACCAGGCTGCATTCCAGGCAGCTGAGTCAACAAATGTCCAAGCAGCCATTTTCATCCAAATGGCTGGAAGGTTGGGATCCATTTAGGGAATGAGGCTGGAAAGATAGGTCTATACTTGATTGTGTTGATTTATTTTTATTTTCTAGGTGGTGACAAGTCATTTTAGGAGAGAATTAATCAAAATTTGATTTTAAGGAGTTTGCTTTGGAATACTGTGGAAGATGAATTTGTGTGGGGAGCCAAGATCAACATTTATCGAGGTCATACTATGTACTAGGCATTGTGCTAAATATTTGAAATACATTAGTTCATTAAATGCTCACAATAAACCTGTGAGTAGATGTTAGTATCCCATTTTATATAAGAGGAAATAGGCACAAGAGAGCGTAAATAACTTGCCTGATGTTCTTAGTGAATAAGTGGGGAAACTGGGATTCAAATTCAGATTTGGGTGACCCCAAAGACTGTGTTCTTTTCCACACCATCGTGTTAAGCCTGGAGACAAGAAGCCCAGTTGTAAGTCTGGTTTGGTCATCCAGGTGAGAGCCAGAATTTAGGCAGTGAGCTTGTGGAGGAGAACACCAATCTGAGAAATAAAATCAACCAGATGCAGTGACCAGCAGACCTGATTTGAGAGGGGAGTCAGTGATGATTCTGATATTTCTGTCGTTAGCATCTGAGTGAAGAATGGTGGTGCCAGTGACTGAGACAGGACATGCAAGGGGAGGAGTGGGCTTGGGTTAGAGGTAGGAAATCAGTGGTCTGGGCATGCTTAGACTGAGGTGTCTGGAAATTCCCACAATGTAATTGAAGATATTTGTCTTAGTCCATTCAGGGTTCTATAACAAAACAACTTAGAGTGGGTAACTTATAAACAATAGTCTTTATTGCTCACAGTTCTGGAGGCTGATATGTCCAAGATCAAGGTGCCAGTAGATTTGGTGTCTGGTGAGTGCTCACTGCCTCATAGATGGTGCTTTCTTCTTGCATCCTCACATGGAAGAAGGGGCTAACAGGCTCCTTGAAGCCTCTTTTATAAGGATACTAATCCCATTCATGAGGGTGGAGCCCTCATGACCTAATCATCTCCTAAAGTTCCCACCTTTTAATACTATCACAGTAGGGATCAAGTTTCAACATATGAATTTTGGAGGGACACAAATATTCAATTGACAGCGTAATACTGAAGCTCAGGGGCAAAGGATGAGTTAGAAATATAGATATGACAGTGATCCATCATTTATTCCAAAGGTGAACATTATAATAGAACATGAATTGAAGAGGCTATGAATGCAATCTTGGACCTGCTGATGCTGCAGGTGCTGAGGCGTGAGAACAGGATGCTCAATAAAGAATGTGATAAAGACTGTTAAACACCAGAGATATCAAGAAATACACAGATGGCAAGGCAAGAAGAGGGTCACGTGGACCTCAGTGAGAACACTTTTAGTGGAGCACTGGAGACAGATTGTGAGTGGTTGCAGAGTGAAAAGGGAAGACAGTAGACACAGAAAATATAGACTAGTCTTTCAGACATGAGGCAGTGAACATAAGGAGATAGAGAGGCGACTAGCAGGGAAAGCCAGGCCAAGGAAGGATTTTATTATTATACTCTCTGAGAGACCTGAGTATATTTGCGGCCTGAAGAGGAGCCAGTGAAAGGTGTATGGTTTAAAAAATGGAGGAACAGAATTCACCGCTATATAACTCATCCATGTAACAAAAAGCGACTTGAACTCCAAAAGCTATTGGAATAAAAATTAAATTAAAAGAAAAAACCAGAGGAAGATTATTTCAAGTGACCATGTCAGGTTTAGGATAGGGAGAAGAGGCAGGATATTGGCAAGACTAAAAAAAGGCTTACAAGTAAGTTTAGCTACATGGAAGTGGAGGGAGAAGGAGGAAAGAAGAGAAGGTCCCCCATTTCTTCGGTGGAGTCAGAGGCAGTTATCTGTTAACGATGATGGGAACTGGGATGTGGTAGGGAGAGGAAGGAGGATTAGACCAGGTCCTGTAAGAGATGGGACAGGGCCCTGAACTGCATAGATTTGAGGACCAGCTGGGGCTAAATATCACAGATGTATTTCATAGGTGATATCTAATTTAAATTTTATGAGGTGATAAGAAGAGTGCCAAGAATTGTGTAAAATTGCCATTGTGGAATCTCTTACAGGAATCTCCTGAATCTGACATTCAAAGCTGTCCACAGTCTGTCCCCACCATTACTAGAGCAGGTGAACAGATCCAGGTTTGGGAGATGCACCACTTCTTTACAATTCTTCCAAGCCAGTGTTCTCAAAATGTGGCCCCAGATCAGAAGCAACAGCATTACCTGGGGCTTATTAGAGATGCAAACCGTCTGGGCCCCACCCCAGACCTTCTGTGTCAAAAACTCTGGGGATGGGAGCCAACAATCTGTGTTTTAGAAGCCTTCCAAGTAATCCAGATGTTGCTAAAATATAAAGAGCCATGCCCTAAACCACCGTAAAGTTCTATTTCAAACATCCCATCCTACAGAGCTGGTGGGGCAGTTCAGTTACATTGAGGGACCCTTCCTTTCTCCCAGGGTTGTGTTAGAGAACTGGGGATCTAGTTTAGGGTTCAGACAGGAGAATGAAAACTATTGTCCCACCTGCAACAAGGTTTCCTCATATAATGAATATGCTACATGTTCTGGCCAGAGGTTTGTACGGTGAATGTATTTGAAACCCCAAATTAATTCTAACCCTTTATGTTGTCCTAAACAGTTACGCTTGAAACTTGACAATATGGGCTAATGGCTTTCTCCTCTTCTTAATCTCTATGAGCGTAAAATTTAAAGGAAGCAATCACATCTCTTAAAATTACTAATCACAGGCCGGGCACAGTGGCTCACGCCTGTAGTCCCAGCACTTTGAGAGGCCGAGGCAGGCAGATCACAAGGTCAGGAGATTGAGACCATCACGGCTAACACGGTGAAACCCCGTCTCTACTAAAAATACAAAAATTAGCTGGGCATGGTGGCGGGTGCCTGTAGTCCCAGCTACTCGGGAGGCTGAGGCAGGAGAATGGCGTGAACCCAGGAGGCAGAGCTTGCAGTGAGCCAAGAGTGTGCCACTGCACTCCAGCCTGGGTGACAGAGCAAGACTCCATCTCAAAAAAAAAAAAAAAAAAAAAAATTACTAATCACATTTTGCAGGACTATGGCTGAAAATAACCTTTATCTTAATAAAAGAGGCAAAGTAAAAAAAATACTCTCTTGAAAATATTGGAAATGGAGTTTTTTGGCCTTTTTCCATCTTACTGACAATGAGAATTTTCATGGAAGTGTAGCGGAGACAAAGATATGAGATGGGTAATTATTGTAGTCCCTTTTGACAATAATGATTACCTTCATAATCTTTACTTTAAACTTATTGGGTAACTTGGAGTCATCTTATCATTTAAACAAGGCAAAGAAGTTTATAATAGAGTCTTAATAGGATTAGTGATAGCCTCACACTTCAGCTTGTAAATTAAATAACATAAGGAAAAATCCTCCAAATCGTAGAAAGAATTGGTGCTAAGAGACAACACTATGAAATAGAATGAAATCAAATTTTTTAAAAGTCTGCAATATAATACTTTGTTGATAAAATACAGTATAGTGGTGGGGCACAGTGGCTCACACCTGTAATCCCAGCACTTTGGGAAGCCGAGGTGAGCGGATCACCTGAGCTCAGGAGTCCGAGACCAGCCTGGGCAACATGGTGAAACCCCGTCCCTACTAACAATACAAAAAATTAGCCACGCATGATGGCTCATGCCTGTAGTACCAGCTACTCAGGAGGCTGAGGCAGGAGAATTGCTTGAACCTGGAGGGCACAGGTTGCAGTGAGCCGCTGCACTCCAGACTGGATGACAGAGAGAGACTCCATCTCAAAAAAAACAAACAAACAAAAAAAAAAACAGTATAGCTCAAAAAGATAACCAGAAAAGATCAAAAGCAAACAATTCGACAACAAGAAAATTTGGCAACAGAAATATGCATTTTATACACTCTACTGCCCAAGAATTCACATGTCTAACATAATAATAAAATATTAAAAAAGGAAGTCTGTATTCGAGGGGGAATGTCATGCTGGAATTAGCACAGTGAGCAAAATGAATCTCACCCTGAAGCCTATAGAGAAGTCCATATGAATTCACTTTGCATAGCTAAATGATTGCCAGAGAGACAATAACACTTCACATACTGAAAGAGAGAAGTGATGATTTTAAAGATCCAAATTTAAAATGAAACTTCTCTACATGGGATCTTAGAAATACTGTAGTTAAATGAAAAAGCATATTTAGAGAAAATGCAATCATTGTCAATTCTCTTTGTGATTTGAATAGTTAATATTTCCATTAATTTTATAGGGTTTTATTTAAACTTTCCATGAGGATTGAACAGGTTGAGTTTTTGAAGTGGGACAAACATGATATTACATATTTTGGGGGTGCTAAGTTCCTAAACAATACCCTTTCCCATTCGGTTTATCTTGTGCCTTTTTCTACCAAACTGCAGTTTCACCCTCTACAGCCTGTATTTATCCCCATGATTGCCACTAGACCTGCTTCTTCAAAAGTTGCCCTGACCTGCTTTCTTGCCTGTTCCAGGGGTCATTTTTATCATTTTCCTTTTCTTTGATGACTTTGCTGCTTTAATAATGTTGATTAGTCCCTTGGAACATCCTTTTTTCAATGAGGCTGCTTTTAGAGGATAGTAAAAAAACTACATATTTTAGTCTGTCCATTATGATCCTTTAAAAAAAAGTACTAAAAATGCATTGCCTGAATAAATTCTGTTGAGTACCAACTCTTACCTTTTACTGTATCTTAGCACATTAAATTTCCTGTCCATCAAAACATGCTGGAGCTGATGCTCAGAAATAAAGTATGTACTCTTGGCTGGATTAAGACATTCATTATTCCACTCAGCTTGTCTGTTTGCTGAGGTTTTGGATAATTTTTTTTCCTGTGCTGCAGTTTAGTTTAGTGGCTAGACAAGTTCTGAGTCTTTGGATTTTTTTATTAATGCATCCAGTTTGGAAAGTTTCAGTGGATTCCAGTTAAATTTTGGGTTAATATTTATTTTGGTCCTGGTACAACTTCAGGGGGATTTAGGTTCATGATACTGTTCATGTATTTGCCAGGTCAGTCCCTTTCTTTAGACTTCAATGGGCTTATGTTTCTTCTATTTGTATTAAATCTATCTTCTAAATCCTTTCTGCTCTCAACTTTTGGGTCTTAAAATTCAATTCCATTATGTCGACTGATCAGGTATATGGCCTAACTTAACCCATGTGTTTGTATTTGGTGTGGATTTTGGACACCACCCTGGGGTGCTGTCATCCAAGAACCTTTCGTGATACACATTTGATTGATGGAAATCACTGACTTCCCCTGAATATATCTTGACATTGTAGACATTGTACAATCTTTCCTAGCAGTTAACATGCATCTCAATCCTCTAATCTTTTAACAGTGACTCTGCTCTGAGAATAAAATTTTCTAAGTGACTGGAGAATTATGACTTTGCACAAATTAGAAAGATAATCTTTAATTTTCAAGCAACTACTGTGAAATCAATAAATATTACCTATTTCACTTTTACATCCTCTGATGGGGTTAAAATATAAGATGGCTGTCTTAGCTGATTGTTTTCCCTGTTAGCTACTAGAAAAGAATAATTTGAATTTTATGAATAAAAGAGACAAGAAACATTTTTTCCTGAGGAAGAACATTTGTTATTCCTTTTTAAATATCTTCATTTAAATGATTATGTATTACAATAAATGTTAAGTATGGGTATATTATAAATAATACAATGATTAAAAAATTTATCTCTTGAATCACAGTGAGTATGCAACTGGGACAGAATTGCCATCCTTTCCCTGTAAGACTGTGAGCTCCTTGAGAGTAAGTCCCTGTGTTTTTTGTCTGTATCCCATTACCTGGCATAGTGCTTGGGACCTGGTAGGCACTGAGTAAATCACTGAATTAATACATGAATAAATAAATGCTGGTTTTTAAAAAGATGTACATTGAAAGCATACTATAGCAAATATTTAGTTAGCAGTAGTTTTGAGCAGTAAAATTCATAGCCATAATTTAGAAATATAATAATTAGAAACTGAGGTTAAGCTTTAAAAATCCTACTAGGAAATATTTAAGAAACCATAACATTGAAAAAAGAAAGCAGAAGTTTGAAGGAAATTTAGTTAGGTAAAGGGAGAAAGGAAAGGGCATTCAAGCAGAATGAACAGAGTATGGAAAAACACAGACACATGAGATAGTTAGTACTCTCTAGCTGTGTGAACCTAGAAAAGTTACTTAACCTCTCTGTGCTGCAGTTTAGTCATCTCTAAAATGGGGATTAAAATACCTCCTATTTCATGAAGTTCTTGTGAAGATTAAATGAGTGAATAGTTGTAAAGATGTTAAAACCATGCTAAGTATAGGGTAAGAATATTAAAGATGTAGCAATAGTAATAATTACCACTATTACTGTTGAATATTATGGTAATTGTTGCTGTTGTTATTTGGATGCTAAAGTGCTTTAGTAAGGCTGGAGCAGTGGGTACAAGGTGACTGGAACAGAATAATGAAAGGACAGCTCTCGGGACAAAATGGGATCAGATGACAAAAGGCAAAAAGGCAGCCTTGTGATGCCATGCGATGGAGTGTAGACTTTCTTCTGAAGATGACAAAGGTGACAGCTTATGTGAAAGTAGGGCCACATCACCTCTTGCCTGATGTCATGTAGACTGAAGGTGGGCAGTAAGGACATCTTACCTTCTCCTCAGTATTTTGAACAACAGTGATAGTGTAATGTCCTACCTCTGATGACTGCTCTATCAAATTACCAGCAGTATTTATGTTCCAGAGTAACCCCTGGATACATCACATGCATCCCTCCTATCTCCACAGTAGTTGATTGGATTATGAATGCACACTCTCACAATTCCACCTCATAAAATGATAGCGACTTCATTGACTGGAGTATTTACTTTTGCAATCCTTCATGAGGCTGCCCCGCCCAATTCACTACATCTAAGTTTTCAGACGAAGCCAATTATGATTACAATAGTCATAATAATAATTGTAGCTGCATTTAACTGAATAATCACATGTGACTGGCATTATGCCACTGATGTCACATAATTTTAAGTGTATTTCTGTAAATACATTGCCACACGACCTCATCTGGAATGGATCACTGCAGAATTATCTCATCTGGCCTTTCTGCTAGCTTTATGTTTACTGGCTTCTATATTTTATCTTCAGTTTGGCTTTTCTTTTTATCAACTTATAATTGTTTTTAAATTTGGGGGGCCAAATATATATTCCCTTCCTCATCCTTCTTGGTTCCAACAAACTCCTGTCACTAGCACTTCTAATCCTCACCCAAAACCCCATTAGTCTTTTCACACCTGCTCTCCAAAGTCCTGACTTCTTGAAAGGGATTTAAAAGTGGCAAGACAAAAAGACAGAGGTACTTTCATTTGTCTTAGATCTCAGGAAAGTATGTGTAGGCATATCTAGGTATATTTTAATATTTCTTTTATGATATCTATGTATTTCTTTAACTTGTTTCACAATTTAGTGCATACTTACACTTTTTTTTAGAATAGGATATTGCTTTGTTCATCTTTATCCCGTGTCTCACATATGTTAGTTTCCTAGTATTACACACAATGTGGCATGAGTAGAATTTGCCCATTAAAAATAATTACTACTTTATCAACATGGGACAAAAAATATTGGAAGATTATTCTCATTCTTCTGGTACTTTGTAAAGAATAGATATAATAAGAATTTTGTAGTGGAAAAATATAATTAATTTTTTAAGCTTTCTTTTTTTATTATACTTCTGGGATACATGTGCAGAATATGCAGGTTTGTTACATAGGTGCCATAGGTTTGTTATATACACGTGCCATGGTGGTTTGCTGCACCCATCAACCCGTCATCTACATTAGATATTTCTCCTAATGCTATCCCTCCCCTAGCCCCTCACCCCGCAACAGGCCCTGGTGTGTGATGTTCCCCTTTCTGTGTCCATATGTTCTCATTGTTCAACTTCCACTTATGAGTGAGAACATGCGGTGTTCGGTTTTCTGTTCCTATGTTAGTTTGCTGAGAATGATGGTTTCCAGCTTCATCCATGTCCCTGCAAAGGGCAGGAACTCATCCTGTTTTATGGCTGCATAGTATTCCATGGTGTATATGTGCCACATTTTCTTTATACAGTCTATCGTTGATGGGCATTTGGGTTGGTTCCAAGTCTTTGCTATTGTGAACGATGCTGCAATAAACATACATGTGCATGTGTCTTATAGTAGAATGATTTATAATCCTTTGGGTGTATACCCAGTAATGGGATTGCTGGGTCAAATGATATTTCTGGTTCTAGATCCTTGAGGAATTGCCGCACTGTCTTCCACAATGGTTGAACTAATTTACACTCCCACCAACAATGTAAAAGCATTCTTATTTCTCCACTTCCTCTCCAGCATCTGTTGTTTCCTGACTTTTTAATGATCTCCATTCTAACTGACAGTGAGGTTTTGATTTGCATTTCTCTAATGACCAGTGATGGTGAGCTTTTTTTCATGTTTGTTGGCCACATAAATGTCTTCTTTTGAGAAGTGTCTGTTCATATCCTTTGCCCACTTTTTGATGGGGTTGTTTTTTTCTTGTAAAATTGTTTAAGTTCCTTGTAGATTCTGGATATTAGCCCTTTGTCAGATGCATAGATTGCAAAACTTTTCTCCCATTCTGTAGGCTGCCTGTTCACTCTGATGATAGTTTCTTTGGCTGTGCAGAAGTTCTTTAGTTGTATTAGATCTCATTTGTCAATTTTGGCTTTTGTTGCCATTGCTTTTGGTGTTTTAGTCATGAAGCCTTTGCCCATGCCTGTGTCCTGAATGGTATTGCCTAGGTTTTCCTCTAGGGTTTTTATGGTTTTAGGTCTTACGTTTAAATCTTTAATCCATCTTGAGTGGATTTCTGTATAAGGTGTAAGGAATGGGTCTAATTTCAGTTTTTTGCATATGGCTAGCTAGTTTTCCCAACTCCATTTATTAAATATGGACACAGGGAGGGGAACATCACACACTGGGGTCTGTCGGGGGCTTGGGGGTTAGAGGAGGGAGAGCATTAGGAGAAATACCTAATGTAGATGATGGGTTGGTGGGTGCAGCAAACAACCATGGCATGGGTATACCTATGTAACAAACCTGCATGTTCTGCATATGTATTCCAGAACTTAAAGTATAATAAAAAAGAATAGTTTTCAAAAAATAATTATATTTATTTTTCCACTGCAAAATTCTTATTATAGTTATTCTTTACAAAGTACCAGAAGAATGAGAATAATCTTCCAATATGTTTTGTCCCATGTTGATAATAAAGTAGTAATTACTTCTAATGGGCAAATCCTACTCATTCCATATTGTGTGTAATACTAGCAAACTAACATATTTAGACTCAGGATAAAGATGAACAAAGCAATATCCTATTCTAAAAAAAAACAGTGTAATTATGCACTAAATTGTGAAACAAGGTAAAGAAATACATAGATGTTGTAAAAGAAATATTGAAATATACTAAGAAAAAAACTCTTCTTTTTCTTTCCAGAGTGAAGTAACTGGCCCTCCCATAAATTCTAGGGAACCAGGCCTCAGTGTTTATTACTGGAAATGCACCAGCTTTGTGGAAGTTTCTGGAAAGGAATGTTGTGGAATTGGTGATTAAGTGGAATAGCTTTCTCTTCTGTCCCCTGGTTCATTGACTTGATCTAAGCCCAAGGCAAAAGTAAGAGGAGGTCTCTTATAATCTGTCAGCTTCCTTCTCACTTAGGACCTTCCTTAAGGATTAAAAACTTAACTTTTAAACCAGAGTTCCTCTTTACCTCTCTGCCAGACCCAACTACATTAAGGGATTTGACGGGTCACCAATCCAGGAGGGTTATGCATGAGACACTTGGCTTCCACCCACCTATGGAATTTAATTTATGCCTGGTTGGTTTGATTTTTTTTTTCCCTCAATCACCCTCCTTTAACAAAGGCCAGTCAATGAGCTGAGTTTTGCTGTCTTCTGCTATTAGGACCATTTTCTTAAGGTAGCAATCCATAGACCATCACAATGAAGTGTGTTTGTGTCTATGAGTGTGTACCTGTGTGTGACATTCTTTCTTTTCTTTACAGTATTTTATGTTTAGCTTGATCTGTAATAAATTAAAGTGGTCATGCTTTTCTCTAAGGATGACCTCCTCCAGCTCCACTCAAGAAAGTCTATTTATTGGGAAAATAGTTCCTTAACAGCAGAGAAAGACTATATCTTCTTTATCAAGTTTGTGACAAAATTATTACCAGTTTCTCTGAGGTAGGTCTCTCCCCATGCTCATTCTTCCTACATAATCCTTTTAGATAATCTACCCAAAATATACTTTTCATTATGCCATTTCCTTATACTACAACATACAGTAGTGTTTGTATTCTGTGGAACTCTAACAGGCATTTCTCAAAGGCAAGAGTTCCATGATTTACTCTCTCTATATATATCTATATCTATATATAGTATATGCATATAGCATATGCAAATGTATATTTACTATATATATAGTGTGTATATATATATGCAGAAAGTTAAAGTCAACAAGCATCTGTAGTAAGAAGGTCTTTTTTAATTTATTCTTCACGAATGAGCTGCATATATGGCATGTGAAGTTTATCAGAGTGACCTAAATACGGGATTGGTTTTTAACCAAGCATACCAAAGAATAGTAGTCCTGAAAAACATAACTCTGGAAACTAACTGATAATTGCATTACTTGCTTTCTTAATCATTTCAAACACCTCCACCTGCATTTCATGGTTCTTCACACTTTTAGACAGGTGTCTAACCATTAGTCTCATAAACTAGGCACATAAATGTCCAGGGGCAGGTAAAGTTACTGGAGAAGTGTGTGGTGCTCCTGGGTGTAGGAACTCCAGGGAGAATTAAAGAACTTGTTAAACAAGGTGGCCTTAATTTGAACCCCTTAAAGTTTCTGGGTTTTGACTGGAACTGGAGAGATCAGAAGTTGAGGAGAATGAGGAAAGTATTGGAACTTTTGGAAATGGGTGTGCTCAGTCTGTGCGAGTCAGAGTCCTTGAAACTGGGCCTTTTCTACGTCTGAGTCCTAATGAAGATTCCAGTTTTCACAGTAGAAGTTAAAGAAAAAAAATGTCTAGAAAGGAGTGATTTAGAGATCTTTCTAGGCCCATATTTTTCCCATCTTATGTTAATTGTAATTGGGTCAGTTAGAATTTGGTCTGTTAAATAAAATGGTTTAATATTTTGAACTGTCCACCTATTCTTACATACCATTTAGTAGTGGACTCAGATGCCTAAATTATCTACCAGGTTTTTTCTGGCTCAATAATGCAACACTCCTATAGTCAGAAAACAATTATTGTAATAATTTTAATCAATGCCAGAAAATTTAATACCTGAATATGATGTAAATGTTTTTTATTGCATTTATGTGTTAGTTGCTTCCCTCTTTTCCACTGAGCTGTAGCTTCTTAAGGTCAGTGATCATATTTTACATCTATTCTATACTCTCCATAGCTCTCAGTCAGGGTACTAAATGATTAATGTGTCATATAGGCTGATTGTCTTATTGACCAATTACATATCAATTAAATTAAGTTGCCAGCAGTCATATTTCTGGCAACAATTATAGGACAGGATAATCTCTGAGGTTTTATATGTATTGTGAATTTATTTCCATCCTCATTTGGACACCCTAGTGACTGAAACACAACTGACCCCCATGGACCTACAAAGACACCTCAGTCCATTCCTTATTGATGTCTCTGACTACTCCATTCTCCATTTATCACCTTTTTTTCACTCCATTGATCTTTCCTCTTCTGTCCAATCAAATGTACAATGTTTACATACCAACCAACATGTTATCATTGCAAAACATGCAAGAATAACAGCACAAATATAATTGACATTCTACCATGAAGTAAGGGCAAATATTGTCTTCTCTATCCTCGTAGTCAAAAGAATACTAGATTTGTTAGATTTTATCAATTATTTATTCATTAAACCAGCATTCATGGAGAACGTAATGTGTTTTTAAATTCATGCTTTGTGTTTTTAACTTTGATAAGAATAGAAACGTGACACGATCTCTGGTGCCAACAGGTTCATAGCCTACATCTTACTACTCAAACTTGTGTAATCAATAGAACTTCTTTAAAAAGAGATGTTTTGTCCACCTTTAGTATTGCCTGAAGTTAGTTTCATGTAACTTAAATACATCTAGACAAAGAACAAGTTATACATTCCTTATACTTATTCATTCAATACATGACCATTTATTGAGAGCTTACTATAGTTCAGTTACTGGGAGTATCACAGTGACAAGGGCAGACAAAACCCCCCCGACTTCACAAACTGTTTATTCTGGTGGGAAGAAACAGTGTGGAAACCAAAGAAACAAATATAGTTAATTATGTTTTTTTGAGACGGAGTCTCACTCTGTCGCCCAGTTTGGAGTGCAGCAGTGCGATCTCAGCTCACTGCAACCTCCACCTCCTGGGTTCAAGCGATTCTCCTGCCTCAGCCTCCTGAGGCAGGAAATTACAGGCATGTGCTACCATGCCTGGCTAATTTTTTTTTTTTTTTTTTTTTTTGGTGGAGACAGGGTTTCACCATGTTGGCCAGGCTGGTCTGGAACCCCTGACCTCAGGTGATCCACCAGCCTCGGCCTCTCAAAGTGCTAGGATTACAGGAGTGAGCCACCGCACCTGGCCAGTTAATTCTTGTTATGTACAACAGTTGTATTCTATAAAGTTGCCACAAATGCCAAACTGACAAATACTAAATGAACCATTGCTTCTGAGGGAGATACTGGATTTGATTCCTACGACCTTCTGGTTACAACATTTTCATCAGCCTATGAATACATTATCTTATTGTATGTGTGTTTCTGTTTAAAGACACTTGATTTAATGTGTATTGTTGGTTCATTGACATTGGATCCTTAGCCAATAGCTCATGCCTGAAGGATGCTTGTTTAACACATGTATTTTTCCAGTAGGGCACATCACAGCCTTCTGGCACTTAGGAACACTAGACAGCACTTCAGCACTATGCTTGGGGCCATTCCAAACAGTGAAATCGAAAAAAAAAAATGCAAAAACCATGGCACCAAATAGGCAACAAAAAAAAGATATTTGTTTACAATATGAGAGCTGAAACAAGAAAGGAGTGTAGTCTTATTCTGTCTGAGCTGGGAACAGGTACATCAGGGGACTCAAATTTTTTGCCACTCTTTGCTTATTCATGAATGATCTAGGAATATTTATTTTGGGGTTACAAGTAAATTTCAGAAAGTAAGAGAATTTGCAACCATGGAATCCATAAAAAATGAGGACTGATTTCATATAATAAATATTCAGATAGGAATGAATGTTGCAAAAAAAAATGAAACAGATCTGGAGAGTGATGGGGGTTTGGAAGAACTGTTTGAGCTGGGTGACTAGGACAGTCTGCCCTGAGGAGGGGACACTTTAATAGATACGAATCTTCAAAAGTAGTTAGCCCTGTGAAGATGGAGGACAGAGGGAGCAAGTGTTAAAGTCTGTGAATCAGGAGCAAGCTTGACTTGGTTTGTGTGAGGAACAGGACAGAGGTCTTCATGCCTGCAACAACAACAACAAAAAACTGAACCGACAGAAGATGAGCTTGAAAAGCTAATCAGTGGTCAGATAATGTATGGTCTTTTTGGCCTACTAAGTGGCTTAGACTCTGTTCTAAAGGGTAATGAGAAGCCACTGAGGGTTTTAAAATATATTTGAGCTATAGCTTATTAGATAATTTTACAGCCTTCCCCCAAAGTTTACAAATCAAATTTACCCCCAAACAATAACCATTTAAGTGAATCACATTAACTTAATGTGACAAGTGGATGCTTCACTGAAACTAAAGTTCTATTCACAGTATGACTATCGGGCTGACTTCCCTGGTGCAGGTTCTTCCCAGTTCAGCCACCTTCGTGACCCTGTGTGGGTGATGGCTCCAAGAACCACCCTCCTGTGGCACAAATCCATCATTACATATTCATGGTTCCTGGATGTGGTCTCTTCCCCCAAGTCTCTCACGACTGTAGCAAAGACACTCCAGCAGGCCTGAAGTCCGACATACATGGTTATAAGGCAGCAGCAAGCAGGTGATCCCTAGCATGCTTTTTGACTCTCATCTAAAGGAAAACATAAAATAAATGTTTCCATTAGAGAACTCATAGATACCCCACAATCCCTCAAGAAGGAAACCCACAGCCCTGCAAATTGTTTGAAAACCTTGCTCTCACAGAGGATTATTAGGGCAGTGAAAGTATTCTGTATGATGCTATAATGGTGGATATATGTCATGATAAATATGTCCAAACCCATAGAATGTACCATACCAAGTGTGAACCCTGATGTGAACTATGGAGTGTGGATGACAATGATGTGTCAGTGTGGATCCATCAGTTGTAACAAATGCACCACTCTGGTAGGGGATATTTACAATGGGAGAGGCTGTGCATGTGTTGGGGAAAGGAGCATATGGGAAATCTCTGTATACTTTCTATTTAATTTTGCTGGAACCTAAAACTGCTCTAAAAAATAAAGTCTAAAAAAAAAAACCCTTGCTCTACATGCAAAACTCAATGACGCTTCAGTAATGAAGGAAGAGTGTATTTAAATACTATAACAGCGTAAGGCAGACACAAAGGCAGCCCCAAAATGGAACACCGAAAAAGAAGTCAGAAAACAATGGCTGAGGCTGGAGAAAATGAGACATCTCCCTGTGTTCTGTCAGTGTTTGAGAGGGGATTGTGGGGTGAGGGAGGACTTTATCTGGATGGCAAGATCAGACCCTTTGCGAGGAGAGAGAATAGTACATTCTCTAAGAGCAGAAAGCAGTGTGAACAAAGGCTTGGAGACCAGAATGCGTTCAGTGTGTGGAGGAGATGGTGAATGCAGCCGACTGGCTGGAACAGAGGGTTTTAATTAAGGAGCGAAGGGGAAAACACACTTGGAACGCCTGGTCCTGCCATTTCAGCACGAATCTGCCCAGTGGGATCAGATGGTGGTATTCATAGCCCTGGACTGTCTTGTCAAAGTGTTGGCTGTGGAATCTGTAGCATGGAGGTACTTTCTCAATGTAGCTATTTGTACTGAGCCTGTCACTAGCTCGGGAAGAGGTAAAAATTACTTGACAGTGTCTCTGGACTCTCACCCATCCAAAGCGTAAGAGAGGATGGGGAGTGTCAGAGTGGGTGGGCATTGGGGAAAGTGAGTTCTTAAGAACTGGAGCTTTCAGTGAAAGAGAATAAAGGGCATTAGGAGGCTTACCTAGAGTTGGGCGGCAGTCATGCCAGGCAAGCAGGCCCCCACAGTGGAATCTCCGAACCCTCCCACTTCCCAATAGTGAGCCGTTCACCCCCAGAGTGCTTGATTTGGTATGGAAAAAGAGTCTCTCTCTCTCTTCCTCTCTCTCTCTCCCTCCCTCCCTCCCTCTCTCTCTCTCTCTCTCACACACACACACACACACACACGCACACAAACACACACACACACACACTCCAATTTATCAAAAATCACTTTGGAATTTAAAATCTCAGCTAATGACCTTTCTCAGAATAAAAAAGTCACATTTTCGTCAAGTTCTATGGGTTCCCTATTAAATTGCAAATGTGGACCATTTGGCATATGCAGTTCACCCATTTAAACCCATTTGACTTTGTAAGGCGGGGTGATAACATTTTGGATTTCATTTTTGTTTGTCCTATAAGAGTCTTGAGTTTTAGCCAAAAACCCAGGCCTTGGATGAATGTGCTTTAGACCTCACTTTTTGTCACAAGGCCAAGTGGACTTGAGAGAGAGGGTGGAGCGGTCTGTTGAAACATGATTTTTAGTTTTGCCCTTCGCCTCTGGAGCCAGGGCCCTGGCCCACGTCCAGCTGCAGGAAGAGAAGATGATGGTATTTTCTAGGTAATTTTAAGGAGCACAAACCTAAAGTAAAGTCAGGTGGTTTCAAGTCTGCACTGAATTTTTCATGTTAAGGATTTATCATGATTTGGGTTTTCAGCAGAGCTGTATTTTAAATGATGAAGGGAGCTGTATTCCTGTATTCTTCCGGAGACAGACATGTTTTGGTTGTTTGCTAATGACCTCTGGTTTTGCTTATGGGGAGTTTTGTTAACAAATGGAAATTTAGCAAAATAGAATACTTTCCTTCTTTTGTTTTTTTCTTTTTTTTTTTCTCTCTAAACAATGGGAACCCTTGCAGTAAACTGTCAAAACCAGGCTATAGATATTTGTTACTGTAGCATCATTAATACTGTGTAAATATAAGTTAGTCGCTTCGGCAATCAGACATATTCTTCTGATCTTCTGTCTTTGCTTTTAAACAGAGCCTTTGCCTTGCTGTTTGATAGATCCTATTGTTAAGAGAACTGCAGAAATGTATTCAAAAATTCTTCAAAATTTTTCCAACCTCAGGAACCTATTCAACAGTAATTAGCCTTGAAGGCAGCTGATTAAGGACTCTCCCAACTCACTCCCCATCTCACCCTGTAGCCACCATTTCTAAAATAAAAAGAAGTCTGCAGAGGGTGACAAAATTAAACCAAATGAAACTTTAAACTCCGGTGCAGAAGACTTCTGTCTCAGGAAAAAGTAGCTGTCTTCAAGGCAGAACTGACTGACTGGATTGAACTGAATTATAATTTCTGGTTCAAGCTGAGTTGTGTCCCTGGGGTGGTTTGACCTGTTTGTATTAGCTTTCCACTCTCCATCCATATTTGTCCCGGTGGTATCAGGAACATCACAGAACTATGAGTATGACTTAAAGCTAAGTTGAAAAGAGGCTCTGCTGTCTTCAGAAAGGGGAATATATGTGTATGTGTGTGTGTGTGTGTATATATATGTGTGTGTGTGTGTGTGTGTGTGTATGTGTGTGTTTTCTTTCATTACAGGCAGCCTGCCTCTTTCAATGGAGGCGCAATATAGCTGATGGTTGAGCCGTAGTCATTGATTGCAAAGGGATGTGTTTAGGAAGGAGAGAAATAGCTGCTCAGAAATTGCCTTCTTTCTCTCTCAAATTGCACTGTTGGGGGAATTACATAAGTGCAGAATTGTGGGGAACTGTGCGCATGTGTCTGTGCATTAGAGGCCAAGAGGAAAAAAAAAGTCTGCCTTCTCTTCTCATTTGAGAATTATGTTAGTTTGTTAGGGCTGCCATAACAAACTACCACAACCTGGTTTAAACAACAGAAATGCATCCTCTCATAGTTCTGGAGGCTAGAAGTTCAAGATCAAGGTGTCATCAGGGTTGGTTTCCTCTGAAGCCTCTCGCTTTGACTTGTAGGTGGCTGCCTTCTCCCTGTGTCTTCACATGGGCTTCCCTTTGTACACGTTTGTGTCCTAATCTCCTCTTTTTATAAGAACACCAGTCATACTGGATTACAGCCCGCCCATACAACCTCATTTAATCTTAATTATTTCTTTAAAGACCTTACCTCCACAAACAACAGTCTCATATTCCAAGGTACTGGAATTAGGACATCACCATATGAATTTGATGATGGAGAGAGAGGGTGATAATTCCACCCATAAGAGCTAAAGATATTTCATTATCACAATTGATCCTTGGTTATGGACAAATAAAGAGTTAACCATAAGGCCTTTCACTACCGCCACCTCCTAATCCTTATATTGAAGGGCTCCAGTCTCTCCAAGGCTGAATCCCAGAGGCAACAGAACCTTGAAGGACCCATGGATGTCGAGGGAAAGCAGCGGGAACAGTTGATGCAATGTGGTTAGCGGGAGAGGTGGCTTGGCTGATGCTGAATGCAGAGACCGTTGATCACCATCTTCAGAATACATTTACTGACTGGTGCAGGGTATTTAGTTGCCCTGTGGTGCTGGTTTGGATTCAGGCTTCTTTAGAGTCAGTGCTTGTTTCTAAGCATCATTGTTCTTCTCCAGACCAAACATATCAGAATATTTCATGGAAAGAAATATTCATATCTCTCTCTCTCTCTCTCTCTCTCTCTCTCTCTCTCTCCCTCTCTCAGTGTCTCTCCAATTGAAATTTGTGTGTTTCAGGGACATACTGATGCTTTAAGTCAAAGGATAAGTTTATTTGTTTTTAATGAGATACAATTAATCAGACATTTAATTTCCATTGCTTTGTCCCTGTGATCCACAGGAAATTTGTGGCTAGATTTCCTACTATCCAACTCACTAGTGGCCTACCTTTCATTACGATTTTTCATATAGCTTTCTTGCTCAGTAGCAGTTTCCTGATCTTTTCCCGTGGTGTTCAAACATGCTGAAATCTTTGCCATGACTGGGCAGCAAATGTGACCTTCATCAGAGGTTACATCTCAAGGTACCAAAGTGAGGGGAAAGGTTCTGAACCAAGGTAACATGCTAGAAGCACAATAGTTATCCCAAGGAGGATGCCAAATCAAAAATCCATTTGAGAGAGTAGAGGTTTGGTCCTGGGGAGTCTAGGAAAGCCCAAGCCCAGAGCATCAGAGGAAGGCTGAAGGCTCTGTTCACAGGTGTCAGACAAAATAGGACTGAACTCAAGGCTGCGTTCATCACCTAATTACAGTCCATCTTATCTGCCTTCCATTTGCCAGATTGTATGCCAAGTGCTTGAGACAGAAAGCAAAGTAAGAAATGGTCCAAAAAATCAAGGATGGTGTATCTAAATGGACAGTGGGTGGTCTTAAGGCAAAAAAAAAAAGGCAGCCCTAGACACACACTCATGTAGTAGTGTTATGATTTGCTTAGATATTAGTGGTTGATGATTAGATGGGTTCGATTAAAATATCTCAAACATGGCCTAAAATTTGGGTTAGCTTGCAAACCACTTGAAGAATCAGCGTGCACCCACATGGACCATTGCCACATTTGCCAACCACCCTCAACCAACCATATTAATCTTCCAACACTTCTCAGTTTAAGACCATCAACGAATTCCTAATTGCTACATTCAATGGTTTCTTGGTATTATCCACCCCTCATTCCTGCAGCTCTCTCTAGCCCAGTTATGTTCTCCTGCTTTGTCTAGGTCCTCTCCACTGGTTCTCTCTCTTCTACTCTCTCAGCCCAAATGCTCAAAATTTCCTCCATAGTCCTCCTTCTTCTCCATCCTCCCCACTCTTTTCTTTTTTTCTTTCTTTCTTTTTTTTTTTTTTTTTGAGACAGGGTCTCTCTCCGTGGCTTAGGCTGGAGTTCAGTGGCATAATCATGGCTTACTGCAGACTCTATCTCCAGGATTCAATTGATCCTCCCACCTCAGCCTTCCAAATAGCTGGGACTACAGGCATTCATCACCATGCCTGGCTAAATTTTTGGTTTGTTTGTTTGTTTTGTACAGACAGGGTTTCGCCATGTTGCCCAGGCTGGTCTCAAACTCCTTGGCTCAAGCAATTTGCCCGCCTTGGTCTCCCAAAGCGCTGAGATTACAGGCGTGAGCCACCGCGCCGAGCATCCCGGCTCTTTCCTCTCCCACAGCACCTCGTGTGACTGATTCTTTAGTGTGGACTTCAGGCCCACTCTCTCTTTCAACTTCAGACCTGCACTTCCACTGTCAGCCTAACCTGAGTGTCTCTACCAGAGACTCAAATGCACTGTGTTTAAAATACAGATCAGACCTTCCTCTATTTCTCTATTTTTTCTATTTTCTACTCATTTAATGGTATTCGTCATTCAGTTGACTGCACTAGAAAAGCTGAAAACACTCTTGTGAATGTTAAACATCTCTGAATCTGTTTAGCACATAGCACATTTATCAATGCACATTTAATACATTAATAGCTAATTGCAGCAAAAAGTTTTAACTACATACCCAAGACTTTTCATAACATACCCCACTTTTCCCCTACCCAAACCAAAATTATTTTGTTTTCATTATTTCTTAGGACAAATCCTCAGAGTTCACTCAGGCTGTCCCCACCTCTCATCTTTATATCCGTCTGGGAATACCATACTGACTTAACCAGGTTTTTGCATGTTTTGCTCTCCTCTTCTTGACTGTTTTCCTTACCATCTGTCAAAGTCTATGTATCTTTCAAGGCAGGTTCCCTCACCTGTCCTAGATAATACCATCCTTGACCACATCAGACTCTGGTAACACCAACACACCACTACCACCCCCAATCTTCAAATTCCTCTGGCACCTAACATCTGTACCACAGAATTTAGCACCTGGCTACATACTTGTTCTCTTTCTTTGGTATAAACAAGGCAGAGAGCCAGTCTGTTTTCCAGTGATTTGCAGACATGGTAAATTCCTCCCAGAGTTTTTCCCAGAATTGTGTCTTTGAGGGGGAATTTATATTCTTCCTTTCTTCAGATGGTAAAAACCTGGGTACCTCCTTGTGATATGATGTGTTTTCCCTTTTGTCTTAGTTATCAGGAAATTTAGAGCTGTTGCAGAACCATATTGTAATAATCAGCTTATCTCAGGATCCTGGTAATAGCTATGTATTCTACCTCCCTTCTTTAGAACTCTGTTGTGTGTTTGTTCTTAATTTTGCAGTATATTTAACTTGTAAGACTCCATAAATCCTTTTAGAACAAAGTGAGAAAACAGATCCCCAAATAAGCAATATTCTTCTCTTATTATATCATAATTTTCATTCTCTTACCTGGATTGTTTGTGCTTGAGAACAAAATCAGTTCCTGTATTTCTTTTGATTACCCAAAGAAGAAAGCATATGTTAGGTCCTTAATAAATCATTGCTGAAATATGTGCCTTGTTAAAGTAAGTTGGATTATTTTAAATTGAGACAGAAACATCTCCTAAAATGACATCATTCTAACAAAGGGACCTTACCGTGTTTTATTTCTGCTAACGGCAGGAGAAATAAACATCTTCTGATATTTTGAACATTTTGGTAAATGTTCAAAATATCAGAAAAAACATGTCATAAAAATAAAAAGTTGAAGTTTTAGCTATCACCGGCATCTAGACATAAGACTTAAAACAGGCAAGAGGATTAACAAAATCAATAGTTTACTGCCAGTAACACTTACCAGATAACAGAGTGCATTTTTTTCCCGCAACCCCAAAGCCCTGCTGGCTGCCTTTCTAACAAACACAATGTTCAGGTGGTGTCTGACTTATTTTTTTTTCTTCCCTTATCCCCATTTTCATTCCCCTTTCCTAACATAAGATGGCAAACATTAAAATTGGCTTTCAATGAAACTACCTGTGCCAGTCATCAAATTCTTTTCTTTCTTTCCTTTTTTTTTTTTTTTTTATTTCTTCTTAAAGCTCACCCAGGGAGAATACTTTGACTTTGAAAGAAACCACAAGAATGTAATCATAAAGTCACCTCCAGACTTGGCCTGTGTTCATACTTCCTGTCCTTTTACCTCCACCTCTACCCTACCCACCCCCAAACATTCATACATTTATCCACCAACACATACCTATGGCTGTTAAATATTTATGCAGACGTGTGAATAATTCATAAAGGTACAAACACTTTTGAGACTTGAAATTTATTCAGCTGACTGGGCTTTTCCATTGTCCAACAAGTAAGGACTTGGTGAATCCTTTCTTTTGCTCCTTTAACCAGAGTGGAAATGTTTTCCTTTTCATTTTAATGATATATTAAACGAGTTGCCTTCCCCAACCTCCTCCTCCTAAGTAATAATGTTGCAGAGAGAGCATACACACTTAGAAAGAGAGAGAGAGAATGAGAGTAACAAATACGACTATCTACATAATTATGAGATCAAAGATATCCCCACCCCACCTTTCTGCTCTAACCTACATTTTAGTCTAATGTTGGAGGATAAATTAAAACTCATCTTTATCCCCAAAGTAGCTATTTTTGGACCAAACCAATGTGGGTCCATCTTGACCAGCCTCCTGTGACCTCAACCTTGCAAATTGTCCAGGACCCATAATTAATACTAGACTATTTTCCCACTGCCACTTCCAGCATCCTGAATCACCTCACCTCACATTTAGAGCATATTTGTTTCTTGAACAGAAATTGATTTCCATTCGGCTTTAGTGAAACAGAATAAGGTAAACAAATCTGCTACAAAGCAGGAAGCATATTAAATATATTTTACATTTGAACAAAATATGTTGAACTTCTGCTATTTGTGATTCTCCATGCTAGTTCTCTCCACCATTAAAATAAATACAAGTAATATCTGTACTCATATTAAATATAATGTAAAATACATAACATTTAACAATGGGAGATGTGGGAGTGCAGAGCTACATAAAAAACCTCTCCTTGACTCTTTGAAAATGTGTCTTTTATATATATGGTCAATTGTTGACGCAAGAGGTAGAATTAAACGTTTAGATAATTTTACCATTAGATTTTATTAGACATGTTTGATAGGATAAATCTGGGCACTTGGGTATACATTTCTTGAAAAACATAAAATCTTCTAAATGTCATGGTTACTAAATGTAGCGAGATCACTAATGTGAGATTAGCTTTGGAAACTAGAAAATGTTTACCTGAGCATGTGAGAAATAAATATGAAGGGGGAATCAAAGTGTAATCCATAGATCTGAGTTTATATCTGATATTTTTATGCCTTTCTTTAAGAATTGTGTGTATATGTACATATGTATATTTAATTTATTTATATATAGGTGAAATGGGTTGTTAGCCAGATGTTAGAGTAAAAGGTTGGCAGTTTAAGGGCGAGGGTGAAAATATTTTGCTACTTAACTTATCCACTAGTAAAATGTGGTTGCACAATTTGACATTAAATAAGTAATAAATAAGCAAAATAAGTCAAGCCTGCATATTCTACTTTATTTGCTCATTCTTCTAACTTTTCAAGGCTTCCAGGCCCTGATACAACCACATATCTAGCTGCCTCTAGGTCCAGTCCATCCTCATCCCTGTACACCCTCCTAATCCTTAATACCAATGTCCACCTTTTCCCTCCAGTCTCCTAATAAAGTCTCTAATCAACCTGATCATCGTAGATATATAGAATGCTTCTTTGTCTAAATAATACCATGTTGGACATGAAACCACTCAGCCATGGTAAAAATAGAGTTGGAGCAAAGCAATCAAAGGGGGGCTCTTTTGAACCTGCTTGCCTCCTTTACTGCCACATGATCTTTCAGAGAGCAAGACTATCAGTCCAGAATGAGAATAGCAATCAAGAGAACAGCTGCCTCAATTTTGCTAATGAGCCAGCTTGGCTGAACCTGGTTTTGGAGACATAGTGACTCTGCCCTCCTCGACTCAAATAAGCAAGAAGCCAGAATGTCAGTGGAGCCATAGGCATTGAATTGGCTGTAAGAGGTAATTCAAAAGAGCATCCTTGCTTGCTTACTGTTTTCACAATGGTTCTATATAGATTTGTGCTATTAAAACGCCAGTTTTGAATGAGAACCTTGGGTGGAGCTGATATTCATGAAAATCATGCCAGTGTGGGAAACACTCCTTTTATGAATTAAGCAAAGCTTGTAGCTTTTTTCCATGGCTTTAAACACTCAATACTAGTCAAAACCTGTGAATATGTATACATTCTTTTATATGGATAATTAGCTTCTTTATTGGTGGCGCCTCTTGGATTAGGTGGATTCTTCCATGCAAATAAGCAGTAGAGGGAAGCAGTGCAACAAAGAACACCTTTCATGTGGCTTCAGTACTTATTTAGCAAAACTTCTACATTTATAGAGAAGCAAATGCTAAATTCCTGAACTTCTATAACCTTCTTTCAAATTGTTTCATATTAACTAATTCAGGTTAAAGTCCTTGCCTAATTTTGGTTTATGCACACAAAAAACAAATAGACCACTATACATAGTCCATTGAGAATAGTTCACCAAAATTGTTTATGTCCAATTTTGAATTTCTGACCACGATACACACAGGTAAAGATATCATTTAGAGATCATAAGTATTGTTTGAATATTAGCCACAGAAGTTAAGATAAATATAGGATACTTTGTGCATTAGAAGGATCTCAAATTAAGTTGCAAATAAAGTTTCCCAGTGATAGTACCAAATTCATAACACCTCCCTTGGGCCAAGAGAGTTGGTTTTTTGGTTTGGTTTGGTTTGGTTTGCGAGTTTTGGTTTACTTGTTTGTTTAAGCACTTTCTTTTTATGGTGGAAGCATCCATTTTTGTGTGAGCCTGAAGTTTTGGGGTCCTTTGGTGGTTTTTTAAAAGCGATATTGTGGTCTCACATTTTAATGTTTCCTGGAAGAACTAGCTAGCTATTTATTTTAACTACTTCACAGGAACCCACATGACAATTTTTGAAGGACATTTTCTTATTACTCATTGTTTATTATTTTGGTCATCATTTTTCCCAACAGGATATAGTTTTTAAGGTAAGATTCCATGAGTTTTCCTTTTATTTCAGAATTTATAACTTAGAAATTTTACTGTTACTTTATGCCCCTTTTCCCACCGACCCACATGGTACCCCCTACCACCTACCCACCCAAAGATATTTTCATGGTTTGGGTCATTTAGAGACAAATGCAGCCTCGAGAACCACAACATTTTTAGGTGTTAGGAGACATTTTAATACAAATCTTCCTATTCACCAAAACACTAAATCCTATTGGGATGCCTAGAGGCGTGTGATAAGAGAAAAGTAAATAATACAGAGGAAAAGAACCATTATATTCTCTAGATTTAACTTTGGCATATATCTGACATCAGAAATAGAAACTCACCTCTTGTGAAATCATTTTGTTTACTTGATCAGGAAAATCTGCAGGTCTATTCATTTTCAGACATATATTTATAAAACTAAAGCTCAATTCTAGAGATCAAGTCTTATTGTAAAACACTGATGAATGCTGTGAGTTTCATTTTTTAAACAGATTTCACTACTTGCCTCTCCTATGTGAATTTAATATTTTTATTCCTTCTCTAATTGATCAAATAAGAAGTTTATTATTACTTCCATAATTTTAACTTTTTCATTAAAAACCACCCTGGTGCATTTTATATGTCTGTTTTCATGAAATATAGAGTAAGAAAAAAATCACTGTGATATGAACTCCACAAAACATAAAGGAAGATGGCTTTAATGATAATAGTTACCTTTGGAAAATATTTTTACATACTTTTTTTCCATTCTATCCTTACCACAGGGTAACAAAGCACGTAATAAAGCAGTTGTAGAATCACAAAGCTAATAGGAGCCCTTGAGGTCAGTAGCTGCAGCTTTCCATCGTAAGATGCGAAAAGTAAGATCCAAGGATGTTAAGTTAAATTTCCCAAGGTCTGTAGTTTTCCAGTTTCTCCCATTACCTTTTCTGCTCCATGCTACCTTTGCTATTCCCATCTTTCAGATAATATAATTATAGTCCCTCACCCAGAGTCATACAAACCTTCAGTGAACTGAAACAGGTCTTTACCTTCTGACATCATTTTTTTCCACTCTCCACTGCGTAGCCTGCTGTTCATCTTTACTGTCTAAAGGACCATTCCTGTACTTTTTCTAGCTTTCAGGAGAAAAAGATTCCTGTTCATCTCACAAGGTGCTAAAGACTCTTGCAAATATATAGATAACATCCTCAGGATCATTAACAGACTCAGGAAATGAAATAAGCATCTGACTGCATTATTTTTAAACTGTTTCTACAAGTTACATAGTATGTGCTTAGTAAATATTGATGGAATTGAATGGGAGAGTAAAGAATAGAGGTAACAGATCTATTGTCTTTTTTAAATAAGGACTGAAGGTCATTGCTATGTTTTATAGAAGGACCATATAGTCCCAGCAAATAGAGGATATGCTTAACAGCTAGGAAAACCTGAGAACCAAATCCAGCTTTACCACTTAACAACCTTTGTGGCCTTGGGAAAGTTACTAACTTTCCTGAACTGTAATTTTCTTTTCTGTAAATACCGTCTACTTTACAGAGATTTTATGCGGATTAAATTAGACAATGTACATATAGAGTCAGGCACACAACGAACACCCAAAAATTTACCCTCCCTTGCCCTTCATGTCTGCCTGGGAGGTGACCGGTAGCCCGCTTCTCTGCTCTGTTTGAGTCAGAGTATTAAAATCAAGCTGGGCTGTGCCTGGATACTTTACCATTATTGTAACAGCCCTGGAAGCACAAGGTGTCACAATTTTATTTCATTGACATGTACCACACGTGCAGTAGGCCGTGTAACAGTGTAGTTTTCCTTTTTCCCTTTTCTTTAACAGTTTGCTGATACTGAACATGACATAGAAAAGGAAACACAGGTGAAGGGGTTTTTTTTTCTAGTGAAATTTGATTGTTTTGAAAAATGTTCTTTACAGTAACTTGCTGTGGAACAATATTTCATTTACTAACTGGCCTTGAGAATTTTGTAGAGTAAATCTTTAAAATCATGAAGCTTCTGTGGCTTTCATATGTACAAATAGTATTATAAGATTCATTCTCACAATTATTGGTCAAATTTGCCCCCATCATCTCCAGCCTTTTCAAAACTTGCAGTATTCTAAAATGAGTGGTAAAGCACAAGCAAGCTATAACATGTTTGTGGATCCAGAAATTTATGTCTCATAAATTCAAAATCTTTAGAATCTTTAGAACCTCATGCTTTTAACTTCTTTATGAAAATTTTAATACTTCAAAATATACATGAGTTTATGATATACATGAGTTTACCAGTTCTAATACTTTATGATATACATGAGTTTACCTTAAAATATTTTATGCATGAGACAGATTTTTTTAATCAGGTCTTCAGATTACCCTTTGAGCCTGAATAAAATAGAATAATAAAATCCCTTTATCAAAAAACACAACTAATATTCAAAGAGCACTATTGTAAGTGACATTCGCCTGTGCCCATATGTTATGCTTGTGCTTTGCTTGGCAATTAGTGGTTCACAGATGTCAACCTACATGGTACTTTGATAACAAGTTCAATCAATCCTGATCAAGACTTTCCCAACCTGTGAATTTATCAATGTTAAACAGAGCCTTTGAAAATATAAGCCTTCCTCCCTTCTCCCAAACACACACGTACTGTAGCCTAGAATTATTTGCACAGCAACTTTTATAATAAAAGGCTCAGTCTTGGGGTGAAGGGTGATAAGGAGGTTGGAGAAAGGCTAGAGAGCAATAGCATTTCAATCAATACTATTAAATATAAGAAACTGGGTTTTGGTAACATGAACAATAGCAGTTATTTCCAGATACTTAAAATGTGAAGTCTCCAGAATATACTACAGTTTTGGTTACATTTCTCAGAGAAGAAACTACTAAAACAAAAAAGGAAATAAAACACTGAAGATTTACAGGATAATTAAAGAATTAATGTATCAAATAATATCAGTTCCTTAGAAAATGACTGTTTAAAGCTGGATGGTCTTTTAATTGATCAAAATAAGGATTTGCAATTGTGTTACGTGTTTAGTATAGGTCTGTATGAGTCTATCTGTATGAAGACCTCTATACCCTCAGATATACTATCAGCTGAGTTGATGAGGATCCTGACAATTGACTTTTTAAAGCATATATAAACCTTTAACACCCTTTGACTTTGAGAAAAATTTGTTATTCGTGTTCTTTAACAAATAGTGGGCTGGCTAGCTATAAAATCAAGAATTTGCAGTGGGAATAATCTTCTACTGAGAGTTAGAATTTAATATTTACAAGTAGTCATTGAAGGTGCAGCCACTCCACATTGCCTTTTAAAAAATATAAATAAGGAAAAATGATACAATTATGCTATTTTCAGGTGTCATTGGACAGTTAGGTTTTATCGAGAAAGTAGTTTGAATCATGTAGTCCAAACAGGGAGAGAAAGAAAGATGCTACAGAAATAGCCAATAAGCAAATAATTTTGGCTTCAAATCACACTGCAAACATAGTACATAATACATACTTTGGCATAAAAGAATTATAGAATCATAAAATTTAAAAAACTATAAGGCTAATGTCCAGTTGATCATTTTGTTATCTCAATGTCATATAATTCTTTTCAAATCACACCCTCTGTCAGATATTTTTTGAATTAAAAATAAGACACATCTCACTATATCCACATAGTGGCCCATCTAAAATATTCTGTGTTGCTTTAATGTATTAAAAGTTTGTTCAGGCCGGGCGCGGTGGCTCACGCCTGTAATCCCAGCACTTTGGGAGGCCAAGACGGGCGGATCACGAGGTCAGGAGATCGAGACCATCCTGGCTAACACGGTGAAACCCCATCTCTACTAAAAATACAAAAAAAAGTAGTCGGGCCTGGTGGCGGGCACCTGTAGTCCCAGCTACTCGGGAGGCTGAGGTAGGAGAATGGCGTGAACCCGGGAGGCGGAGCTTGCAATGAGCCGAGATCGCGCCACTGCACTCCAGCCTGGGCGACAGAGCGAGACTCCGTCTCAAAAAAAAAAAAAAAAAAAAAAAAGTTTCTTCAGTTCTAAGCGGTGATTTTTAAATGTCAAAGAAATACAGTCCATAGAAAGAGAACTCACAGTTACTACACTACATTTTTGTGTGATATTTAGGTTACAGTTTTATTGTTTTCACACTGATTTTTCTCACTTTCATTTCAGCAGAGATATTTTGTGCATTTTATATTAACAGTTCACTTGGAGAAATCACTCTAATATTTGGAGCCGATTCCCTACAGATACATTCTTTAAACATTCTGTGCAGATAGGATTTGATTGTTCATATTGCATGTTATCTTTTCTTGATCTTATTACTCTGGCCTGTACAGGCATTCAGTGGAACCCATGAAGAGAGTACAGACAGCTGACTGGATGAAGAAGACATTGGGGAAAAAAACTCCCATTGTTTAGATTTCTGTCAGAGGATATAAGAATACTTAATTTCTTTTATCTCTAGGGCTTTCATTATCATTTAAATTTCATTTTACATTAATTGATCAGGGATTAGTAAAGCCATTATGCAGAAATTAGAATAAGACAAGCCAGATGGAATGAATAATTCATGAAGTCCAATTACGTTTTATTTCTGGTGTACTTTCAAACTTGCCTCTGACTTCTGTGCTATTTTGATGTGACAATATTCACTGGAAATCAAGAGTGCCATTTTAATTTATTGTATCCCTCTGGAGTGGAAGCATTTGTATGCACTAGGGGTATGTTAACGCATTTCCACACACACACCCCAACACCCAAAAGTCAATTTTGGGGGTTTTGAAAACACTGGGTGATCTAGGAATACTGTTCATTTTGTACAGAGGTTCAGGGGCACTTCAATGAGCCACACCAGTTCAACTGATTGGGGTGAGCTGACCCTATGCAGAGAGACTAAAGGCGTAGGATCGCGAAATGATTACCTCCTGGAAGAGCAGTAATCCTCTTTAAAATATTTGCACGCATTCCTCTCTGCAAAAGAACCCTTAAAATGTGAATTTGGCCTAGAGTTGGACTGGAGGTAGCAGCAGCTGTTGCAGCTACAGACGAGGACCACGAGGTGGCAGGGGTTGCCTTCAATGAAAGGGTTCGGGGCGGTCGGGACCGCCGGGGCTTCAGAACATCCCCGCGGGTCTGAGCCGGGCCGACCACGGTTGGGTTTAGGCTCCGAGCATCTCGCAAAGCGTTGCCGGGCGAGAATTCCGAACTAATGGAAAGTCCGGTCCACCTGTCTGGAATGTCTCATACAACTCTGTTGTCTGAAACCGCCTCCCCACCCCCGGTCCCAGCCACCAGCCCCTTGAGAGGCCCCCTCTCCCCCCGGTATTTATTTATGCCACTGGACAGTTCTAGTCACATTAAAGCTCCGGTTCACCTTCTCGAGGACTTTCATCTCGGGAAGTTTTATGACACTTTGTGAATGTGCAAAGTTTTTAATTAGGCTCTCTAGACAGCCCGAGGCAGCAGCAGCGCCACAAAGTCTTCACGGTCTCTCTGCTTTACAGCACAACAAGCCGCTCTACTCCTTTGAAGACAATGCAGACTATGTGTACGATGTCATGTGGTCCCCCGTGCATCCTGCGCTTTTTGCCTGCGTGGACGGGATGGGGCGCTTGGACCTCTGGAACCTCAACAATGACACCGAGGTGAGCGGCGGCTCAGGCGCCCGGGCCGGAGGGCTGGGAGGGGGGCGCAGTCGGCCACTCGCAGTCTCTCCCTCTTTCTCCAAAACGGCCTTTTTTGGACAGACCTTCCAACTGCAGCAGGGCTGCCGGCCCCCATTCTTGACTACCCTGAAGGGAATTGGCAGATGCATTGGCCAAAAATCACTTAATCTCCCTTCATCCCTAAACGGTGGCTGCTCTCGGACAATTAACGACCCTTTTTTGCAAAGAGCAAAACGTTATGCGTTCACACCTTTCCCTATGGGACAGGACACACAGGCATTTGTCAGAGCCGTGTTGAAATAACTTTATAGGCAAATACTTGGAAAAGAAAGCTTTTGTGGACGTCGATTTTTAGATTGGGCTTTTAAAAAGGGCTATTTGTCAGTGTTTGCTACTTGTACCGTTTCTATTTTGAATCCACAAAAGACGATTCTGTTGACTATTTTATGTTTAGATCTCTCATCCATTTGATTTGTACCAAGGTAAATATTCCTTGTCTAAGATATCAAATTCAGAGGCAGACTTTTACAACAGTCTCCAACTTTAAACATGAATATCAAACTCAGTATTTTTTTAAAAATAGATTTTAACATGTCACATTTACAGCAAGTGAAAATACCCATTTATTTTAAAAATCAGCCAGTAATAAATACTGTTTTTAAATTATGCTATAAAAATTTATGTTTTAAAAACTATGCCACATGCATTGTTCCTTTTTGCCAGTCTAGCAAAATTACTGAGTTGCTAATTCAGCTACTTGGATTTTTTTTTAACATAAATATTATTGTCCTTCAACTTTATAAAATAAAATGGTCTCTGCATCACTTCTTGGTTTCTGATTCAAGAAAGCTCTCTATAAATAAGAATGGACAGGTAAGAGGAACAAGTGCTGCGAACTATATGTCAAGTGGAGAACAACAAAAAGGTCTTTTGAAGTGTTTTGAGCAGGAAACAGCTCAGCCTTTTTAATTAGGAAGCCCACAGCTGGAGGATCTGAGGAGGAGCACACTTCCCTAGTATTTGTGTGTGTGTGTGTGTGTGTGTGTGTGTGTGTGTGTGGGAGGGGGCAGGGAAATATTCTTCAGGTGTTATTATTAAGTCTTTGTATCTTCAAGGGTATATACACCTATAATTGCTGCCAAGTAGTTATCTTTTAAAAATCTTTCAATTTGAGTCTATTTTTGCTTTTAGCTACAAGAATTCTGTGACAAGAATGAGTTAGGTAATGAAGCATCTTTGAAAATAATCAAAAGGCATGAGTATGTGAAATGTCCCATCATTTGGATGTTGAAATGTTTATAACATTATTGTTTTTAATAGAAAGATGTTATTACCCTACATTGTAAGGGTTTCCCAGAGTCTTCATCACTGTTTATTAAAATCATATTGCTTCTATTTGCTAGGAGAAATTCATTCATTTAAAGCAACCAAAAAAACTAACATTTTCCTGATTGACTTAGGAGACCGCTGTAGTAGAAATCCAGCTTAGTTGAGATGTTTAAGTGATACCCAACTACAATGCATATGAAGGGAGTGAGTGTTCTACAAACTCCTTAACAATTCCTATGTAACTGTTTTTCTTTTAAATTTTTTTTAGGTAAAATGAAACTAATGTCTCAACATTGATAAATATAATTTTTTCCCTTCTCTTTCTCTAGATATCAAGAGACAACCACATAAGAGTTTCATAGCTAAACATTTTTTAAAAATCATTATTGGTCATGCAAACTGTTTAGTTTTGTGGTAAACATAATTCTGCTTTAACAATAATAGTAGAGATACATTGAGTCCAGCTCAAATCCAGTAATGAACCGAACACTTTTTAAAACCTTCAAATCATTTTTGTCTTCTGGCAAGTTGAACAAGATTTTTCTTAAAAATTAGATTTCTTAAAAAAATCTGAATTATCAGTAGAGCAGTATGTTTGGTTGTTGTTTTTATTATTACATTTTTGGACCAGGTTATTCCAGCTGTTCCTATGCAAGGATAGTTCATATTTCCCACCTCAGTATTTCTGATTTCTACTGCTTAATGTAATAATTTATGATATATAAATCTTGCCTTTGCAATTAAAATGATTGAGCCAGGAAAACTGTGGAAATATTTGTGAAACAAAGTACAGTATAAGAGACAGAGAGAACATATGAATTGTTTTTTATTATTCATCAACTTTTGAAAGGTCATTACTGATCGGATTAATGCAAATATATTTTGTCATTTTCTTCATGCATTTATGAATTTTCTAGCGCATAATATAGGCTGTGATCATTATTTTCTATCATTTGTAATATATATGAAAAGAAACTATTTTTAAATGTTTAAAATATTGTTTCACTTTGTTATAGTACTTATATTCCAAATAAAAATTCTTGAAAATGTATTAGGTATTATTTTAAATGTGTCACAATGTCAGTTTATTTTCAGTGATTTTTTTGTTATATTCGTATTAAGATTAAACATTTTATTCTATTTTTAAGATTGTTCATAGATTACCTAATTCTATTCAATATCAGATTGTTCATGGAATTAGGTAATAGAATTAAGCAAGAATCCTGTATGAACCTTCTAAATTATGGTATTAAAAATTAACTTTGAAGAGTCTATAGTTGAATCACAGATTTGTTTTCTGGGCAGCACAGTCATAATAAAGTGTATTGACAGCATTATGATCCATCTAAATTCACATTGTTTCAGCCTCTGAAAGATTTGGTTAAAAATTCAGACTCTAGCTTGCACAGCAGGTACTTTTATTATAGAAATTGTGTATTTTTAAAAAATAAATGAGCCGGGGACTTTTGGGGTTTTTTTTTGTTTTTTTGTTTTTTTGCTCACAATTGACATACAGTGATTTAAGCGGGTGAAAGAATTTTTATTGATTTCAAGATTAAGTTTAAACATAGATTCTTATATATGATGGAGTTTTTATTGCTATTTTAAAGATAGGTATTGGGTCAATAATTTCGTATAAACAGATGGTTTCAATTCCCTGAATAACAAAATGCCGGTGGTGCTAAGCCACAGTACATGTTGTGTTTCCATTCTAATGCGACATGTTTATTAGACACAGGTCTTAAACAGTGGCATGAGATGATCCTAGTGGCCCCCTTTTCACTGTATTTTTTCTTTATGTTTTAATATTTACCTTTTCCTTTCTTAATGGCATGTTGTCATTTCCTATTCAACATTCTTGTAAAAGGCTCAAGAGATCTGAGCTTTATGTCAATTATAAACTTCTAACCTTGAAGACAAGCTTTTACACAACTGATAATGGGAGAGAGGTAGACACACTAAAAAGTCTTTCCAAATACTGAGGCTCTTGGAACAAATACTACAGGTTCCATTGCAGCACCTCCAGTTCACTTTAATTATTATTATTGTTATAATTATCAATGCTTTTAGATTTGAAGTGTTTATTAAAGGAGATATAAGGCATTTTCTATGAGTGGGTGGCTGTATTCTATCACGATGTCACCCTGGAGACAGTGCCAAAGTTGTGGATCGCTTATTACACTTCGGTACTGCCAGAGGGAGGAAGACAGATTTAACAAAAGAGAGAGAAAGAGAGAGAGAGAGAATTTGAGTTTTTTGAAAAATTTTTTTTATCTTTATGTTTTCCTTTTTTCTTCTGATCATCTCCTCCCTGATGAGGTTTGAGAGATCAATACATATGTTTACTTTTTCCTTGAAGACTCACATTAATATGACTTTTTTATTCCACCATACACCTGCTTTCTGCCTTTTTAGTATCCTTAATCTTGGTAAATCCTGAGATCTGTCTCTCTCCATCTGTCCATAAACTATGACCCTATGGGGAAGGATCCCATTTAGCTCCTGTATTTTTTGTTGGATGTACACTTGTCATAATCCAAAGAAATATTCATGCCACTTACTGCCCGGTGACTATGTAAAAAGACTCTCCCTCCTTTTCTTTTTTGTTAAAGTGTCTCTTCTCTCTACCCCTTAATTCAGTGGAGCATATGATTTAAGAACAATGAGCCCTTTTTCCCCCCGGCACAAGGGATGTGTATTACTTAATGCACATGAAGGCAGTTGGTGACTCATCCAGTTAAACGTATTATTGTAAATTTGTATATTTAAATTCATATTCAGAGATTCTTTTATTCTGTTGTGAACCCTTTGGCAGGTTCCAACAGCAAGTGTGGCCATTGAGGGGGCATCCGCCCTAAACCGTGTTCGTTGGGCCCAAGCTGGCAAAGAAGTTGCTGTTGGGGACTCGGAAGGCCGTATTTGGGTCTATGACGTTGGAGAGGTACGTGTGTATTTGTGTTGTTGTTACTGTTTTGACTTGTGTATCTACTTTAGAAACCTAGTGAAATTATTAGCAAGAACTTGTAGGCCACAAGGACCCTCTCTAACGTGCTTGTAAATTTCCATTGACTTCAATGCTAGTTTGGCGAGACTTCCTTAGGGCCTAATTTGATCTTCTGTCTCCATGCACAGAACACTTAAGTTAACAATCTAAGCTCCTTTTAGAGTCCTGTAGAATGTCCCATCATCCTGTGATGGAGTGTGGCACTTCCCACTAATTTCATGAGAATGAAAAGTTTAGAGGCTGGGTGCGGTGCCTCACGCCTGTAATCCCAACATTTTGGGAGGCCGTGGCAGGTGGATCACGAGGTCAGGAGTTCGAGACCAGGCTGGCCAACGTAGTGAAATCCCATCTCTACTAAAAATACAAAAATTAGTCGGGCATGGTGGCAGGCACCTGTAATCCCAGCTACTCAGGAGGCTGAGGCAGGAGAACCACTTGAATCTGGGAGGCAGAGGTTGCAGTGAGCCGAGATTGCACCACTGCACTCCAACCTGGGTGGCAGAGAGACTCCATCTCAAAAAAAAAAGAAAAAGAAAAGAAAAGAAAAGTTTGCCAAATATATCATGCTAAAATTGAAAAGTTGAGTTTTGGTTGGTATGTTCAATTAACATATATACTATTTTTCTTTCATTAAAGTGTAGCCAATTGAGAATGTGATTAATTAGAATTTTGTGCCACTTGGTGGTATTCAAATTTATCATATGAGATATATACCTTTCTAGTATGTCTTATTACATGATACACAAAGTATTCCTGAATGTCATGGCATGTAAAAAAGGAAAAAAAAAAACAACTACACCTTTTATTTCAGACAAATCTCCTTGAATTTGCATACGATCTTAATTTAATGTTACATTATCTATCAATTGTACTTAAGATTGTGTGTTTATTTTTACTGTATGAGAAAGTGTTGACCAAAACCTTCATTTCTGGTGAGGTAAGGAACTTTTTCCTTAAAGAAAAAGAAAATATTGAACTTTCAAGCAAAACAAAATAAGAGCGTTATGTAATGCTATTTTGGCATAATATGAATCTAACATTGCATTCCAGGGGGAAAATATACCACATTTGTATGCATAGCATCCTAGACCTAGAAAGTACTCTGTGAGTGCCTGGTGGATGGGTTTAGCTGATCACACTGAGAAGGGTTCTTTATGGTTTCATCAATCAGCATTCTATAAATTTGGCAATCCTAAATGGTTTGTTCTACAATGGAACTTTTGATGACATATTATATACTGCTATATGGTATAGTTGATTATGTTGGAACAAGCTAGACGGTGTTTTTTAAAATTCAGCCAGGAACAAAAACCGAATGACTTTAGAAATGGGAGTTTTCTATTCTGGATGCATAATTCTAAGTAAAAAAAAAAAATCTCTTGCTTTTACTGCATGTTATCTATTTCATTTAACATCCCCTTGACTACTCCTGATACCACAAGCTGAGTTCCAACAGTGACAAAAACTCTGTTAATATTGGCCCCAGTGGTGAAGATGCAAATGGTCTGGTGACTATTGATATAGTCTGGAGTCTTTGGGAAAGAGAATACCCTCTGAGTCGGAAATACCGCCAGTAGTGTTACAGCAGTATTTTTCTTAAATGAGTATTCTTTATGTTTAATGTATCTTTCTCATGGCCCTCATCAAAGTAAAACTAAACAACAATAACAAAAACAGATATTCTTTATTGGTCACTTCCTAAAAAATAAAAAAGAGCAAAGGAGAATGTTAAAAAAAAAAAAAGCCTTTTCTCTCTCTTTCTTTTCTTCCTTTCTTCCTTTCTTCCTTTTCCTTTCCTTTGTTTATAACAAGTGTAATTGTGGGAGAGAAATACACATGAAGACATGCTCAGAGATACAATGGCAGAAAATAGATAAAATTTAAAAACTCTTTGCTCTATCTCCTTTGCATACACATAACGTCCCTTAACTCACTTAAGATTGTATACAATATTATTTTATCCCTCTTTGTTGTATTCTAAAAGGACTGAAAAACAGATTAGTTTAACAATCTGTTTTATATTTTAAAAGGCCTTTTGGAAAGTCTTTATTTTGACTTAAATGTTATATATATACACACTATATATATGCACACACATACATTCATACACACTGTCTCTATGCAATAAGGAAACACAATATGACATATATACAGAATTTTCTGCAATAAAAGTGATTTTACAGCTTTTGGACAGAATTACTTGAATATGACATATTTTGTGAGTAAATATGATTTTACAAAAGTTACTTTGGCTGATATGTGGCTGCTAAAATTTCTTTCTAGGATGCTATCATCATTTCTAAATTGTAAAGTGTTGTTATACTCATATTTGTACTATCGTACTGGCAGGTCAGGCTGGTTTTCATTTTTATGTTATTGCCCTTACTTTTCTAAGTGATATTACAGACTATAGAAATGTCTGCAACTATAGGCCAGTCTCGCCTATTGTCTGGAGTCTAGACAGGCTATAGAAAAATCTCTGTGACATATAATAGGCCAAACAATTTGTAGGGCTGTTTATCCCTACAAATTCACTACCAAGAAAAAGAAAGGATATACTATTTTATTGAGAGTAGGTAATATTACAATCTCTAGCCCTTCTCTGAATGACCGAAAATCAGGATAAGCTTATACACTTGAAGAGTTCTTTAGGTATTGTTTGATCATATACAAAGCAATCTATAGCTCAGAAAAACTCAGACTTAACAAAATAATTGCCTTAACTGTGGTTTTATAAGTATTTTTATAAATTATATTTATTTGGGTAGAAGGGGAACTTTTGTGTTTCTCTTTGTCACCACAAAGCTTTATTCTAAATCGCTGAAGACCTCGTCTGTAGAGGTACAATGTACTAAAAGGAAAAATGACTTCCCTACATCTGAGGCTTAGCTGCAGCCCACTTCTGAAAGAGGTAGATCCCTTAAGGGCAAATGCTGCCATTACTGTGATTACTATAGGATCGTTCACCAGCCCAGAACTGACAGAACATAACTGTGCTTAAAGAGAAGTGCACCCTCTAGACAAGTACCTTCTCAGCCTTCCAAATCACCTAAACTGCGGAAGGCCAGATGGAATGCTTCATGGCAGGGTGGCACATTTGGAATTAGAGGTCTGATCTAAGGCTGGTGCATGACTGACTGCAGGAAGGGTCGTCGAGCAAAGAGCTATTCAAGAAGAAACAAATAAGGTATTGAAGACTAAATTGCCAGTAGGCTCTGCCACCACTACCAATATTCAAAATTGGTTCCCTGGTCCCTATTAAAACGAAACTCATAACCACAGTCATGCTGGCCTTTAGATAGAAAACCTTGCTTTGTAGAACCCTCTAGAAAGAAGACAAAATGCTCTTAGATAAGCTTTGTAATACAATCTGTATTAAAAAGTAGATGGTAGGTTTTTTAGAGCACACAATGTTGGTCCATTTTCCTCAGTACGTTGAATACATGTCTGTGGGAAGACATCTCATATTCATTCTCCCAGTGTTGATTTGAGGAGATTTTTTTTTAGGCTGGGGAGAAAAGAGGGGCCTGTAGGCTAGCTTTTGCCAAGACCTTGTTCCACAAGTGAGGCTGTCTTGAAGAGTATAGGACCTGTGCAATTGCATAGGGCACCGTGCTTAGGGGAGCCCTGAGCTTGGGTCATTGTCTTAAAATTGTTAAAAATTTGTCAGGAAGGAACGCCACATTTTCATTTTTCACTGAACCCTGCAAATTAGCCGGTCCTGTCAACTAGAGTGTTACTCTTAATGCCACTCATGAGGCAAATCAGAAAAAAAAAAAAATAGGCCTTAACCTAGATCATTAGGAAGAAAGAGAAATCTGTAGAAATGTAGTTAAATGGATGGACACACTACAATCTTCTCATTACCTGTTTCTCTTTTTTTTTCTTTTCTTTTTTTTTTTTTTTTTGAGACGGAGTTTTGCTCTTGCCCAGGCTGGAGTGCAATGGCACACTTCTGCCTCCCGGGTTCAAGCAATTCTCCTGCCTTAGCCTCCTAAGTATCTGGGATTACAGGCGCATGCCACAACACCCAGCAAATTTTTGTATTTTTAGTAGAGACAGGATTTCGCCATGTTGGCCAGGCTGGTCTCGAACTCCTGACCTCAGGTGATCCACTCGCCTCGGCCTCCCAAAGTACTGAGATTACAGATTTGAGCCACTGCACCCTGCCTCATTACCTGTTTCTTAAAACTACTTAAAAATGTTTAATGAGAAGGGCCACGACTCTACATTATAAACGTCAAGGTACATATAGAGCTAAAGCCGTACTGGAGATCCCAATTCACCTCCCACAACCCTCTTTTGATCACATCATAATTTTGCCTGAAAATATATTAATAATATAATTTGGGGAAAGATCTCTGAGATGCCTACCCCAGTTGGAGTGGAGCGGGACAGGCTTTCTCTGTCCACACCATTGTTGAGAACTCCCTGAAGAGAGACTGCTGTGAGCACTGATGGAAACATCTCCATTCAAGCCCAGGTAGTCTTGCCTTCCTGTGAGCCCTGGCACTCCCTGATTAGGGCATTGCAGAAAGGGACTCTGGTGTTACCAGTCACTGACAGTCATCTGCCTCATCTCCTGTCCCAGCTGAGGCTGCAGCTGCTGCAGGGAGCCCCAGCTCAGTACCCCCATGACCATGCCTTTCTCTTATTATGTACAATTATCCTCTATGACTTTTAAGATGATAGCAGAGAGCACAGTGGCTTGAATCCAGATTTAGTGGTGCAATTTATTATGAACTTCTGAAGGGGTAAACACAGGATTGTGTATGAGCTCACTGAAATCACCAGACTGAGTTTGTCCATCTCCCTTTTTTTTTTCTTTTTGTTACATTTAAATGACAAAGACATGAGTAATATCCCACAGCCTATGACTCAAGAGGTAAAATATAAAACAGCAATGTTTTCAGGTAGGTCACATGATGCTGTGTTTATATAGCACACATTTTTGGTTGTTTGATTTCAGCATTATATCTGGAAAATACACTGTACACATTTATTTTCACAGATAGGGGTCTATTTTCTTTGCAGAGCAGGTGCTGAACTCCCATTAGCATAAATGGAAGTTATGCGAATCTGAATCTGACAAAAGACAGAGAAGACCCCTTTTTATTATTTGGCTATAATTTTTACTCTATTTGTGCCTTCAAAAGTTACTTACATAGACAGTGGTTGCATGCACCATTTAAATTTTCTGAGATTCAAAATTAAAAATGAGCCTAGCTTCTGAATAAGTTTTGAGAAATCTCCAAACTATGGCTTGCAATTTGTTTGTTTTGGATTGTAGGAAGGATTCCATTCAATTAAATGAAACATGGGTAGGATAATAAGTCAAAAATTAACTATTAATATACCTGAAAACAGAGCTATTGTTGGATTTTTTTTCAAATGATGTATGAACACACATTTTAAAGAATTAAAAATAAAAACGACTCATTGCCATGTCTCCATTACTGAAGAGCAAGCTTTTCTATGCATATAGAGCTGACTTCAACAGCACATAGGCCAGTATGTATAGAATTATTCACGTGTCCTGATGATTGATAGCCAGCCTATCTACCTGTCTTTCTTGCAGATGTGTTTTATAGAAAGCCCACCGCCATTGTTAAGGCTTCAGTGCTGTCACACAGATGCAGCTGTCATAAATATCCCCTAACAACTATGTTTGCTGCTTATCTGAATTAGTTAGAATGCTGTTTGCAGCTCCAGTTTTGAAAGAAGCAGTTTATCTTCCACCTCCTATTATTTCTTTTTCCATTAACCTCTTCCAGGGAAGATTTTGTTTTCAGTTGTGATAAATTCACACAGGTTTCAAATCCCTGATTATATTTTACAGTAGTCAAATGATAAAATTACAGAATCATTTTCAGCTCAAAGTAGGATTTGAAGAATAAAATGGAAACTTAAAAACCATGGTTTGAGAGACGGACAAATCTTATCCTAGCTTTATTGATTTGGTATCCTATTCACTAGTTACCTAAGAAAATATGCATAAATCTTTAAATTTGAACTCTGAACTTTGATAGCATTTCAAATAGCTTGTTTGATACGACTATTTGGGGGCCAAAAGAATAGTATTCATTTCATTACAAATTTCAATAAGTATAATACATTTGACATTGGATATATGGGCTTTGAAAAATTCTTGGAAAAGAAAGATGTGGGTTAACATGAGAGATCAAATGTAACACTGCCAAAAAAGTAAAACATGATTTTAAATGTCCATTTGAATATATTTTAAAGCCAAAACGAAAAATCAAGAGAGAAAAGTTTATTTGTAACGCCAACAGGAAGAATGGCCTACACAATATATTTTAGAATGATGGTCAAGGTGTTACATGTAAGAACTGTTAACAAGTGCCTCAAATAGTTTCATAGCCAGCAAGAATAAGAATAAAAAAAAGAGATTCAATGGGCCATTTTTTTATGCTTTCAACAGTAGTTTGATGTAGTGGCATGTGATAAACTGGAAGTACTGGGAGCTAAAAAGGGTTTGAGTAACACAAAATAAATACAATACAATGATGATTTTTAAGGGGAATCACACTTAGGCAATAATAGTGTACTTTGTGGAACTCCTTCATGTTTTCCAGTAATACAGGGCCTACATCAATTCTCCATAAGCAGCCTGTGCCTTGAATATAAATAATTCTCCTCCTTGAGGAAGTGGGCATACGAAACACAAAATTGAAAAGTTAAACTTAGATTTGGGAGGTTAATTCAAACAAGAGTCCCTTAATAAAAAGAACTGCATTTGCAATCAGCCAGTTTTAATAACCGTGCTTTATGAAGGCCTTTGTCCCCTGAGCAAGGCAAACCTGATTGCATGGCTCGGTTTTTGCAGCCTCCAGAAGAGCACAGTTGGTCTCAGCTTAGCAAGATCCAGGTATGATCATCTGAATCACTGGTGTTTCTCATTAAATGAGTGTGGCCATTAATTTCCTAGATTCTTGAAGGCCTTTGCAAGTACTGGCTTATTCTTAGGTGGATAAACAATATTATTTTCTTTAGCTGATACCAAATACTTCCTTTGATTTTCTCTCCTTGAAAAAGAAAAGACTTAGGCGTAAATTCTTCCAGTGATACCAAACATCCAGATAAAATGTGAAAATCCAAATACCTGGTTCTGTCGATAACATCTAGATAGCAGTTGATGGCATAAGAACAAAGCATCAAGCTTTTCAACTGGATTTTTCAGTTTTTACTTGAATTTTTAGTGTTACAGCCCCAATGCTGTGCTATTAAGTCAAGGGGCACCAAGATATATTTGCATGGGCAGATTTGAGATGCTAATAAATATAATTATGTAAAATAAGCCACTTTGAAATAATATATTAATTCATTTGTCATAACAAATTATATGTATTTGAAATTAAATATTTTGGGTAAAATCTATGATTGTAATTTTGGTATTAACTTTATTTCTTCTGGGAAAAGTGCTTAATTTAAAAAAGAAAAGGCGCAATTAATTCCAATTAATGTTGTAAGTATTCATCTTATAGTACGTGTAATAGCTGTGGCTTTCACTTTGATAATTATATATGTAAAAGACCATGATTAAACTAATTATTATATAAATAGTGTGCTTATTCAGGTAGCATTAGTATATGAAAATGGACTTATAGGATTAATATCTTCTCAAGCAAATGTTTTTTCTGAATTGAAAAGAAATACTTATGACTTCATGTATTATGGAGTAGTTGATTCAATGAAAAGAAAGCCCTAATATCTAATATTATAAACAGCAAATTAATGTGTGTATAGTAATTTCAAAATTCAATGAAGTTCATATATTCTCATTTTGGTGATAAATGATCTATGAATATAAACCTTCTGAAAGAAGAACCAGTTTGTATAACTAATCATCTTCATGATTCTTCTGTGGTTTCAAACTGTCATCTTCAATGGCAGTTTGGATTATGAAGCAGTTGTTAATTATAGTGTTAATTTTTTTATGGCTGACAAAATTGTGTTTAGTTCTATAATTTCAAAATTGCTAAATTTTATCTTGAAAAATTGCTGCTTAGAGCAGTAGCCTCAAATCACAGCTTTAAAAGCTAAATGTGAAGTCTCTCCAATCATCTGTGAATCGAGATTAACCCGGGCCTGTACAGAATGGAGTTGTTTCTTACATGTGTATGTGTGCTACTGTTGGCATATCTAAAATATAATACATAATCAAATATCTGCTTATTCATGTTTCCTGTGTAAATATTTATACACCACGTAGGTCGGACTTGAAAAGCGAGGAAGTGAATGAATCATTATATTTCACTTTCAAGGAAAGCTTACATGAATTTTTGAGAATGTCAGCTATCAGAACATCTTTTAAATTTTAAAGCATGAGTTACTTATCATTTAAGAAATATCCAAACTGCTAACATTGTAAAAGCAATTTCATACTTTTAACCTAGTAGATAAATCAGTGGCCCATTTCTAAGCTCTTTCTCCTAATAGTCAACCAATAGTTTCTCAATTCAGATTAAATTTTTTATTTGTATTGGTCTCAGCATTAAGGTCCCTTAGATAGAAAGTGAACATAAACTAATATTTTCAAAGTGAATAAATAAATAAGAAAGTGAACACCTTCTAGTATGATTTAAAAAAAAAAAAAGTTACCCTTGTGACTTAAAAAAAAAAATTCAGATTGTCAGCCCTCCCTTGATTATCACATTCCTCAGCTTCTTTTTTAACCTTTGGAAGACCACATCCACAGAATTGTACAAAAAGTGGTTATTTGACAATTGTCTATTAAAACACAATAACCCAGTCTAGCAAAGTGCCTGGCACAAAATAGGCACACAATAAATATTTGATGGGTGAATGAATGATTCACATGTGAAAATTTGAGGAAAAATTAAGGGAAAGCTTAATTGTTTAGAGCATTCAGGATGTAGCCTCCAAGTTGGCTACAGATTGATGCACAGGAAAAAAATTACTTAACTGTAGTTGCACAGAAAAGGATATTTAGAAAATATCTTTAGAAAAGAGTACTTACCCTTCCCCCCAATCTCTTTCCCAGTTTCCCTCCCCTCCTGTGCTTTTAAAAGTGAGCAGTTGGCCACTAGTGTAATAAAAGCATAACCGTTGATTCAAACAGTTGTCAAACCACTGGAAAAATGCTTCCTTTTCATTGTGCTTTTTTTGGACACTATAGATATGGTAAATCATGAACTGCGTTATAAAAATACCTCTTTTGTGCCCAAACATTCAGTAGGAGGGAATGACATTTCTTTTATTACCTTGGTAAATGTTTTTAAGGTGTTTAGCAATAAGCCTTCTTTTTGTCAAAACTGCTTAGACGCAGTGGTTGCTAAGAATTTATTAGAAAACCTATAGTTAATAATATCAAGAAAAGAAGGGATATGTGTTTAGTAGCTAATATGACAGTTGAGCTTGTGTAGCACATGCTTTTGCTTTTTCCTACCATTTTCTTGATCTTTTGTGTTATGGAAAACAAGTTATTCATGTTTAGAAAGTTTATTTTTCATTATTGCCCATCAACCAGCGTTTTTAGCATTTTCTCCATCTTTTGGGCAGAGAAATAGATTGTTCCAAATAGTAGGGAAAAAAATAAGGCGAAAAGATTTCTGAGGAAAGAAGGATGATAAGATTTTAATACAAATGTGAAGAAGACTATTCATCTTTAGGTCTTTGTGAATTAACTCTTTCTTCGGATATTTGTTGTTGTTGTTGTTGTTGTTTTGTTGTTGTTTTTCTTCCACAGGTAAAACCTTCAGAATGTTGTCATGCTTCCTATAATGCTAAATTTTAACATGAAAAATATTTTACATGTTACTTTCTTAAGATAGTGTTTAAGGAGAAGGATATATATTTCCTTCTATATTCGCTGGCTTATTGAAATTGATAGAGACCCATATTTGTTACTATTTACTTGACTTTTATGTCCTACTTTTATTTCTTTCCTTAATTAGGTGGTAATGGATTTTTTAAAAAGTGTTACTGTAAAAAAAAAACGTGGTAAAAATAGTAAAAATAAACCACTCCTTTAAAGATACAAGGGAAGAGACCTTTGGCAGAGAGGTCTGAAGCTTCATGGGTGGATGAGGGTTCCCTTAGATGGGATTTCCAGATGAAAAGAAATTAAAAAACAATCAAATACCATCTGACCACCATAGGTAAGAATGTTGCTTAATTTTACAGAAATTTGTACCTATTGACTGGTAATAGCAGACTGTGCTGTACAGAGACTAATGTAACTCCTACTTTGTCGACTTCTTTGAAACTGCTCTAAATAAGTTACATACCATATATCTTTTTGTGGTAGAACACTGTAGTATATTTACACCCTCTGTATATTGCATTCTAACTTGGAATTCTGGTCCGTGGTTTCATCCATTGTTAGCTGCGATGCTAGACTCTCCCGGGAGTTAAATACAGTGGGGCTGTATTTATGTGAAGCGGGTATGCTTGGTCGTTCAGTGGCTGTTTCATTGCATATTACCTCCCACTTTGCTCCCATCTGTGTGTGTGGTAAAGGGAATTGTCCTAAAAAATACAGGCTTCCTCTGAACACAGACATGTATTTGTATACCAGTAAGTCAACAATCTCCTGAATTTGGGTGCCATTAATAATTGTCCTTTTTAAAAGGCTTTTAGAGCTTAGAGGGGGTTAGCAGTCGTTCTGTGGAAACCGATGTACATTTCCACATTTTCTGTAAATGCATTAAAAAATAATGTGTATTAAAGTGAAAGGAAATCTGTAAGATATCTTTTTAACAGAAAACTTTAATTTTTAGATTAATACAGAGATGAATTGTCGTGTATCTCTTGGAAATCAATGGTTAACATGATAGTCTCACACACTTTTTAAAATTACTTCATCTAATTGAAAAATTACAAAGAGGCTGATGAGCCACACATCCATGGAATATTTATCTTGAAACCTAGAGTCCTACTCACTTAATGTCTTGGCCATACTTCATGTATCTGAGAAACCAACTGAAATCAGAGCGCTTTTCTAACGTCTTAATTATGCAAGATTTTAAAAAAAGAAAACTAAAGTAAGCAATACCTGAGACAGATATTTTTACTATGAAAAATATTGCACTGGGATGGTGAAAGTTACTGCAGATAATGCAGCTATTTAAAATTATTATAGCTGCAATTACTAAAAAATGAGGAAGGTTTGACTGAGAACTATTCAAAATAGTTATTAGCCATGTGATTATAAAAAGGAACACATGAATGATATTTGCATGTTTAACCCTGGTTATAAAAAGTCATTTGATTTTTTTAACAGCATGTACAGCAGTTACAAATCCTTACAACTTTAGGTAAAAATGAAGAATCCCACTGTGGAAAGTGCCACAAGGAAAGAGCTGGATTAGGATGTATTAGTCACATGTGAAAAATAAAAAATATGTATGTGCATGTCTACATATGTGTGTGGATGTGTATAGTTACAATAAATACTTATATTTTAAACTTGATTTTTAAACCAACAATGGAAAGTAGCAACTCTGAAAGAATTTTTCTTGTGATTTGAAAGAACTCTTTCCCTGTCCCCCGTTCATGAAAGTTAGCTATTATTAAAAGCCTGACTACTTAGGAAATTATTTGTGTGGGTATTTCAGACATAAAATGTGATAAAATATAAGGTATACTTCTAAAAAAAAAAGTACAGCTCTAAATAGGTGAAAAGAAGAAAGAGAATATGCAAGGAAGAAAGAAAATAAAAAAATTGGAAGAAAGGAATAAACATTAAGAAGGAAAAACAACATCATGTATTCAGGGTTTATAGTGTACAAGCACTGTGTTAAGCTTATTACATTTTTTTGTTTTATTTAATATACAGTCCTAGAAGATGGATCTTACAATTTGTTTCACACAAATGAGGAAGTAAAGATCAGAAGTGTTAAAACCATGCATTCCCTAAAGACACACAGCAAGTTAATGGCAAATCTGGGAAAGAAACCAGGATCTGGCTGGTGAAGCAGAAAAAAAGTCAACCCTGGCTCCATTCTCAAATGTTATTACTCCACAGTCTGTGCCTCCCTTTAGGTATACAGGACACCCAGGCAAGGCGAGCAAGGGTTAGACTGATAAGTTTTTCAGGGGTGAGGTGGGACCGGGTTCAGAGGCAGCCTCCAGTCCACTCAGGCAGAGAGGAGGGGACTGATCCCTGACATGGTCCGAGAAGTAGTGGGGTAGCCTGGGTGGTGGGGCTCTGGGAGGCTAAAATGATACATTTTCATGAATTTTTCCACAACTTTTGCACTTTTGCTTTTGCTTGTAGACTTTTTGTCTTCCAAGAATCTTAGAAGATTTAAAACAATCTTTACAATCTTTGAGCAGGTGATTCAAAACACATTACCTGCCTGCCCTTCTGTCATGGAATGCTGGCATTTCTCAAAGGGGTGAGTCTTGATTGCCCCACACTAACAGGTGAAGGTTATGTGGTCTTTAGCAAATCATTTAGCTCCCTATACTGTCCTCTCCTACCTGTTAAAGAAAGGTCTACGCCCTGCTTCTTAACATCCTCACATAACAATCAGAATTAATTCCCAAGGAAATTTTTTTAAAAAACAGAAAAATACTGTAAAATTGGTATGCATGCCACAAAACGTATCATTTTGGGGAGCTGTTCAATTTGACTGACAATTTAAAGAAAAAGAATGCATGACAATCCATGATGAACTCATAGTACTTTCTTTACTTTGATTACCTTTCTCATGCTCTCCACATCTCTGTTGATGAATGGGTCAGATATCATCATCCTTATTTTACAATTGAGGCAGTGAGAGGGTAAGTGCCTGACCGTTGCCAGCAACCAAGATAAGAACAGGACTTGAGTCTCCTGTCCAAATCTGAGGTTCATTTTACCTCTTTCTTATGTCCAAATTGCTACCTCAGTAACTACCTTTGCCCTTAGTTTCATTGGCTGTAAAAATGGGATTGTATCATATCTATAAAAGGTGATCTCTTTTAGAGTTAAGATTTTATTATCTCAGGAATCTGAGCCTCAAGTACTTTTGGCATGAAAATGCTTTATATGTTTAGCAAAAAATTAGAAAACAGTCATTGAATCAGGAGATGGACTGGCTGTTGGTGAACTCAGTCGATGAAGCAGTTGGAATATCTGAGTCATCCCTAACCTATGATGCAGACTTCATCAGAGATGAATCTGGAGGCAGAAAATGTTTCCAGATCCACATTGACTTAGAACAATGCTGGGAAATTTTTGAAGTTTTTTTTTTTAATGGTGTTCCCTTAATTGAACTATACATTTTTAATTGGTCAAAATAACTTATGATCTTTTTTCCTATCACAAACATAAATTGTTTGGAAATTATTCTAAGCTATTATTCTCAGAGAAAAAATCCATAGTGATACTCTAGATTTAGCCTTTATGCCTTAATAGAAACTTGAAGAGATGCTGAAGCAATGTTATTAACATGCCATTTGCCTCCCTGTTACTTGCTTGACACACAACAGATATCAGGAAATGTTACAGTTGTCACTGAAGGAAGGTAAATTTTAGGCTATTCACTTTTTAATGTCAGTGAAGTTTTTTTAATGCCAGTATTCACACAGTTTGACCTACAAAAAACATAATTAATTTTTGTCTGTATTTCATAGTCTTCATATTCCAAAATGATTCACTACTGTATCTTTAATTCAAACACAGTGCCTGACATATAAATGGCACTCAATCAATGCTGATTGAATGAGTATTGAATACATTTATATGCAAGGTAGGACATGAGAGCAGTCTGTTCTGTAAGAAACATGAACAAAGATTTTTCCTATTTAATGATTAAGATAGTGTTGGATTAAAAAATCTCCTAGAGAAAATCATAAATGCATTTATGTTCTTGAGCCTACTTTCTAGCCATTTCTAATCAGAGACTACCACGTGAGAAGAGCCAGGAACTGCCAAGGGTAAGAAGGGCAGTTCTGTCCAAACAGATGCCATTTACAGTCATGGAAACAGCAAAGTGAAAAGAGTGGCCCTGGCCCTCTTGTTTGTTAGGACACCTGTTTGGTCTTACCTACAAGTAATTCTAATGCCAAAAATTATTACTTTGGGTGTAGAAACAGCCTGTGAATACACATTCACACTTTCAAGCTAAGATGATACTTAAAGTACTTCCTGATGGTGATATTTAATTCTAAAAATGGGGCAGTCTGCAGTTCACCTTCTAAATCTAACATTACAATCACCTTGGGTTATTTTTACAGTCAACAAGATGAAAAGGATAGTAGGATGAGGTAGATAAATTGATTTCAAGTTTCTAGGAGGAATTGTGTTTTCATCATGTTCTACTCTAGAATTTTTGTGAAGCAAGAAAATAAATATTTCTGTGAAAATTAAGATACCATGAAAAGGAAAAGACTTGGCAAAACAAATATCCCTAAAAAACAAACTTCAAACATTTTGCCAGTCTAAATGAAACTTCAGCAGATCAAAAAGAGGACAAGATGTGTTAGATTACTGTGACACTTTTATGAGGGTGAATCTATATTTCTAAGGGCATGTGTTAGTATTACAGCACTATTACTCCCACCTCCATGAAGAAAGTCACATGTAGTTCACTCGCTGGCTTATGTTTTGTGTGTTTAACAGAAACATTTAAATTTGATAAAACTCATTTTTATGAAGTTATGTAATTTTTGAGATGTGTAATTTTATATAGTGTAAATGAGACTCACTTCTGTTCTAAACTGTGTGTAGACATTTATTCAAACCTTAATGTTCCATAATCTTTACTAGGGCCGTTTCTGAACAGTCTTGCCATGACTACTACATGAAACTATGTAAATACATTTACCTATTTTATTGTTAATAGTCTATAGTTTCTACACATGGCTATCAATAACATATTGCATAGGTCATCATGTATTAACTTAAATTTGTACGATTTTAACTAATAATATAGCTTTATGTTTGGGAACCAAACTCAGCTCTTTATGAGCAAGGTACTGTGTATTATTGAGACCTATTTTTTTCTCCAATATTTAAAGTTATATGAAGTTATGGGGCATTTTAGCTTTAGCTTGATTCTTACTTTATATGGGAAAAAGTTATAAATGTGTTACCATGATTAGGCTTTTGTCTCTTCTTGGGCTTTTGTTTCATGGTTATTTTTGGAAAGGCTTGCTCAGCGGTTGGAAGAAGGAAAAGAAATAGTGGTCCTATTCTTTTACATAAATGTGATACCAACCCTTAGTTGGTTATGGTTTTCGTGAGCTTGTTTGTATTGTACATTTTGGGGGCCTCATTTTCCAGGTGGAGTATTTTCTAAAATTGAAGAAAAAAAATGAAGAATCGTGGAATATAGGAAAAGAGTCCAAAGTAGGGAAAACAGACTGAGCAAAAGGGTATCAGAATCATTCAAGACTATTGTGAACTTGTGTTATTGCCTACAAAGAAATTTGGATTCATTTCAATAATTATAGTAGCATTTAACCATTCAGAAACTCATTCATGTGACTAAGTAAGAATTCTTATTGGTACTGCACTTCGCAAAATAAGTCAGAGAACTTACTTTCCTTGCCTCTATATCATTTCCAGAATTATATTCTTGAAACATTTAGCCTTAATACCAGAACACTAATTTAAGGATATACTTTGCACAATGAAGTTGCCACTTTCCAATAAGTTTTCTTGGACAGATAGTATTTGAGAATATTATCCTTGTAATAAAAATTTTAAGTTCTAATCATTTGGCTCTGTGTGGTGGGAAATTTTCCAGCTGTAGAAGCAATCTCAAAGCTTAGGTTTATTTGCTTCCTCTTTTTTCATTAAAAAATATATTAATTGAGATGGCTGTATGTTCTTAATGTTTATGGAATATGTGGATAGTGTAGTGTAGCACTAGTACCTATAGGTAAATTACACTATATTATAGCGTAAAACTCCAAGAAAATGCGTGTAAAATCTAAATGAATTTTATTCTGTGTGAAAAGCATTCAGACTTCTACTAAATCCTGTTTCTCATCCTCAAATTTTTTTTTCTATCCCAGATACTTGCATTATATTTTTAAGCAATTTATTTTTGGATGCTATGTGGAGAAATCATTATCCTTTAAAACGACTAACAAAAATTCATACATTCAGTTTGCATTGGAGGAGGCGTTAATTTCCTCCTCACTGAATTGTACACAGAAGATGTTTTGGAAATTTTATAAATCCCCCTTTTTGATGAATCAGTATAGCATACTGGCTAAGGATGCTCATACTGGAACCAGATTCCATTGACACTTATATTTGCTTGCTATGCAACCTTGGTAAGATTATTTAATCTTTCTGTGCCTCTAATATAGGAATGTGAGGCACAATAGGATTATTATGACGAATGAGTTAATGCATGTAATGTACTTAGAACAGAACTCTTGGTAAATAATAGCTACTATTACTACTATTCATAGTTATCATCATATAAATCTTACTGGAAAGGCCCAAGTACTATTTCATAGGAGGAATATTTCTTTGTATATATAAGCTATTCTTTTGCCCTTCATACTGCCCCATCAGCAACACTTTAGAAAAAGGATTAATACCATTGACTAGGAATAAAATATACAGTTATTTGAAAATCTTGGTCATTATATGCAGTTTTTATTTGCGTGTTCACTGTAAGTCTGGTCTTCTTATGAAAAAAATTTCATTACTAAAAGCACTTTGATGTGGCTACTGTAATTGTATAGTTTGCATAGGTTTTTAAAGTTTTATAAATTATGTGAGTGCTTTTGCTTCCAAGAGTGACATGGTTCTCTTGTTAGTTTAAGAGCAACACCTCAGGCCCTGCTTGATCCAAAGAAGAATGTTTGATTTCCTTTACATTCCAAGGGAAACATCTGCTTTGGAGGGTGTGGGGGCAAAGGGACAGTCATTCAGGCTTCAAGGCTTTCAGACATGAAAGATATCTTGTTCATCATTTCTCCATTGATTTGCTTTGCAGCTTGCAGTTCCCCACAATGATGAATGGACCCGATTTGCCAGGACCCTTGTGGAAATTCGTGCTAACAGAGCTGATAGCGAGGAGGAAGGCACTGTTGAGTTATCTGCCTAGTGGAAATGAGCCACCCCCACTGCAGCCCCCACCTTTGTGTCCTAGAGCTCAGCGTCTGCAGTCAAGTCTCTTGTATTCGGTGTCCATTCAGTATCAGTATTGCTGTGATATTTTGGGTGCCATATTGTGCCAGCTTTGCTCCAAGTATTCTAAATGTGTCCCATCATGCTTTCCACTGACCCAAAATTCACCACAGCATTTCTATCTTTATATTTCTGTCTCAAAAATGAAGAGAAGGGGGTTATGGGTTAAGTTGCTGCCTTTTAACTACTTTGTAGCTGTATTTAATAGCTGGAAACCTCTGGTTAAATTTGTGCTTACATGCACTCCTGGCATAGTCCTATTAAATCCATATGAAGCCAGATATGATTGGGTGCAGATGTGGTGTTCCTCATATTATGGTACAGGGCCAAAGACTTGAGACGTGGTGTTTTACATGGTGACTCACATTATGAATGGATTTACTAGAAGAACATTGCTGCTCCTTATTTATTGTAGTGTGCTGCATGGAACGTATTTATTTGAAAGCATTAAAATAAATGATCCTAGAGCATGTGCATAATGAGAGGACTGTATTCTCTCTGCTGCTGTTGAGGTTATATTAAGTTCCACATAGCAATTACAGTATGCCAGTTCCACTGAAGACATGAAATCTTTAGAGGTTTCTTGCAGTGAACGAAATGAATTTTAATGCCTATTATTTCTGGGTACTTTAACAATATTTCAAATATCATTGACCACTAATACTTCTCACTGAAGCTAACACAGTCTGACAAAAGTCTATGGTTCCTAAATATGACATCAGTGTTGCCAATAAAATGTTTCAAACCAGGTCTGCACCAGTGTGAGTAAATCCTTTGCTTGGGGAAAGCTTGACTGGAATTCTGCTGGGACAAGAGATGGGAGAGATACATTAGAGCCATGTTAAAGACTGATCATGAATTTATTTGAGCAGCCAACCTGGCTGGACTTAAACCAAGACTCCTAGTTTTATTTTTATGAGGGAATGTGTGTGGTTTTTTTGGAAAGCTCCTCCTTCTCACCTTTACCAAAGCCACCCTTGCCCAAAGACAGTTGTTGGAGTAAGAAAGGTAGGTTAAGACGAACAAATACCAAATGTCCTACACATTTCTTCTTAAAAACAATTTACACCAGAAATGATGTTTATTACTATTGGACTAGGAAATATGTCTATAAACAACTTCAATAAACTTTTTTTCAAAAGGTCATTTTATGCCCAGGGAAAATGAAAACAAATAGCGGTTGAGTCATGAAAAACATTCGAAGACAGGCTTTCGGCTTTTTAGGAAGGGAATTCCCATTGGGACTTTGTTGGTAGGGATTCCTTCAACTGTACGGTTTCTTTTATTTTTAAAATAGTATCATACTTTTTCTCCAAGTAGCCTACAATATTTAGATATTGAAATCCTTTGTAAACAATAAAAATTTTATAGATAACAAATGAGTATCTGGAATAGGTTTAAAAGCATTTGAATGAAAAGTACTGGGAAAAAAAGTTTCACAGACATACAGTAAAGTACCTAAGAATAAAAATGCAAAACGCGTGCATTATTATGATAGACCAAATTGAATGATTCGGTGAGTGATGATGTGAAAAGTACAAAGGCCTGAGTCACTTACAGTAGGCACATAAAATGTTACAAGAACATGTGTTCTTATATATCCCACTGTGGTAGCTGGTCTCCAAGGCAGTTCCCAATTCTTGTGCAGGCCATCCCCTGTTGAATCCAGGCTGACGTTATGTGACTGACACAATACTGGGAAGTGATGCTACATGGTTTCCATTATGTCTTAGTTAATTCAGACTGCTACGTGGTTTCCAGGATGTCTTAGTTAATTCAGACTGCTATAACAGAATACTGTGGTATTCAGACTGAGTGGCTTAAGCAACAGAACTGTATTTCTCACAGTTCTGAAAGCTGGGAAATCCAAGGTCAAGATGCTGGCAGATCTGATATCTGGTGAGGGCCATCTGCTTAGGTTGCAGATGGCTATCTTCTCATTGAATCCTCACATGGTGAGGAGAGAGAGAGATGATCTCTTTCATGTCATTACTTATAAGGGCACTAATCACATTTATATGGGCTCCACCCTCATGACCCAGTTATCTCCCAAAGGCCCACCTCCAAAAATCATCACATTGAAGATTTAGGCTTCAACATATGAATTTGGGAATGAACATAAACATTCAGTCCACAGCCCAGGGCAAGGTTATAAGAAGACATATATCCTCCACCTAGGTTTCTTGGCACAATCAATCTTGGTCCCTGAGCTACTATGTAAGAAGCACAACTACCCTGAGACTTCCAGGCCACACAGAAGCTGACCATGGAGTGGTCATGTAGACATAAGAGAAATACACAGCCAGTCCACAGCCATTTAAGTCACCCCAGCTGATGTCCCAGATGAAATGTGGTAGCCAGAAAGATGTGCCTTTCAGATTTCCTATTGCAGAGAACATGGTTGAATGACAGTTATGATGCCTTGCTTTGAAACCCATTACCAAGTTTGACCAAGGTCATGCTTCCTGCATGCTCTTGCCAGCCAAGACTAAGTATGGCAAAGATCCTAAGGCTGGCCTGTATCTAGGAGACATAAGACTTCTTTGAAGTAACTTTGGCTCCAGGACTTTATGTCAGCATTGCTAAAACTTTCTCAGAACTGTACTTCAGTCCAAGACTAGCTGACTTTCTTCTCTTCCTCCCTTCCTCCCTCCCTCCCTCTCTCCCTTCCTTCCTTCCTTTCCTTCCTTCCTTCCTTCCTTCTTTCCTTCCTTCTTTCCTTCTTCTCCTCCCTTTCCCTCTCTCCTTCTTGAGGCCTGACAAACATCACTGTCTGATGGCTGTCCTGCCTAAGCTGGCTAGGGATGTCCTAGGCCTTATAAAAGAACAAAGAAACTACCTCAAAAGAATTGCAAAAATTAGCATGTACCATTAGGAGCCCGGGGAGTAGCACTGGGATTAGATTTTGAGGTGTTTAATCAAGGGAGCCAGAATGTTGATTAGATAAGGAATAATTCATTGACTTTGAGGGTTTTGTGTGTGTGTGTGTGTGTGTGTGTGTGTGTGGTAAGGAAGAGGGAAGCTATATGACTTTATACTCTGGCAAGGAGCCTAAAGAATAGGGTCACTCTTCGAAGTCTGAAAAAGCTGTAGCCTACATTCACTAGAGTGAAAATGTCTGAGTTGCCCTGGTAGTACAGGAAGGAATAAAGAGGTTGAAGGAAATGGGTATGTTAGAATAGATATATTATTTAAGTTCAGAAGACACACTCAAGGGTTATGTTACATAGGAACACCCAGAGTACACACCCTTCAAAGCCATTTGCAATGAGCTGGTGAGAGAGGCATTAGCATCTCTAGAATGTTTAGCAGTAGCTTTCCTTTGTAGGTCAGGGCTGATGGTAGGAGAGGCAGTCACAGAGTGGGGCTTGCTCACATCCATGGGGATGATGAGACCCCAGAGTAATAGTGGCTAGGTGGTGGCAGTTAACCACCAGAAGTCAGGAAGCCACAACTGCCATAATGACCAGCTAGATCAGAGAGCAGCCAAGAAGGCTTTACCCATAGGAAGTTGTGGGAGTAATTAAAAGAACGTGGCATTCCTAGTGGCAAAATAGACAGGCAGCCAAAAGGGTGTTGCTTAACTTCTATGACCAAAAACATAGAGCAAGAATGGAGACGCAGGAGACTGAAGACTGTTACCTCAATAAAAAGCCACATACCTCTGCTCACTGTCCAGTCCTGAGCCAGTTTTCCAATCCAGAAACCATTGACTGAAGATTGCTAGGAGGTTGCTAGGAGGGAGGACACCAGGAGGGAGGACACCACTGCAAACATCTATTGTGATGATCTCCCCAGTCCTTCCCCAAAAGGACCTATGGGCATTTATTCAGGTGAATATACAATGCAGAAAGAAACAAACCAACATTTGAAGACTATTGGGTACATTATCTGGGTTCACACTGAAATGTTATTGGAGTGGTGGCTTACGGCAACAAGGTAATGTAATGGAGTGTTTACTAAAGTCTAGGTCTCAATGGGCTCATTAGGTCTATGTACACACACAGTGGGTCATTCCGTCATTCCTCCAATCCTTGAGTGTTCAATTAGAATTGATATACTTACATCAGGTACCTGGCCTCTGGGATAAGAACTCTCACAGAAGGGAGGGCCAAATGGAGACCTCTGAAATTGCCACATTCTCATCTTCCCCTGCCAAGATAGCAAATACAAAATATTACATCTCAGGGTAGAGCTAGGAGGATGGCAGAGATTGGTGCCACTCTTAAAGGCCTAAAAGATATAGAGTGGTGTTCCCTATAATATATCTATTTAATAACCCAGTATGCCCCCTTTATAAATTAAATGGATCTTGGAGAATAACTGATGAGTACTGCAAGCTCAACCAAGTAAGATCACTGATCACAGCTGCCGTACTAGATGTGGTGTCATCCCTAGAACAGATTAATAAGGCTTCTGGTACATGGTATGTGGCCATTGATGGATGAATGCATTCTTTTTCATTCCACCTATAAAACAAGATCAGAAACAGTTTACACTCATGAGAAATAATTATTTTAATTTACAATTTTGCCTTGGGGCTATGCTAATCTCTCTCCCTCTGTAATACTCCAAAGATGCCTAGACAGCTTGAGCATCCACAGAATGTTACACTGATCCATTACATCAATGGTATCACACAGACTATGCAGAATAAGCAAGAATTAACTAATGTACCAGATGCCTTGGTAAGATATATGCACTCCAGAGGGTGGGAAATAAAATCAAGGAAGATTTAAGGACCTGCTACTTCAGTGGAGCTTTTTAGAATCTCCCCAATGTTTAAGAGCATGCTGGGCTCTTAAATACAAGCTGCTGAAGCTTAGAGCCCCCACCACAAAGAAGGAAGCACAGCACCTGGTAAGCCTCTTTGGTTTTTGAAGTTAACATATTCCATATCTAAGAATACTGCTCTGGTGCATCTACTAATTGGCATGCACAACTTTGGGTGAGGCTCAGAATGGGAAAAGACTTTGCAGCAGGTCAAACTGTAGTGCTAAGAGCTCTGCTGTATGGGCCATAAAATCAGCAGATGCTATGATATTAATGGTGTCAATGGTGGGAAAAGATGTGGTATAGAATTTTTGGCAAGTCCCAGTTGGAAAATTATAGTAGTGGCCCATGGGATTCTACAGGAAGGCCGTGCCATCTGAAGCAAAAACAGCACATGGCATATTAGCGGATCCTGGTAGAAATGAAGTTCTTTGCCATAGGATATAAACTTAACTACACATCCATACAACCAATTATAAGTTGAGCCCTGTCAGCCCTACCAACTCATAAAGTTGAATAGAACTAAAAGAAACCCCTTATAAGATAGAAACTGTGCATTGGGATGTACAGAACCAGAAGGCTCTGAACATAAGTAAGCTGCATGAGCAAGTAGCTCAAAAGCCCATTGTCACCCAACAGGATTTTACCAGCACACCTCCTCCATGCTTGCATACGTGGCCATGTGTAGGGAAGGTGAGTTCTGTGTGAGCCGCTGAAAGAAGAGGAAAACGTTAGAGTTTGGTTTACATATGGGTTAGTTCAGTTTGTGGGTACAGGTTGTCAATGGATTACAGCTAGCTACTTTATACCACATTCAGGATGAACCTTGAAAGACAGTCAAGAGGGAAAGGCTTTTTAATGGACAGAGCTGTTAGTTGAGCACCCAGTTATCTCCTTTGTGTGAAAGAAGAGATGGCCAGAAGTAAGTTTATATCCATATTAGCAATCTAACCCAAGCCATCATCATCTCTGTCATGATTCTGGCAGCAGCCTCCTAACTGGTCTCCCTGTGTCCACCTTTGACCCCTTCAGTCACTTCTCAATATAACCACCTGAGTGATATTGTTAGAACATTTAACTCCTCCATTCAAAGCATACCAATGGCTTTCACATCACTTGCAATAAAAGTCAAAATCCTTATAGTGGCCCACAGGCTCTATATGGATTTTTTTTTTTTTTTTGAGACGGAGTCTCGCTCTGTCGCCCAAGCTGGAGTGCGGTAACATGATCTCGGCTCACCGCAACCTCTGCCTCCCAGGTTCAAGCAATTCTCCTGCCTCAGCCTCCTGAGTAGCTGGGATTACAGGCATATACCACCATGCCTGGCTAATTATTTGTATTTTTAGTAGAGACGGGGTTTTACCGTGTTAGCAAGGATGGTCTGGATCTCCTGACCTCGTGATCCACCCGCCTCAGCCTCCCAAAGTGCTGGGATTACAGGCGTGAGCCACCGCACCAGGCCTCTATGTGGATTTTAATGACTCCACAACTTCTCTGATATTTGGTATTGTAGGTCTTCTTATTTTAGCTATTTTGGTGAGCATGAAATGGTATCTAGCTGTGGTTTTAGTTTGCATATACTCGCTGACTAATGATTTTGAGCATGTTTCGTGTGATTATTGGCCACATTTAATATATTATTTCTTCTTTCTGTAAAATATCCCTTCTAGTATCTTGGCCACATCTTGGCCACTTTAAAATTATTTCTATTTATTGTTAATCAGATAATATTTAAAAAATTTAATTTAGAAGAGTTTTCTTTATATATTCTGCTTTTAAAAATTATTAATTTAGAGGAGTTCTTTATGTATTCTGGATATAATTCCTTTGCCAGATATGTTTGTTACAAACATTTTTCCCAGCATATGCTTTAGAACTTCATTTCCTTAATATAATATTTTGATATGCAAAAATTTTAAATTTTGCTGAGGTCTTTTGTATCCATTTTTATGTTTTATACTTAGTATTGTATCATACTTTCTAGTAAATCTTTGCCACAGGTCACAAAGATATTGTCTTATGTTTTCTTTTGGACATTTTATTGTTTTAGCTTTTACCTTTAGGTCGATGATGGTTCTTAAATTAATTTTTGTGTATGGAATGAGGTAGTGGTAAACATTATTTTTTAAACATATGGATAACCAGCTGTTTTGGCAATATTTTCTGAAGAGATTATTTTCTTTTTGTTCATTAAATTAAATTAGCATTCTTGGTAGAAAAACAATTGTCCATATATGTATAGGCATATTTATGGGTCCTCTATTCTGTTTCACTATTTAATTTATCTATTCTTATATGATATCACACTGTCTTGGTTGCAATAGCTGTGTATTAATTCTTGAAATCAAGTGGCGTAAGTACTCCAACTTTGTTACTCATTTTGAAAGATTATTTTAACTATTCTAGGTCTTTTGTGTTTGCACATGAATTTTAGAATGATTGTGGAATTCTTTTAAAAAAACATACTGCTTGGATTTTGATTGGAATTTCACTGGATCTGTATATTTGGGGCAATGCCATCCAAGAATAGAATATAACTTGTATTTATTGGGTCTTCTTTAATAGAGTTCACCAATAGGTTGTGCAAACATTTTTTTTTCAATTTATTCCTAGATAACAACTAATTTTTTATGCTATTGTAAATACTATTGTTATTATTTTTCAATTTTTTAACAAAATTTTTTACTAGTTTGTAGAAATTTAGTTTTGTATATTGATGTTATATTTTGCAACCTTGCTAAATATACTCATTATTTATAGATTTTTTTAGATATAATTGCTTACTACATACACAATTATGCCATCTGAAAATAATGAAAAGTTTAATTCTTCTTTTCCAATCTTATCTTTTTTCCTCCTGTTTCTTTTCTTTTTTCTTTTTTTTTGCCTTACAGTATTAGCTAGGAAAGTCTTTATCATGAGTAGATGCTGAGTTTTATCATATGCTTCTTTTCTGCATCTGTTGACACGGTCACATAATTTTTATCCTTTATTCTGGTAATGTGAATTATGCTGGTTGACATTTTTTAATGGTAATCCAACTTTGAAATAAAATCATTTGGTCAACATGTATTAGTCTTTTAACATATCACTAGACTTTATTTGCTAGTAATTTCTTAAGGGTTTTCCCATAATCGTTCCTTGTGAATACTGATCTATAATTTTCTATTGTAATGTCTTTGTCAGGTTTTAGTAACATGATTATGCTCACATGAGGAGTTGGGAAGTGTTCTGACCTCCTCTATTTTGTGAAGGCATTTATATTGGTATTACTTCTTTCTTAAATGTTTGATAGAATTTACTACTGAAGCCATCTGGCCCTGGAGTTTTATTTGTAGAAACGTTTTTGGTAACAAGTGCATTTATTTAATAGAAATAGGAGATTCTGATTTTCTATTTCATTTTGGTTCCATTTTGGTAAGTTGTTTTCAACAAGTTGCATTTTTCAAGAAATGCATCCATTTCATTTGTCAGATGTATCCATATAAAGTTGTTCATACTATTCTCTTATTACCCTTTAATGTACATAGAATCATAATGACATCTCTTTTTAAGTTCCTGATGTTGCTAAATTATGTTTTCTTTAAAAATAAAAGGTCTTGCTAGGAGAGTTATTTTATTAATTTGTTCAAAGAACCAGCTTTTTAAATTGTCAATTTTCTTTATTGTTTATTCACTTTTTCTTCTTTCCACTTTGGGCTTAATTTGCTCTCTTTTTTTCCTTCCTGAAGTAGAAACTTAGATCATTGATTTAACACTTTTTTCTAATATAGGCCTTTGAAGTTTTAAAAATCCCTCTTAGGGTGGGCACGGTGGCTCACACCTGTAATCCCAGCACTTTGGGAGGCCGAGGCAGGTGGATTACTTGAGGTCAGGAGTTTTGAGAGCAACCTGACCAACATGGTGAAACCCTGTCTCTACTAAAAATGCAAAAAATTAGCCAGGTGTGGTGGCCGGCGCCTATAATCCCAGCTACTCGGGAGGCTTAGGCAGGAGAATCGCTTCAACTCCAGAGGCGGAGGTTAAAGTGAGCCAAGATCGCGCCATTGCACTCCAGCCTGGGCAACAAGAGCGAAACCCTGTCTCAAAAAAAAGAAAAAAAAGAGAGAGAGAAATCCCTCTTAGTACTGCTTTTACTATATTCCACAGATTTTGCAATAGACTTTATTATTATTCTGTTCAAAATATTTTCTAATTTCCATTGTGGTATATTATTTGACCTATGAGATTTTCAGAAGTGTTTTGTTTAACTTCCAAGTATTTGGAAAGTTTTCCAGAAAACTTTGTTTTCATTTCTAGTTTGATTCTGCTTAGTGAGAAAACATATATAATATGAAATAACCTGTATTTCAAATGCTTTTAAATTTATTAAGATTTCTTTTATGACTTAGCATATGGTCAACTTGCTAAATATTCCATGCGTACTTAAATAGAACATGAATTCTTCAGATCTTATGTGGTTCTATAAACTTTTTTTATTTTCTATGCATTCTGTCAATTATTGAGAAGGTGATGTTAAAATACAAACTACAGTTGTGAATTTGTCTATTTGATCTTTTAGTTCTCTCCATTTTTCATTCATACTTTTTTTTTTTTTGACAGCGTCTCACTTGGTAGCCCAGGCTGGAGTACAGTGGCATGATCTTGGCTCACTGAAACCTCTGCCTCCCAGGTTCAAGTCATGTTCATTCCTCAGCCTCCCGAGAAGCTGAGATTACAGGTGCCCACCACCATACCTGGCTAATATTTGTATTATTTTTAGTAGAGACAGGGTTTCATCATGTTGGCCAGGCTGGTCTCAAACTCCTGACCTCAAGTGATCTGCCCACCTCAGCCTCCCAAAGTGCTGGGATTACAGGTGTGAGCCACCGTGCCCAGCCAATTTTTCATTCATACGTTTTGAAGGTCTGTTACTAGAGACATACTTATTAGGTTATTATATCTTTCTGATAAGTTTATTATTATTATGAAATCACCCTCTGGTGTCCTTTCATTTCAGCCTGAAGGACTCGCTCTAGCATTTATTGTAGCACAGGTTAGGGAAAAGTTTGTTTATGCTTATCTGGGGATATCGTAATTTCTTCTTTTTTTTTTTTTTTTGAAATAGAGTCTTGCTCTATTGCCCAGGCTAGAGTGCAGTGGTACAATCTCAGCTCACTGTAATCTCCACCTCCTGGGTTCAAGGGATTCTCCTGCCTCAGCCTCCTGAGTAGCTAGGATTACAGGTGCGTGCCACCACACTCGGCTAATTTTTGTATTTTTAGTAGAGACAGGGTTTCACCATGTTAGGCTGGTCTCGAACTCCTGACCTCGTGATCCACCTGCCTCGGCCTCCCAAAGTGCTGGGATTACAGGCGTGAGCCACCACGCCCGGCCTTCTTCATTTTTGAGGAACGGTTTTATCAGTTTTCATTGACAGGTTTTTTTTTTTTTTTTTTTTTGGAGTACTTTGAATATCTCATCCCATTGCCTTCCGGCCTCAATGATTTCTGACTAAACCAACTATTAATCTTATTGAGGATCCCTTGTATGTGATGAGTTGCTTCTCTCTTGCTGCCTTTTCCCCAATCTTTATGCTTTTCTTTTACATATCTTATTGTATTGGCTAGGATGCCATCTTTCACATGATGTATGATATAAGCTATAGGCTTTATCAGGTAAAGTTTCCTTTCATTCCTAGTTTGTGAGACTTTACAAAAAAATGAATGTTGAATGTTGTCAAATATCTTTTCTGAGTTCAATTTAAATAATCATGATTTTCTTTTTAATTAGTGTAATATAACAATTGTTTTTGAGTGTATGTTTACTGTCCTGCAACGAACCCATTGGTCATAATGGATTGATTATCCCCTTTTTATAACGTTGAGCTCAAATTGCCAAATTTTAAAAAGGATATTTCTATCTCTTTCTGCAAAGGGATATTGTTTTAGAGTTTTGTTTTGTTTTCCTTGCAATGTCTTTATATGATTTTGATACTGTGGCAATGCTGTCCTCATAAAATGAATTAGGGAAGTAATCCCTTGCCTTCCATTTTCTCTAAGATTTTTGCAGAATTTTCATTATTTATTCTTAAAATATTTGGTAGAAATCAATAGTGAAGTCACCTAGGCTTGGATTTTTCTCTGGGGTATAGGCCAGGCGCGGTGGCTCACACCTGTAATTCCAGCACTTTAGGAGGCCGAGGCGGGTGGATCACGAGGTCAGGAGTTCAAGACCAGCCTGGCCAAGATGGTAAAACCCCGTCTCTACTAAAAATACAAAAATTAACCGGGTGTGGTGGTGGGTGCCTGCAATCCCAGCTACTCGGGAGGCTGAGGCAGAGAATTGCTTGAACCCAAGAAGCAGAGGTTGCAGTGAGCCAAGATCGCACCACTGCACTCCAGCCTTGGCGACAGAGTAAGACTCTGTCTCAAAAAAAAAAAAAAAAAGATTTTTAAGCTAAGAATTCAAGTAGTTAAATACAAGCATTCACATTGTTTCTTTCTTCTTCAGTGACTTTGGTAGGATATATCTTTCAAGGAATCTATTTCATCCATGTTGTTTCATTTATTGGCATAAATTTGTGCATAACATTCTATAACATCTTCTTATCATCACTTTACAATCTGTAGACTCTGTACTGCTGTCCCTGCTTTAATTCCTGATAATGATTATGTGGGTTTTTTCCCTCCTTTTCTGATTTTTATTTGCCAATTTTATTGATCTTTTCAAAGAATTGGATTTTTGATTTTATTGTTTCTTATTTTCCTGCTTTCTTTTTTTTTAATTTTATTATTATTATACTTTAAGTTTTAGGGTACGTATACACAATGTGCAGGTTTGTTACATATGTATACATGTGCCATGTTGGTGTGCTGCACCCATTAACTCGTCTTTTAGCATTAGGTATATCTCCTAATGCTATCCCTCCCCCCTCCCCACACCCCACAACAGTCTCGTTGACTTCTGCTTTTCATTATTTTTTATCTTTTGCATCTTTGGGGTTTAACTTGCTCTTCTTTTTCTAGTTTGTTAAGGTGAAAAATTAGACAATTGATTTGAGACCTTCCATCTTTCTAATGTAAGCAGTTAATGGTATACATTTCTCTCTAAACACTACTGTAACTTCATTGCATATATTTTTATATGTTGTGTTTTCATTTTCATTCAGTTCAGAATACTTCCAAATATTTCTTGTGGTTTCTTATTTTCCCTATAGGTTGTATAGAAGTATATGGTTTATTCTTCAAATATACGGAGAATTTCCAAAGATCTTTCAGTTATTTATTTCCAGTTTGATTCTGTTATAGTCAGAGAATATAATGTATATAATTCCAATCTTTTTAAGTTTATTGAGACTAGTTTTATGGCCCATATTATAGATTACCTTGGTGAAATTTTACTTGTACTTAAGAAGAATGTGTATTTTGCTGTTGTAGGGTGGAGTGTTCTAAAAATATGAATTAGGTCTATTATTTGATAAATGTGTTCAAATCTTCTATATATGTACTGATTTTCTGCCTACCTTTTTTTTCTTTTTGTGGACACAGGGTCTTGCTATGTTGCCAGGCTGGTCTCAAAATTCCTGGACTCAAGCAATCCTCCTATGTTGGCCTCCCAAAGTGCTGGGATTACAGACATGAGCCACTGTGCCCAGCTATGCCTGCTTGTTATATCAGCTACTGAGAGATGAGTACCAAAATCTGGAAGTATAATTGTGGATATCTTTTAGTTCTTTCAGTTCTATCAGCTTTTGTTTTCTGTATCCAAAGCTTTGTTATTAGGTGCCTACATATTGAGGATTTCATGTGTTTGCGATGAACTGACCCTTTTATCAATATGAAATGTTGCTGTTTATTCCTAGTAATAATCCTTTTTCTTAAATCTACTTTGACTGATATCAGTATTGCCAGCTCCAGCTTTTTATTCATAATTTTGTGATTAGATAGTATAGCTTTTTCCATCAATTTACTTTCAACTTATCTGTGTCTTTACATTTAAAGTTGGTTGCTTTAGGTAGCATATAGTTGTGTCTTACATTTTAAAATTTAATTTGATAATCTTTTCTTTTAATTAGGGTGTTTAGGCCATTTATATTCAATGTAATTATCAATATGGTAAGGTACATCTACTGTCTTGGTCTTTTTTATTTGCCCTATCTGTTCTTTGTTCTTTTTACCTCTTTCCCTGTCTTCACTTGGATTTTTATTTTTAAGATTTCCATTTTTCCCCACTAATGTCTTATTAGCCAAATCTGTTTTATTTATTTTGTATTCTTATCATTACTAGCATTTGCTCTAGGGGTTTACAATATATATTTTCTACTTATAACACTTTACCTTAAGATAATAGTATACCACTTCATGTATAGTATAAGAACATTTTCATATTATGCTTCCATTTCCCTCTCTTATTCTTTGTGCTATTGTTGTGCATTTTACTACATAGGGTATAAACCTCACAATATATAATCATTGATTTTGCTTTAAAGAGTCAATTATTTGTTTAAAGAAATTCCAAAATTAATTTAAAAAGTTGTTTTAAAAATGTACCCATTCTTTCCCATTGTATCATTCTTCGTTTCTTTGTATAGAGCTATATTTACATCTGGTATTATTTCCTTCTGCCTAATGAACTATAGTTAACAGTTCTTTAATTTATCAGCAATATGAATTCTCTTTTTTCTGTCTTATTTTGCTTTCATTTAAGAAAGATATTTTTACTAGGTATGTATCTCTTCGTTGACATTGTTTTTTCCATTTCTTAAAGATATCACCCCATTGTTTTCTGCCTTGTATACTTTCCCACTAAAAATCTTCTCCTATCATCTTTCTCTGGAGGTTTATAGGTCCTTTCTCCTCTGGCTACTTTTAAGATGTTCTGTTTATCACTGGCTTTCATCACTTTCATTATGATGTACTTTGGTGGAGTTTTCTTTAGGTTTGTTTTTCTTGGGGTGCAATGAGGTTCATAGATTTGTATGTATATAGTTTTTCTTAAATTTGGAAATATTTCAGGTATTACTTCTTTAAATATTTTTTTCTGTTCTTTTTTCTGGGTCACAGACACACATTACTGCTTTATATTGTCCTTACATTTTTTAAAGATTTTTTTTCTTTTTCTGCTTCATTTTGCAAAATTTCCTATGCTGTGCCTTCAAGTTTACTAATCTTCATTTCTGCAGTGTCTACTATATTCTCACTCAGTTTTCATCTCAGAGATTGTAAATTTCCTTTATGTCTTTTATATCTTTCATTTATCTACATACCACATTTTCCCCTACCTTCTTGACTATATGGATTATTTATAATTGCTGTCCTAATGGTCTTGATGCTGGTTCCATCACATTTGATTTTGGGGTCTGTTTCTATTGGTTGGTTTTTCACTTTGCTACAGTTCATATTTTCTATTTTCTTTCTTCTTTCTTTCTTTCTTTCTTTCTTTTTTTTTTTTTGACAGAGTCTTGCTCTGTTGCCTAGGTGGAGTGCAGTGGTGCTATCCCTGCTCACTGCAACCTCCACCTCCTGGGGTCAAGCTGTTTTCCTGCTTCAGCATTCCGAGTAGCTGGGACTACAGGTGCCTGCCACGATGCCTGGCTAATTTTTGTATTTTTAGTAGAGTCAGGGTTTCACCATGTTGGCCAGGCTGGTCTCAGACTCCTGACCTCAAGTGATCCACCCACCTTAGCCTCCCAAAGTGCTGGGATTACAGGCCTGAGCCACCGCACCTGGCTACAGTTTGTATTTTCTATCTTCTTTTTATGAATAGTGATTTTTGTTGTTGTTGTTGTTGTTAGATCCTGGACATTGTAAATCTGGCATTGTATGTTATGCAATTTTGTTGTATTCTTTTAAATAGTACTGAATTTTGTTCTGACAGTTAAGCTACTTGGAATGAGTTGGATCCTGTCAAGTCTTGTTTTTAAGCTTTAAGAGCAGAGTCACTTTTATTTTAGGATGAATTTAGCCTTATTTATATTGTGACACTCTTCTGAAGATTATTCCTGATGTTCTATGTATTATGAGGACCTTGCACTCTAGCTGGTTCAAATACAAACTATTTCCCCTTTGTGAGCTCCAGAATTTTTCTGCTTCTGTCTCTCTAGTGATTCTTTCCCAAATTTTAGATAGTTTCCTTTTACAAATGAATAGATCAATATTTGGCCAAAGAGTTGAGAACTTTGCAAAACTCCAGAGCTAGAAGCAGCTCTCTTCTGTTCAGTATTTTGTCTTACAAATTCTAACAGTCATGGTCTTCCTCCTCTCTGATGTCCATCTTTTTAATTTGGGGAGATTGCTGCTGGGCTGTTTGGGTTCTCCTTCTCTGCACAATAGTTGGAAACTGCTTCCTGGCAGTAAGCTGGGACAATGGTAGGTCTTACCTCTTTCCTTTCTCTTGGAGTTCACAGTCTTATTTTGCCTCATATCCAGTGATTGAAAACATTGTATTACGGGGCCAGGTGTAGTGGCTCAGGCCTGTAATTCCATCACTTTGGGAGGTTGAAGTGGGAGGACTCTCTGTGCTCAAGAGTTCAAGACCAGCCTGGGCAACATGGCGAGACCCCATCTCTAAAAAAAAAAGAAAAAAGAAAAAAAAATTATATTGTATACTTTTGTGCAGTTTTCTATGTATTGTATTGCACATTTTTGTCCAGTTTTCTAGTTTTCTTCATGATTCCATCATGGCCAGATGCAGAAATCTCCCAAAGGTGTGTGTATATGTGTATATATATATATGTATGTATATATATATATACATACATATATATATATACACATACATATATATATATATATATATATATATACACCTTTTTTTTTTTTTTTTTTGAGATGAAGTCTTACTCTTGTCACACAGGCTGGAGTGCAATGGTGCAATCTTGGCTCACTGCAACCTCCACCTCCCAGTTATTTTCCTGCCCCAGCCTCCCAAGTAGCTGGGATTATAGGTGCCTGCCAACAAGCCCAGCTAATTTTTGTATTTTTAGTAGAGACAGGGTTGCACCATGCTGGCCAGGCTGGCCTCGAACTCCTGACCTCAGGTGATCCACCCGCCTCGGCCTCCTAACGTACTGGGATTACAGGCATGAGCCACTGCGTCCAGCATCCCAAAGGTATAATTTTTTTTTTTTTTTTTTTTTTTTTTTTTTTGTGAGATGGAGTCTAGCCTTGTTGCCCAGGCTGGAGTGAGGTGGCATGATATCGGCTCACTGCAAGCTCTGCCTCCTGGGTTCACACCATTCTCCTGCCCCAGCCCCCCGAGTAGCTGGGACTACAGGTGCCCACCACCATGCCCAGCTAATTTTTTTTGTATTTTTAGTAGAGACGGGGTTTCACCGTCTTAGCCAGGATGGTCTCGATCTGCTGACCTCGTGATCCACCTGCCTCGACCTCCCAAAGTGCTGGGATTACAGGCATGAGCCACCGCGCCCGGCCTCAAAGGTGTAATTTTTAAGGCAGAAAGATGTAAACTAGAATTGGATGCCAATAGAGGCCAAAGCATTTCTTTAATATTTACTTTGGGGCTTTGAAGGTACATTGCTGTTTTTTTAAAATTTATTTTGAAACAGTTTTGAAATAAAAGATGGCAGTTATAACTTTTAACTTATGCCAAATGCCATTATCATTTTTAATAATTTAGCCAGATATGTGTAGTATCAGAAAGCTTAGTCATTAAAACCAAATAAAGACACTTTCTAAATTGAATAAAAGGAAAGAATGACATGCTTAATTTCAAGTACCAAAGAGACAGAATAGTCAGTGATATGGTTTGGCTGTGTCCCCACCCAAATCTCATCTTGAATTGTAGCTCCCATAATCCCCGTGGGTTGTGGGAGGGAGCCAGCGGGAAGTAACTGAATCATGGGGGCGGGTTTTCCTATGCTATTCTCGAGGCAGTGAATAAGTCTCACGAGATCTGATGGTTTTATATAGGGCAGTTCCCCTGCATGCACTCTCTTGCCTGCCTCCATGTAAGACGTGCCTTTGCTCCTCCTTTGCCTTCTGTCATGAGGAACTGTGAGTCCATGAAACCTCTTTTTCTTTATAATTACCCAGTCTCAGGTATTTCTTCATAGCTGTATGAAAATGGACTAATACAGTTGGTTTCTCTACGTGCACTCTCACATGGGCAAACTGTTTTAAAAAAAAAATAATAATCACCTACTTTATAAGTAGCGGTCAAAGGGTAAGTCGAAATTTCAGGTTAAGTATGACCTGCTTCTTTGATTAGGAAGAATGAGGTACATGTACTGCATAGTGGGGAGGAAAAAGGCTGAGACTGAAAATCTAGAGAAATCTCCACTTTTCATAGCAAAAAAGAAAAAAATATTCAATAAACAGTGGCTTCACTTCTGTCTTCAGAAGAAAAACAAATGCCTGCTTCAATTTTCTTTATCCCCACTTTTTAATTTTTCTGATTTTACTGTAACAGGTAAGCCTTTTTATAGCAGTGGAGCTAGCCCGAATGAAGAGTTTATTATAAAAAATAGCCTCTTACATTAAGCAGCTAATTATCAGGAGACATACATTTTCAAATTGATAAAGCATGTCTTACTACTTAGAATTTATGTAAGTAAATTCTGCTTCAAAACAGAAATTCACATTCTGAAATATACTACTCTTTTGAGAATAGAGGAAGAATTTTACATTTTAATGTTTTTATTTTTATTTTGCCCAGGAAGAATATGCTGTGAATATTTGGTGCGGGTCTTTCAGTTATCTTTTCTCCTTCATGTAATAGGGTCAGAGAGCTGCCAAAATGCAGTGGTAGGTATCCTCTCCTTTCACTTTAGGGGTAGCAGAAAACTTGGGAATACAGTAAGACTTGTCCACCATTAGTGGTGATGGGGATTTCATGTCCAAAAGTAATTCCAGCAAATCCCACATTCTGTAAACTGTCTCCATTCCCTCCAGACACACTTTGAGGCCAAGTACCCATAGATATTTACTTTTAACTTGGTTTTCCATTATTTCCAACTTTTGTTGAGCAACGGCATTTTCTAATTATAGAAGAGATTTTTAAGATGGTCCAATTCAGTTTGCATCATATCATGTTACACTGTAACAGTTTGTAAATTTACCTCCACTTTTTCCACATTACCTTCCAATTTTACACCCGTGGGGCAAATGCTTCAAGTTTACCTTAATCCTTTCTTTACTGACTTTAATAGACTGTAAAATAGTTTTAAGAGGAATCTCAAAAGGCTTGTCAGGCTTCACCTGGTCCTCAGGCCCTGGAATTCTTTGAGGTAGCAAATGCACTTACTATGGTAAGTAAACAGAGACCACCCTTCCCTTCTACTCTAAGCTAGAATGATACATCTGATACTGAGAATAGAGACAGTAAGAAATCCTGGGCAAAGACTATCATAAGAATTTTTGATATAGTTTGTTGAGAAACCTTCGAGGGAGGACAGAATGCCATGAGACTTGGACTCAAATCTGAACTCCATCACTTGCTAGCTCAGAGACTGTGGGCAAGAAGATGAACCCGTCTTGGTTTCCTCATTTGTAACACAGGGAAAAGAACAGTACCTACCTTGAGGGTGATAAAGACGATTACCTTAGACATCATGCCTGGCACATAATAGCTCATATTTAATGAGTCCTTATTGGCCACAGAAATCTGGGATTGAATTATGTGCTCCTTTCTCATTTGAATGCTGCCCAGTAAGAGACCAGGGCAAGAGCTGGGATAAGTAGCTAGGGATGGTGGAGGAGAATGACAGAAGATAACAAATAATGTTTTCAGTTCTTTTCATCAAGCTGTATTTCCCTTTCCCCATCTTATAGAATAGACTGTAGCACATTTGCACTAGTCTGTTCTGGGATCTTGAGTTCACTTTAAAATCACTTAAAGAAATGCTCCACTGCAAAATGGAGCATCCTCTGAAGGGCCGAAGCCCTGTCCAAAGCAGCGGTAGGCACTGGAGCCTTAGTGGCCAGACCAGTGTGCTGGGGGTGTGTCTGTGACCCAGGAGAAGTGAGGCTCAGAAAAGCACAATTACTGCGTCTTCTTAATTTTCCTTCTAAAGTTATTCGACGGGACTGTGGTTTTGCTTTGAGCAAAACCCGCTTAACGGCTGGGAATCTAAAAGCAAACAACATTATTTTATTAGGTTACCCTAGCAGATGAAAGCAGAGTGTTCCATTTGGACTCTTTTTGGAGTCAATTAATGCATTAGCTAAAAACAAACCCTTTTAAAAGAGAGTTCCTGTTGTCTTCAGCAGCTTCGAAGGGAAAGCTTCAGAAACAAGAGAGGTGAGCTGTAAACAAGTAATACATTCATTGATAAGAACAACTATTGTACTAATACATTTCAACTCGTGTTAGAATGTAAAACTCATCTCAGAGGATGATTTTTTTAAAGTTTTATTTTTAACCAAGACCAGGGAATTTAAATTTATCATATAGTTTATGTGACAATGCCTGACTCAACTAAAGTCAATTTTAAATAGCTTTAGTTGTTTTAATAAAATATTTATTTATGACTTGTAAAGTAAGTGATCAGTACATAAAACTGTGATTGTTTTCAGTTATGGTTTTAACTCCAGCAATAGAAAAGGCCTATAAAGTAGGACAATAATGGAGATCACTCATTTGGGAAAAAAATACGAATAGTTTATTTCCACCCTCACAAACTCATGTGCCTCTGACCATTATGCAAGGCACCATGAAATTAAATACTTATGTCAGAATATATTTGTCTTCCATGATTCAAGATAAAGTGAATTTTAAAAGCAAATGGGTGCCAATGATGGGGAGATGAGGGGAATAGGGCAGGCAGCAACAGGGTAACATGCATTTTTCAAGAGTGTTTCTCAAAAATTCATCCATTCATCCATCCTTCAAAATAATAACTAGGAGCCTCTACTAAGAGAATCAGAGACACAATCCCAACCATCATGGATCCCGATCTGGACTTTCAAGCTGAAGACTGCCACTGTTTTAAGAGACGGAGGTGGCCGGGCGCAGTGGCTCACACCTGTAATCCCAGCACTTTGGGAGGGTGAGCCAGGCGGATCACCTGAGGTCGGGAATTCGAGATCAGCCTGGCCAACATGGAAAAACTCTGTCTCTACTTAAAATACAAATAATGAGTCGAGTGTGGTGGCATATGCTTGTAATCCCAGCTACTTGGGAGGCTGAGGCAGGAGAATCGCATGAACCTGGGAAGTGGAGGTTGAAGTGAGCCGAGATTGCACCACTGCACTCCAGCCTGGGCAACAAGAGCAAAACTCCATCTCAAAAAAAAAAAAAAAAAAAAAAAAAAAAAAAAAAAAAAAAAAAAAAGGCAGAGGTGACAATGCTGTTAGATGCCTCAGACATTAAAATGAAGCAATGAACTCCCCATGGTCTTCCTAACATAACAGAACTCTTTGGTGAAGGTTATTCCCCAAAGGTAAAACAAAAGGCACACACTCCTTTGTGGGCAGTACCATTTGTGGAAAGAACATTTCACTGCTCTGACCAGGGAACGTGTCTCTTAAAAATCTTTGGAAAAATCCACATCCTGAAAGCATTTGATTACCCTGATTTGAAAATGGGATTTTGCTCAGTGGCAAGGATACAAATTCATCCCCACAAGTATGCCTTCTGCGGTAAAAGGCACATGATGACTTTTAGGGACAGTTTATTTGGAAGGTTGATAAATGGGGCCATAAGACAGGACTCATCAAATTTCTTTTTTGAGATCTCCCTCTACCTGAAGCATTCCAGCATGACTTGCATTCTGAATACCTAGTTGGAGGAGGTTACAAACAGTTTCAAGCGCCATTTGTTCCCGTTTTGATTCCCCACTCGCTGGGTTATGTGCTGTTAGACATTTCCAGAAGACTGTCAAAATGTAAGCATCCTGAGGTTTACATAGGCCACGCCATTAAATAACATATAAGCACAACATTTTAAACATTGTTTTCCAGCAATGGTAAATATTTTAGCTAAGTAGAAACTAAAGCTTGAAATGCAATAAGCACTTAAATGACTCCTTTCTGTGCCAGAATTCTTATTTTCCTCTGTGCGACCCTGGCTTCTGGGATTAAGGCAACCCCAGGGAGCTCAGCAAATGGTTGTGGGTTACGAGGTGTAGCAGGAGCTTGGCGACAGCATGCCACCCAGCCTCAAGAAACCCAGCCATGACTGGAACCCAAGAATCAGTGTGTTCACTTTGTGGTCAGCTTCACATTTTTCCCCTCCTTGAAAAAAAAAAAAAGCTGCTATGAAAATCAGACCTCTCTCCCAACCCCCAAGGAATCACGTGGTGGACCAGGAGCAGAGTGGAGACTCGGGGCAGGCAGAGCAGAGGAGGCTGGCCCCCTCACGTAGGCAGGCAAGCAGGCAGGCATGTGGGAGTTACCAGCTTCAGTTCCTCAGCCCTACAGAGGGAAACGACCCACGGCACCAACAACAGCCACACCACTGACGACGACAACGGATTGTGCTGTCACCAGAAAGAAGGGAAACCCAGAGCGAATTTTACAGTGGTTTTCACCACACGGTGATTGCAGTCCTGTTCAGGGCATGTCACAGTAACACCACCCACTGAGCAGAACCCAGAGGGAAATTAGGCCTCCTTCAAAGTCTCCCATTACTGCCTATCCCTGAACAGAATAAGGCAAGGATTTTAAGGACACACAGACATGTGGCCCTACCTCCATTGGCTTCCTGGGGCCCCTGGCTTCTTATTCACTAAAGAGAATTGTTCTCAGTGACTGACAAGGCTAAATGAAGACAGGGTGCTCTCTCATTAAATGCAACTGCTCTTTAAGAGGCAGGCAGGGCCATGGACAAGTTATGAGATTTTTGGTCAGTGTTTTTACCAAGAAAACTTGATCTGCCATAAAATCTCAAACAAGTGAAGAAAAGGAATGCAGAGATGCAGGGCCTTTTCTCCACATTCAAAAGACCAAAGTTGGCATGTTTTGTTCTAACACCAACCACATTTCTAACACATATTTGGAGTTCTGTGACTAGTCTCTGAGATTATAATACAGATATTTATCACTTATCACACTGAATTTGGGGAGGGGATTCCCCTTTGGTTTTGTCAAATAATCACAGAAGGAGCCATGTATGTTATCTGTCCTGTTTCTAGTGAAGAAGACAAAGCTCTTCACTCCCCTCCTGACCCTCCCCCTCTAAAAAATCAGCCATTTATGGCGGGTATTGACTCTTGCCAATTTTAAACTGTAACTTCAAATGTCAGCCTGTTGACTTACAGAAACAGACTGACAAATGGCTGTCTGCTATGGAGAAAAACTTTGGAAACTCAAAATGTTCATACAGACTGCCAACAGATTAATTAGTAGCCTCTTTGGAAGCATGATCACGGTCTAAGAATAGCCTTAAATCCTGTTCAAGACTAGCTTCTTTCCCCAAATCATTATAGTGCTAGCCAAATAATAGCAAATGTTAGATACAGTGGTATATGGTTTTGGTGTGTGCAAGAGTCAGACTGGATTAGAAAATACGACTGCCATTTCATACCAGTTTTCATGGCTAAGTTCTACTAAAACTATGTGACCTTCATCATCACAATAAACTGCCGAAAGTGCTGGAATGACTAGAACTAAGGTGTCAGTTTGCTAGTTCTTTGCTTATCTATGGTTAAATACAGTTTCTTGTACTCACTTTGAACCATGAAAATGAGGGAACACATTACCTTGAAAGATACTGAGGATATATCCATGCCAATATGAATAAAATTCCCCTCAAAACAAAACATGTAGGCCAATAATGACAATTACTGTATCCACTCACCATGCAACATGCACAAGACCAAACAACTCAATCACTTTACAAATAGTTTATTTCCACCTTCACAAATTCATGCGCCTCTGACCATTATGCAAGGCAACATGAATTAAATACTTATGTCAGAACATATTTGTCTTACATTATTCAAGATAAAGTGGATTTTAAAAGCAAGTGGGTACCAATGATGGGGAGATGAGGAGAATAGGGCAGGCAGCAACAGGGCAACATGCATTTTTCAAGAGTGTTTATTAAAATAGGCAGTAATCAGTACATGTACATCATATGAGCAGTTTTTCAAAATTAGCACTTCCAGGAGAGGGGCTACATCTCAGTTTTTTCTGTCTGTACAGTAAAATGCCAAAAGTACTTCCCTAAAGTACAAAGGCATTTCCCTAGTAGTCTTGGTACCAGTAACAATATGATTACTAAACATCTCCAATGTGGTTTTCATTACAAAGAAACATGTTTCACATAAAAGCTTCATAATATAATCCAGAGACAGAATTTGTGCATGCTTACAATTTGAAGCCAGGCTGAATATATTTGATATATATTTTTTCATTTCTCCCAGTGTTTTTTATTTTTATAAATATGCACCTAGTTTCCTACCAGTTTAAAACACACACGAAACACTGCTCTGAGCACCATGATTGCCTTACAGTAGCCTCTTTGGGACTACAATCCTAGTTCAAGGAGGGGAGTACTAATTTCTATTCTGACTTGCTCCTTTCCCCAAATCATGTTAGTGTTGACCAAATCCCATCAATTTTCAGATGCAAACAAAGGTTTCTGGGCAGAGGGCCAAATAATAATTATGAATAATTTCACAATGATCTGGTTAAGAAAACACCCAGAAAATGAATGATTTCACATGATAAAAAAGCCTGGACTTGAATTTAAACAAGAGATGGACGTAAAAGGGATGAAGCATTGCTTCATTCCCAGGAGGGATGTTCTTTACTGCAGTACCCACAAAAAGACAGCACTATCCCAGGGCTGATCTTCCTATGGGCCTCCACCAATAGCCTTTGAGGTAGATACTGATGGCTTGAAGAGAGGTAGGTAAAGTCCAAATTTGTTTTCAATCCCTGCAAATGTAGCAACTGCCAGTTTGTAGCCCCCAACGTGATCAGGATTCGGGGCAGGCAGGTTGATCCTGGATTTAGGAACTGGCTCTGATCCCATGGGTTTTCTAAAAGAAGAGAAAACAGAGTAAGAAGCTGTATTTTTTGTTTGTTTTAACTTGATAAAAATAACATTCAAAACCTGTTCAAATATTTAATGTAAAGGAGTTGATACATTCTCATCAGTTGTATGTTCCCCTTGGAAATGACCTTGTTAACACAATTTCAACATTTCCCTAAATCTCTTCTATTTTATTATAGAGACTAGACTGAGGTACCTTTCCCTACGACAACAGAGCATTAGCAGCAGCCAAAATTTAGCAGCAGATTTAGCATGATACTTACACTCCTCCAAAATCAATGTAGAACCATCGCTGTAGCAATTCGTAAGTCAGCAAAGTTACACCAAACTGGGGTGAGGATCGAAATACACGAGCTTTAAAAAAATGGAGAAATCACAGATATAATTAGATATTTTAAAAATTTACCTGATACCAAAGAGTTAGTTAAGAACACATTATTTCCATACCACCAGCTCCCTTCCACAGAGCTTTTGGTCCTTCTTCACGCAGTATCTTTCTAAAGCAGTCTATCACTCCGCTGTAAGTGGTTTGGCCAGCCCGGGCAGCCACCTGTAATCTCGTCTTGATAACATCAGCAGGGGTCACTAAAGATGCTGCAGGCATACCTGCAGGAGAGACACAACACCATCTCAGTCTGGTCACATTCTCACTATATAAAAATAACTGTGCTTTGAACTGCTGGCCGTGGAAAGAAAGTTAAAAATCCGATTCAATAAAATGCCTATTTTGCTGTCCTCTATGGGAAATGCAACCATGCCTCTCCTGTGTGCAAGATGTCTGCTCCTACACCCCTCCCCACCAGACTCACACCTTCCCTTGCCCAAATCACTCAGCCTTCATTTCCTTTGTTTCTATTCCTAAATCTTTAAATATTTTTAAGAAATTGTTTATCAATAACACTACTTCAAGTGGTTGAGAATAAGTGGAGAAAGCGGTTTTCTTTTCTTTTTCTTTCCTGTTGAAATCAAAAACTTGCGAAGTTATTAGGTCCGATTTTTCAGAGGTGAAGCTTGTTATGCGTTTCCTCTTCATGGTCTTCTGTGGCTGCTGGCAGTCACAGGAGGTGCTTTCTCTCACACATTCAACCACCCCCTACTCTCCAAACCCCAACCTCTCCAGTTACACCAGAAAAAGACTTTACTGATATCTAAAAAACACTATGTGTGTTGGGGGGTGGGAGGTGGAGGTTTCGGGGAGGGGGTGAAATTGGGAGAAGGAGACTCCTACAGATAACACTTTAGGATTTCTTTTCCCTAAGACTGACATCTCCAGAAAAATATTTGACAGAAAGCTTAAAATTTATACTGGCTGATAATCAATGAAAAAGGAACAACAACAACAACAGAAAACCCTCCCAAAGTTACCAATGGGAAATTTTTCTACAGTCACTGTATCCAAAATAGGGCAGTGCATGTTTAGATTTTTTAAAAGCGAGACTGTACTCAGAAGACACTGTCTCTTATGGTTTTATTACTTTTCCATTATGAACTTATTCCAAACCAAATTGGTCAAATGCAGATGCATAAATCTCCTTTGCTTTTTTTAAGGCTTAATAATTCTGTAAGAATTTCTGTCCAAACCAACATGGTCTGGCTCACAACTACATTTCATCCTTCTAACAGACAGCTTTAAAGTTACAGTGAGTTGGAAGGGGGGTGTAAATCTGCATACTACACGCTTCCATTTATATTACTGAAGGAGTATCTCTTCCATCTTTACCTAGCTCCTCAAACATTAATCTCAAGAGGTTTTATAAAATACATCACAATTCTGCATGCAAAAAGCTCACTTTATATCCAGTGCTTCACTGGATAAGTCATACTGAAATTCCTGTTCATTTGTAGGAATTATTTTAACTTTGGGCCAGGAATTTATCCTCCAACATAATGGAAGGAAACAAGAAAAATGCTTAGAAACCCACTGTGTTCACACCACCGATTTTGTTTTACTTCCTGGTTTAGAAAGAGTTTAGCAAGACAGCCTGCTTTAGACATGCAATAAAAGCCGCCTTGCAATGGTGGGCAGGCATGTCAGACTGTGACTGTGAAAGACATACAAGCAATAAAATGGGCAAAAAGTTCCCTTTGGCTAGGGTAATTTTCATAAACTCTTCTTTGTTATGAAAATAGAGGTACTGGGGGTGAAGGAAGCAGGTATGAAAGACACCTAGTAAGTTGCCTGGCAAAACTGATAGGAGTTGTGGCGAATGCTAGAATATGGCAACTTGAACATAACTCCCATCATCTCCATTGTCAGCTCCAGTTTCTCCTAGGCAGGTATCTGGTAAGGCCTAAAAGGAATTTTGGACATCTTGGTGGACAGGAGATTTCCAGTGTGAGGATTTGCTAAGTTAACCTGGAGAACTGCACCAGGCTGCCCTAAAGCAAGGCTGGGAAAGCAGCAGATACTGGCAAGAACTTGGCCACCAGAGAGCTGTTGATTTTGGGGGCCAGGGTTGGCAGGGACGTCTGGTAGATCTGCCTGCTCTCTTCTGGATTCCAAAAGGCTAAGCCAATGCTGATCAAGTGGTCTGAATTTTCTCTATTCCTAAAGACAGGGGAGCAAGAGGAGACTGGGAAACAGAGATGCTTCCTCTAGGTCCCTCAGCAGGAAAGGGACTGGCAGGCTGCCTGATTCTTCAATGACAAGACAAACACAGAGACCCAGGGGCCATCCACCACCTCTGTGACAGGAGTAACTTGGGGCATGTCTCAACCAATTAAAAAATTACAAGTCTTCAAAGGGGGCCCAGCTAGAGTAGAATATAATTTACAACAAAAAGAAAACATGACTGGCAAAATACAGCTTTAGGGCACAAGTCATCGTTAATTTTTATAAATATCCCATTTATATTTATAAGGAAAGTGCTTTTCTTTTTATTGAATACAAAGGTTAATATCTATTTATTTTGGATCAAGGCTGTTTTCCAAATCCCCTTTGCATCTCTATCTATATTATCTACTTAATACGTCAGCTTCTAAAAGCAGTGTGATAAAGTTTTTCATCAGGTATGAGAAAATATCGCATTTTCTTCATACTTTGAAGCTGAGAGATGACATTATACATTGATATTACATAGAAATTGATGGCGTCTTCATAGTGAATTTTATCTTTTATAAAATATGCCTGTGTGCTTCTGAACGCTATTTAAAACCTTGAATTCCATTCAGTATGGCATTAATATTGCTACTTGCTTATTGTTGATATTTGCCTGGTACATATTTTTCAATCAGCTGTCTTTCAATCTTTCTATGTCACTGTTTTATGAAACTTCATATGACTAGATTTTCTTTCAAAACTCATCTTAAAGTGTTTGTTATTACTAGGGGTACTGAATTCATTTACAGTGCTTGTGACTACTAGACTTATTTCTGCCATCCTATATTATGCTATTTTCTCTGCTTCCAGTTATTTCCCTTTTGATCCCCACCACTTCCCTGACTAAATATATTTAAACGTTACATGCATTTGTTATATAGGTGTACATTTACAACAGGTGCAATTAATTAGCATTTGCATCCTCCAGCAAGGGGAGGACTTTGGCGCACTGGCACTTTTGTCCTTCCTTTCATTTGTCAGTCTCCCAAAAACCAACCATTCTTGCATGAATACATATACCAAAGTCAGCAATAATGGAGACCTACCACAGGTTTAACTTCTATTTGCTGTTTCATATATCCTACATTTTCCTCCTTCTTAATTCACTTTTTTTTTTTGAGACTGAGTTTTGCTCTTGATGCCCAGGCTGGGGCTGCGCACGATCTTGGCTCACTGCAACCTCCGCCTCCCAGGCTCAAGTGATTCTCCTGCCTCAGCCTCCTGAGTAGCTGGGATTACAGGTGTGCACCAGCACGCCCGGCTATTTTTTGTATTTTTAGTAGTAGAGACAGGGTTTCACCATGTTGACCAGGCTGGTCTCGAACTCCTGACCTCAGGTAATCCGCCCACCTTGGCCTCCCAAAGTGCTGGAATTACAGGCATGAGCTACTGTGCTGGGCCCTTAAATTCACTTTTTAATTGCTTCAGAGAAGGTCTGTGGGGAAGAAAGCTTTGAGTCCTTGCATGTGAAAAACTAACTTTAGTTTTGCCTTCCCCCTCCTGAGTGTTAGTGTGCCCAGGAACATAATTACGACTCAAGACATCCTTTCCTTGGGATTTTGAAAGTATCCAGTATTACAGATAAGAAGATGAGAAGTCAATCTTCTATTGATTCATTTTCTATTCTCCTTTTCCTTATTACTTTTCCCTAGGGAACTCCTATGAAACAGATGTTAGATTTCCAAGATTAATTCTACCTGTATCTTAAATTTTCTCTCCTTTTCTATCTCTATATTATTGCTACACATTACATTCTAGAGGGGTTTTTTTTTTTTTGCATGTCTTTATTTTCCACATGTCTAAATTTGGTCTTTGATCATATCCATTATATCATTCAGAACTAACGCTTGATATTTAATTATGGCAGTTCTTCTATTACTTTTCAAGAAAGCTTCTTTACTGATTATTTCTTTCAAATCTCTCTGAGGACTCTAATTAATTATATTAATTAATTATAGTTCTTAAAAGTTGTCTTCTGTCCCCTGAATTGCCTGTTTTCTCTCTAATTCTTCTGTTCACTTACTTTGTTGCTCCTTCATGGCTGGGGATCTCTGGTTGTCTATTGATATTATTCAAGTTCAAAGGATAGGCTGATTAGTATTATATACAAATGTTGTGGGTGACTTCTACCATATTCTAGGTATGCTTCACCCACAGGTCTCTCTCCTGAATGGGAGGGTCTATGGGCTTTGTGTAACTGGGTGCAAGGGGTTAGGATATGCTGGCAGGGTGTGGACCCTCCGAACTGCTGAAATGTAGGGAACTTCACTTTGGGGGTAGAAGAATTTATTTTAAATCCTTAATTCTTCTTGGGAAAAGCTGCCATCACTTTATTTTTTCCTGCATCTGTGGTAGAAGTCTTGAATTACCTTAAGTCCTGCCCTACTTTCTGTCCATTCCTTACACTTATCCTCTCTAGGGAAGTGGTCTCTTTCTTTAAAATTGAGCTCTGAGCTTTTAACTTGGATACAACTGTCTCCTGAAGCTCCATATGAAAACCAGGAGAGAGCTCCAAGCCTGGCAATCCTGAAGAAAGTATAGTTGCCTAACTCATGTTAATGATTTACCCTAAAACCTCCACCTCCACCCCAGGCATTCTATTCTTCACTCAAAGGTTAACATTCTCCAGTTCAGCCCTTGCATTAGAGGTAGTTTCTCCTGCTGTGTTTTGGACTGGGGCATCTCTCAGTCCAGTTTCAGAGTCAATATGGCTATTTCCTTTCTGCTGAGGGCCAGATTAGCATTTTCTAGTGCCAATAAAGAATTTTTTAAAAATGCATTTCCTGACATTTTAAGGTATTTGGGAAGACAGGAGAGATGGATGAATATGCTCAGTCTATTGTCTTGATTCAATTTCTTCATTACTTTTTTTAAGGGTTTAAGGACTGGTTTTAAACTATTATAACTTAAGCTTTATGTCCACATAATTAACAAATTTGTACCAACAGTAGTTTTCTCATAATACACAATCTAATGTTTGCAAAAGCATCATGATCACACATGTATAACACACTTCCACTTCTGTGTACTGGAACAGCTTTTAAAGGTATTTCTGTATTACAACTTAATCTCAAGCTAATTAATTCAAAGGTGAGACCATCATTACAGTTTGACTTGTTCCTCTATCTTATCACTCTGATAAAAATCATCTGGTATGATAGAGCATTCTATAAAATTTGAGTATTAGATATATTTTATTTGATATCATTCACAAGGTGTATTGAAATGCCCTTCATTAATGATAAAGCACCATGTTAATTATAGATAATTAGAATTTGATTTCTTAATTTCAGGACCCCCGCTTCGGTCTTCACTTTCTGACAAAGCTGATGTACTTTGGCCAATGAACATGAATTCAAATATTGGTTAGTCTTGTTCTATCTTGTGAAATAACGGAGTAGATGTTCCAGTATTTAAATATAGTCCCAGTTTATAACTAGATACATGAACAAAACAAAAACAAAAACACCAAAACCCAACATTCTCTAGGTGAGGATACCAATAACCACTTTTGCTAAAAAGCTACATATTACTAAAACAATCTAACCTCAAGGCTAATCAAATTTTTGGAAAGAAAACAGTGAGATAACATTACTGAATAATTGAAATTATTATCTAAACATAGAAAGCGTGGTCATATTCATTTAATCACAGGTCCATATTATTTATAATAGGCTGATGTTCAGCAAAAAATATTTTATGTATAAGTGATCAATTTAAATATGGTACATATAAAAATAGCCATGAGACATTTTTGTTTTATAAGTTAGAGGCCAACAATTATTCATTGTAGTTGCCTGAAACTCCATCTAAAAAGGAGGATTTTTGTATTTTGAAAGAAGCTTTTCTCCTATTAAATACTTTCTGGGATTCTCTGAATACCATGTATCCTCTCCCTAAGAAATGCCTTTGCTCTTCTTGGCAACCACAAAGGGAATGTGGGGGCCTGATCCGTCCTCCACCCAACAGCCCATTCAGGATTAGTGCACATTTGTGCTTGCTCACTGCCCTTCTTGGGGTTGCACGGGGCACACTTCTGACAAAAGTCTTGCCCTTCTCCACACTGAACTCAGCTCTGCCTGAGCATCTCAGCAAGGTTCCACACTCAGCCCTGCTCACCCCATGACATCACTCCTGCTCACTGGATATAGATTTTTTATGTTTATTTTATAACAAAATGCATTACTAATCTTTTTTCCTAATTCTAATATACTTCTTAGACATTTTAATTTTGATTTTCAGGTAAATAATCATTTATAAATAATGACTGCTTCCTTTCTTCTTTTATTTATGCCTTTTACTTTATTTTACCATGCTGACTGGAACCTCCAAAATATGGCTGAATAACAAAGATGAGAGAGACATCCTTGTCTTATTCCTAACTTTAATTGGAATGGTAACTATGACATTGACCACTGGCTTCTGATATCTGTTATTAAATTAAGAAAGTAGCTTACTTCGCATTACACAGTTTTTATAGTTTTGTAGAATACACAAAGACCATCAAGCTTTGTAGCTTATTCACTCTTTGAAGACTAAAATCAACAGGGCAAACTCGGTATTTTCCCATTTTACCAGAAACGGGGGATCAGGAGGAAGGTGGATAATAATAGGAAAGTCAATGCTCTTTAGGACAAATACCTAATGCATGCGGGGCTTAAAACCTAGATGATGGCTTGATGGGTGCAGCAAACCACCATGGCACTTGTATAACTATGTAACAAACCTGCGCATTCTGCACATGTATCCCAGAACTTAAAGTATAATAATAATAATAATAATAATAATAATAATAATAATAATAATAAAAGTCAATGCTCTATAGTAAGTGAGGCAGCCAGTTCCCAAAATGGCCCTCAAAGATCTGCACCCTTGTGACATTCACGCCTCTGCTTCTCTATCATCTTGAGGTGAAGTCATAGAAGACACTGCAGCTTCTGCCTTGCTTGCTCTCTCTCTCTCTCTCTCTCTCTCTCTCTCTCTCTCTCTCTCAGACTTTGCTCTGGGGAATCTACTGCCATGTTGTGAGGGTATCCAAGTTGACCAATGGAGAGGCCCACATGACAAGGAACTGAGGCCTCCTGTCAACAGCTATGTCATTGAGCCATCTTGAAAGTGGCTTCTCCAATGTCAGTCAAGCCTGGCTGCTACTGTGACTGCAACTTCATGATAGACCTGGTGCCAGAGGCACCCAGTGAGCTGCTTCTACCCCACACCTGTTTCCTGACTCACAGAAACTGTGAGAAAATAAATATTAGTTGTGTTAAGCTGATTAAGTTTTGAGGGAATTTGGCATGCAGTAATAGATAACAAATACAGAAGGCATTTATAAAGACAACAGGATGGCAAGAGGGCTGAACTAACATCACCACAGGGATGCCAACTACTTAAAACTCTCAAGAATAATGGGTCAATGACCGAAAAACAACCATGCTTTTTACCAACAAACTCACTTCAGATAATCTATTTCTCTTAAAAAAAAATAACTGATTCAACATAGGGGAAAAAGCATACTACTAGCTATTTAAAATTTTTTGGAAAAAATTAAAGTATCTAAAATTGAGAAATACATAAGATGCAGCAATTAGAAACTATGTTCGGAAAGTTTTAAATAATATGTAATAAAATTACTATTATGGAACATTTTTGAATACTTACTATATATCAGGCACTATTTTAATCTTTTCATCTATTAATTCACTTAATTCTCATAATAATCTTGTAAGGTAAGACTATTCTTATCTCCAAATACAGATGGAGAAATGGCAGAGAGGGAATGAATAATGTGTGTGGTTCACACAGGGTGGAAACACTGGAATTTGAACATTGGTAGTCTGACCCCACAGGCACATGTCATTAACTACTTTGCCATGATGGGTAACAATGCTTAAGACACAACCTTAAGTGAAAACTATCTATACAAAGTGTGATTACAGCTCTGTGAAAAACCTGAATAGGAAAAATGAGTAAAAATGTTAAATAGCAATTATCTTAGAGTAGTGAAATAATGAATAATATTTTTGTTATTTGCCTGTTCTAGTACTTTTCAAATATTTTATAATGAGTAATATTAGTTTCAAAATCATTTAAAAAAGGAGAAAAATAAACCTTAAATGAAAAAAAATCTCACCAGTCATTTCTATAGCTCTGGTAGAATGGATTACCTCCACAGAGACAGAATCGTTTCTGGGTACCTGTCTTCTCCAAGAAAAGAGTTAAAGATGGTATTTTTATGGTGTGAGGAAAGTGAGGCTTAGGAAAGAGTCCTAGACCTTGATCTGAGCTCTACTACTTAACTTCTAATTTCACAACTTATTTTTTGGAGTGATTTACAGACAGATTCTTTTGGATTCAATGTAATACTTGGCTAATGTTTATTGAGCATTTACTGTATGCTAAGAACTATGCCAAGTCTTTCACATGGATCCTCTCATTTGAGCCTCACACACACTCTGTAGCAGGTGCAGTTGTGATCTCCATTTATAGCTGAGGAAACCAAAGCTTACAAGAAGTGAAGTAACTTGCCCAAGGTCACACATTAATAAGTGGTACTCAGTTATTCTCATTAGGTCCTACCTTATTTCAAGTAAATAATTTGAAATAAATTATAACCCTTTGGTTCAAAACATTTTCTCATTTACAGATATATGAGAAATTACATATAGGCCACCATGAGTCAAGCTGGAATTAAAATTGGGAATTTTATACTCAACTCCTGAAATCATGATCTCTTGCTCTAGATACAGTGGTATCACTGCTGCTAATACAACTGAGGTTTCTAAGCAGCCAGGAAACAGTAGCCCTGCCTTATATACCAATATCACTGCCTTTGAAGGAAAAGGATTAACTAAGAATTAAGGAGGAGCTACACAGGTTCCTGCATCCAGGGGTTCCCCAGGCTGCAGCCAGGGTAGGTGGGGTGTGCACAAAACAGCAAACAACTTCTCAAAGCTGGGAGTTGTTCTTATGCTATCTTTGAGAAAAGCATGGAGACTCTAGTTACATATCTGATGAGAATAGCACAGGTATCAAAAATGTTTGGATCCAGGCATCCTGTGACCGCCTTAGGGTTTGTTAACTTATTAAATGTCACCACTTGGAGAGCTAATCCAGACTGTTCCTGCTCTTAGGGACCCTTGAAAAGAAGCAGCATCAAAAAATGAACTGATCCCTGGCATGGTTAATTATTTTCTATCGATGTTTTCAATGGAGCACTGAAAAAAAGAAGATAGTTATTTCCATCTGTGATTTAATTACCACCATCCCCCCGTAACACAGGGAGGAAACAGGTGTCTCTAATTGGCCCAGGTCTTTTCTGGTTCTACTACATTTCTTTTCTCTAACTATTGTTTAAGTTCTGGACAGGCTTTTATGCACTATTTTTTTTAGACATCTTTAAGACAAACCTATTCAAATCTTTAAAAACTTCCAGCTAAACAGTTATTCTTATGCTGTGAAGTGAGACTATGAAATGATATGGAACTTGAATTGGAGTTCCACAATACCACAAAATAAGCCAATATTTAATGAGCCTTTTCTAGAGTTAAGAAATTAAGCTTGTCTAATAATCTCATCTGCCAGAATGAAGATTAATTTTTTCCCTTTTTTTTCAGTAGCTCTTCAATCTCTAGCAAACTCACACATACCCTGTCAAGAACTATCAGCAAAAAAATTTCAATGTAGTAGCATGCAGCTAGGGAAGGGGGGCAGCAAGGGTCAGGGAAGTAAGAGAACTCCATGGGGGACACTCACCAGCTATGGCACCAGCTAAGAGCAGGCTTCCTGGGCTAACCTGCCCATCTTCATTTGCAAAGGAAGCCTTCACATGAGCATAGCACGGAAAGTAGATGGCCGAGAAAGGAATGTCCCGCAGAAAGCATGCTTTGGCACCCTGCACATTTGCAAAGGAAGAAAAACCACATGAAACACATATCCCATTGAGGAGATCAAGCTTCTCTGGAACTCACCTCAGAACAAAATATTCCTGGAGAAGACCAAATTTGTACTCACACATTGAAAGGGGAACAGAAAAAAATAACCCAAATTCTGCAAGTAATAAATCTAAACTTTGTTTTTAAAACAAAAACTAGTTTTGTTGTGTGCTGTGATGGGAGGAGGGCAGTTCTCATTTATTCTAATGCTAAGACTTCAATTAAAACCTTTTTGGAACTCTGCCTGTGACATCCTTTTAAATCCCTACTGGTGGCAAGCCACTGGCATTTCAAGGAAGATCTGTTCTCTGGTCTCACCAAAGACGGGTAACGGCAGTCAAGATGCCTCTTTGTTTACACACTAGGAAGTAGACAAATTATACAGGTGGGGGGAAAAGGGGTTTGCTTTTTGTACGTTTGGACTGTTTCCCAGAAAGAAATTACACATACATAAAAAATTATATCTTTTCAGGGGGTTCATGGATCCTTCTAATTTTATTATATACTTACTTACCTGCCACCCAGGGTTTATGAAACATTGATAAATGCCTGCTCTAAAGCCTGAAATATTCACAATAATTCGGATACATTTTAAAGCTGTGTGTAGAACAATCAGTTCCTACAGCAAAGTCTTCAACAAATAGTTTCTGTTGCCAACATAATGCCATGCAGAGGCCCCGCGAATTGATGAGTGCCCAGAAATATGATATATTATGATGAAAACCACAACACATATATTGTGTTTTGGGTAGGGTGAATAGGAAGGAAATCATCACTTTTCAACATGTAATGATTTAATACCATTTCTTTAACAGATTTCTAATAACTAAAAATTTCCACCAAATACAGAGATTCCCAAAAGAAAATAATGAATCCAGCCAGAGTCAACAGATCTAGCCACACCCAGTGACACTTATTGAGGCCTAGTAATGCTGGATCTTGGGTATTTCTGTCTGATGCTCCAAACTGTCAAAGTTATTTAACACTATGTATCTGTTACTATAGCCTTTGTTTTCCTGACACGCACATTTCACTCCTGACTCAAACTGAGCTTGTGGGTAATAAAACCCTTAGTCTTTTTCATATGAATTACTATTAACTCAAGTCTACTATAACTTAATTAGTTGCCTCACACAAGTAACACAGGCAGGACATCAGATTTAATCCTATTAAGTTGCATCCTAGTTTGGCTCATCCTGCCAACCAGAACAAATGCTTGGAATCTGGATTCTGTCATGTTGGCTCTTCCTCAGTCAACTTACCCATGGATGTGTAAGCATGCCTCTGTTCACTCTGTGTATACAGGTATTCAGAGAAGCACTCATCTACCTCATGTACTGCCAACCGGCTCAGGCTTCTGTATCTTGTCCACCCCCAAAGTGTTAGATGTCTAATTAAGAATCACAATATCCACCACACCCAAGCTAGTCATTTTAGGCACGTACAAACTAACGTCCTGGACAGGTAATCTATCGTCCTGGATGGGTAATCTATCAATTGTGCATTTACCGAGGGCTATGCCCTTGGCTTGTTCAGAGGGCACCCTGGAGGTAGTTCCAGAGACAAGTCCAAAACTCAATACTCTAAGAGTTTTTTCCACTTCTCCCAGCTCTTTCAAAGGGAAAACATACAGTATAATGTTAATAACTGTGTGTAACATCCAATCCTTTTCTTACAACTAGTTTTTTAAAAAGTTATAATTCGGGCTGTTATTGTATAAGGCTAACAATATCAGCGTTTAGTTTCTGTTTTTCCTTCCTTTTCCCTTTTTGCCCCAAGCCTTCTTGTAAGTGCTGCTAGCTATTCATCCACATGTAGATTCAGTCCAGAAGATACTCAAATTAGACATCAAATAATCAACTCAAATGAAGATCACTTTAATCCCAGCTACTCGGGAGACTGAGGCAGAAGAATCGCTTGAACCCGGAGGTGGAGGTTGTAGTGAGCTGAGATCATGCCACTGCATTCCAGCCAGGGCAACAGAGTAAGACTCCATCTTAATAAAAAACATAAATAAATAAAAAATAAAAATTAAAAAACATTATTTCTTGGAAAAACATATCAGAAACTAAAACCAAGCTTTTAGCTTTTCTTTCATTTGTTGTTTTTTTTTTTTGATATGGAGTTTCACTTTGTTGCCCAGGTTGCCCAGGCTGGAATGCAGTGGCATGATCTCAGCTCACTGCAACCTCCACCTCCCGGGTTCACGATTCTGTTACTTCAGCCTCCTGGCCTCCTGAGTAGCTGGGACTACAGGTGCCTGCCACCACGCCCAGCTAGTTTTTTGTATTTTTAGTAGAGACGGGGTTTCACCACGTTGGGCAGGCTGGTCTCCAACTCCTGATCTCAGGTGATCCACCCACCTTGGCCTCCCAAAGTGCTGGGATTACAGGCATTGAGCCACTGCGCCTGGCCACTTTTAGCTTTTCAAACAAAGACATATTATTTGTTGGGAATGTAACAAAACGTAGGAGGAAACAGTCACTAATTTTGTATTGAAACATTAAAGTTTAAAAAAAGGGGGCGAGGGGAGAAAGAGAAGCAGATTAACCTGTCTTATGCTATGTGGCTTCAGTATGATCAGAAGGCCATGGGAAGACATGACTCGAAATTATAAACATCCCTGAGGCACAGGAAGAGTAAAGGCACATGAAGAATCAGTTGGGTCTTCTGAAGAAGGACCCACTGAGTGTTCCACCTTCTGAGAACCTCCTTCTTCTTCCTTTCCTGAAATCATGACAGTAAATCATGTATCCCTGTTACAATGGCATCTACAAGAGATGTGAGATGTACTTCAAGAGATGCTGGAAAACAACTCTACATGGCTGAGATGAGAAATGGCTTGATTAAAAACCAAACATACAAACAATTTTATATATATATATATATATAACCCTGAGGAAAGGGTAGAATTGCAACACTAAAGGAAAAATGCCTAGAAATGGGTTGTATTTCGTTTTCCAGGAATCAAGCAATGTGGTCAAAGTGTTTATGCAGACTAGAACAAATGTTAGGATATGCAAGAAGTCTTTGGTGTCTGATTACCTGAGAAAAAGGAAGAAATGGAAAAGTCAAGGAAGCAAAAGAACTTCCACCTGGTGTGATCATCCTGTCACCCCTAGCCATGTGATGAGCACCTGTAGAAATCAAGCTCTTAAGCTTCCTCACCTGTCAAAAATACCAAAGGCCATCTTCTTCAGGTGACTGGGACAACTGAAACTTTAGGAATGAATGAAGTAATATGTGTGAAAGTCCTTGTAAGGTATCCACTGCATTACAAACATTAAAGGACACAAATGTGTTCACCTGAGGGCTGTGTCTCCCTGCCTCTCCTAGCACCTTCTCTGGTGTCTCCCTGCAGAAAATACCTCTCCCAGTTGCGTCAGGAGGCGGCCCTTCACCTCTCTTGCACCCCAGGCATCAAAGCCCAATTCCCAAGGAAAGACAGAGACTTATTAAATTTCCCTGGCCTCTTTTTCCCCACCACTTCCTTTAGGTCTTAGGCATAAAGGCAGGTGCCAATTTGTAAGACTGCCTTAGGCAATACCTGACCTGTTGCTCTTGCACAATGAAAAGGGAAGCAGGATGTTAAAAAGACTTAAAGTTCTAAGGGGGAAAATGTTTCTCTCCCAGATTCCTTGATAAATCCTTCACTTTGTGGTGAACACCCATTCTCCAGTACTACAGCAAAACATAAACCTGTTTGACTTGAATTCTACTTGTTCCATGTATAATTTTTACCAAGAGATCAGCCATTCTGAAAAGGCAACTTTATAACAAAGGGAAACATTCCATGCTGCCCTAGAGCCTGCATCAGCAACACAAAAATATTACTTTGGCCATTTGAGAATTAATAAGTTACAAAGGTGTGCCACTTAAAAAAAAATATTTAAACATTCCTGCCATATAAGAAAATCCCCACATTTTCCTGCTTTGGTTTTTTTTTTTTTTTTTTTTAAACTGGTTTTCTAGGCAGCTCTGCCCTTAAACATTCTCTGATTGGTCCTGAATTTCCTCAGTATATACTATAATCAGTTGGGGAAAATTAATAAATGCAAAATACAATCATCTAATCTCTCTAAAGATGATAAACTATTGGGTTTTTCTTTTTAAATAAAAGGCACACTAATATCCAGACAGGGACAACAAAAATCATCTCAGGGTAGACCTACGTTATAAACTGGGAAAAAACCCTCAGATCTAGTTTAATTATCAACTCTGCCTCCATTCCAATTCTATATCATGCCAAAGTCTCTCCATCATCATCCTATTTAAGATCTAGAAAAGCTTCTTTAAGGGTAGGCCTCACTTAACTTCAAATTAATAGTCCACAATTGACACAGGCCAATTAGATAGGCTTAGAGATTCTGGCGGCAGCATATCATGGCAAAAGAATCATTTATTTTGCTTCTCATGCCTTTTTGATGTGGACACTGTGCTGAAAGCCCAAGGAAGCTTTAATCAATTCTCAAGTTGCTAGGATCGTCCACTCAAGTTTATTTTGCCAGCTCTGCCTGGTATGAAACTGTCAATAGATATAACACAACAGGATTTGTATCTCTCTTTCTCTCGCACGCATGCTGTTGCACATGCACAGCAATTTCCGATGTCTCTTTTTCTTCTTTTAAAACTCTTCATCTTGGATGGTAAATCACCTGCCCAATCAATCCAAAGTGGGGAAAAAACCAGTCCTGAAGGATGGTGCTGATAAAGAAGTCAGGGCCAGGGCAGGTCTTTTTGCATGCTAATTCCTGCTTATTCTAGCTGTACCTGCAAACACAGCTCTAAACAGACTATTTCTAATACAGGGAAAGGTAATTACACTCACAAAGGCACCTCTGTGTCGGGCCGGGCACCAGGAGCCAGCAGGTCTGGGAGACGGAGGCTTAACAGAGACTCCAGCAGTGAATGCACATTGTCTAGCACGGGGAAAATGCCAGACTGGGGACCCTGCAGCATTCAAGACAACAGTGGTGCACCTTGTCTGAGAAGGTTATTCAATGCTTCTGGCACCTGTCGTCAGAGCCACCCAGCCCTCTTTTCCTACCTTACAGGTTTAGAATTTATTTGGCATGTATAATTATATATTTTGATCCCAGAGCTACAAACAATGGGCAGCATGTCATGACTTGATCCCTTAGCATTCCTCTTGGCTTCCCCCAAGCAAGTTAACCCTTAGATACACAGCTTGGCAGTGCCTCTCCAGCCCAGTCAAAGGATGGTTAGACCCCACCTACATGGCTGAGATTTGAGGAGGGTGAGTTTGAGTGTCTTGCTGAGAAATAGCAATGGTGCCAAGACCTATTATGTGATTGTGTCACTTGTGTTAAAACCAAATAAGCCAGCCAACATTTGAAGACTTGATATCAGTGAACATGGAAATTACTTCAATTTGAATATGAAATATGAATGACTATTACTTGGCTTCTTTAATCCAGGGACTTTAGGGATATGGGTTCTCCTTAATTTCATTGCAATTCTAACAAAATCATCTTGACAACTCTGTTTCTTGTAGGAAATGCTGCTTGGGTCAGTGCTAGTTCTCTATTGTTCTAGTATTGTACACTGCTTTGCCATCAACAATGCTCATCACTGAGATGGACTGAAAATCCTAGACATGGTACAGAGGAATGTTATCACATGGAATTTTAGTCCTGAAGCTGCTAGTCATGTCACCTTCACAAAGCTCATCTGTAAAACATGTTCCACCTTTTCTTTATTTCTTTATTATTATTATTTTTTGAGACAGTGCTGGAGTGCAGTGGTGCAATCTTGGCTCACTGCAACCTCCACCTCTGGTTCAAGCAATTCTCCTGTCTCAGCCTCCCAAGTAGCTGGGACTACAGGCGTGCGCCACCATGCCCAGCAAATTTTTGTATTTTTAGTAGAGATGGGGTTTCAACATGTTGGCCAGGATGGTCCTGACCTTTTGACCTTGTGATCTGCCCGCCTCAGCACTCTCTGCTGTGATTCTGGGGGCTGCCTGATTCACGAATCATTCATTGTACAATTAAACTCCCTTACTTTGGCTGAAGTTTTACTTTTAACAAGACTAAACATTTACCACTTTTTTTGCTATTCATTCCTGACACATCTCCACCTGGGATCACCTTCCAGAATTTCCTTCATTAAGGTTCTACTGGTGACACACTTTCTGAGTTTTGCTAGTCTAAAAAATATCTTTACCCTTGTTCTTAAAAGCAATTTTTACAGGGTATACAAGTCTAGGTTGAAAAGTTTTTTTCCTCCACATACTGAAGACACCCCATTCAACTGTCTTCTGGCTTCCACTGTTGCCATTTTTAGGTTAGCCGTCAGTTCAACTGTTGCCCCTTTGAAGGCAAATTGACTTTTTTTCTCTGGCCACTAAAGAGCTTCTCTCTAGCTCTGGTGTTCAGCAGTTTTCCTCTGATGTGTCTAGTCTGGATTATTTTCAATTATCCTACACCTGCAATTTGTTGCATTTTTTTCTTTTTCTTTTTTTTTTTTTTTGAAACAGAGTCTTGCTCTATCACTTAGGTTAGAGTGCAGTGGTGCAATCATGGCTCACTGCAGCCTTGACCCCCTGGGCTCAAGTGCTCTTCCCCCCTCAGCCTCCCAAGTAGCTGGGACTACAGGTGCATGACACCATGTCTAGCTAATTAAAAAAATATTTTTGTGTAGAGATGAGGTCTCACTATGTTGCCCAGGCTGGTCTTGAACTCCTGCACTCCCAAAGTGCTGGCACTAGAATTATATGTTTCTCTTCTCTTGCCCCTTAACATAGATCATTTTTAAGGCAATGATACTGTACACATCTTTGGTACTCTAGCATCTAATAGTGTTAGCATTCAATATACATTTGGTGAAAGAATAAAAGAATGGTTAAAAAAATTGATCATTTGCTGTTACTTTAAGGAATCCTTTTTTTCTGGTGTCTTTAGCACACTCAATTCCTCTGGGCATTGTTTTATAAAAATAATATTTTTCAAGCCATCTCCTTTTAATTTGCTATTCTAAAGTTCAAAGCAGAAGACCTGGCCTGGAGAGGTTGTTGACCACACAGCATTGGAAATTACCCAGGACTGGAATAATGTGGAAGAAACTAGGTATTCCTGCAAGAATCCCTTAGTTGACACTCAATAATGAAAAGTTGATAACAACTAACACATCATGTGTACTATGTGCTCAACTCTATCCTGTATGCTTTACATGCATTATTTTAGTAAATCCACACAACGATACTATGAATAGGTAGGTATGATTATTATCCTCTTTCTACACACGAGTCAATGATTCATCTGAAGCACAGGGGAAGTTTCGTAAAAAGAAAAATTTTTTTTTCAAACTAAGTATTGGGTACTATGCTCACTACCTGGGTAACTGAATCATTCATATCCCAAATCCCAGCATCATGCAATATACCTGTGCAACAAACCCGCACATGTTCCCTCCAATGTAAAATAAAATTTGAAATTATTTTTTAAAAGTTCTTTTTTTTTCCAGTTTTTGTTTAATACAAGCTTTAAGCAGAGATTATGGACATTACATGACCTGTAGTATTTTTCAAATGTTCACACATATTAGATACAAAACCTGACTCCTTGAGGTATACTTGATACCCTCTCCTTAAATTTCTAAAAATCCTTCCTTAAATGAGAGAATAAAAGTCCATCAGGAGTAAGGCACAACATTTTTATTTATTTATTTACTTATTTCAATTTTTGATGTTGGTATATTTGTGAAAAGACTCAGTCACTCTCTCTCATACATCAAGAATATGTACACTTAGACACCTCATATGAATAGAATCATGCAGTATTTGAAGTTCTGTGACTGCCTTGTTTCACTTAATATAATGTCTTCCAGACTTATCCATCTCATTGCAAAAGCAGGATATCCTTCCTTTTTAAGGCTATAATATACCATATTTTCTTTATGCATTCCTTTGTTGATAGACATTTGGGTTATTTCATAGCTTGTCTATTGTAATAATGTTGCAATGAACCTGGTAGTCATCTCCTTCAGATATCTGATTTCCATTCTTTTTTTTTTTTTTTTTTTTTTTTTTTTTTTGAGACGGAGTCTCGCTCTGTCGCCCAGGCTGGAGTGCAGTGGCGGGATCTCGGCTCACTGCAAGCTCCGCCTCCCGGGTTCACGCCATTCTCCTGCCTCAGCCTCCCAAGTAGCTGGGACTACAGGCGCCCGCCACTACGCCCGGCTAATTTTTTGTAGTTTTAGTAGAGACGGGGTTTCACCGTTTTAGCCGGGATGGTCTCGATCTCCTGACCTCGTGATCCGCCCGCCTCGGCCTCCCAAAGTGCTGGGATTACAGGCGTGAGCCACCGCGCCCGGCCTGATTTCCATTCTTTTGGATGTACACCCAGAAGGGGGATTGCTGGATCATATAGTAGTTCTATTTTAACTTTTTGAGAAAACTCCATACTGTTTTCCACAGAGACTGTACCACTTTACATTTCTACCACCAAGGATCTCCTTTTTTTTTTTTTTTTTTTTTTTTTGAGACGGAGTCTCCCTCTGTCACCCAGGCTGGAGTGCAGTGGCACAATCTCAGCTCACTGCAACCTCCACCTCCCGGGTTCAAGTGATTCTCCTGCCTCAGTCTCCCAAGTAGCTGGAACTATAGGCACGTCCACCATACCCGGCTAATTTTTTGTACTTTTAGTAGAGATGGGGTTTCACCATGTTAGCCAGGATGGTCTTGATCTCCTGACCTCGTGATCTGCCCGCATCGGTCTCCCACAGTGCTGGGATTACAGGCGTCAGGCACCGCGCCTGGCCTACCACCAAAGATTTCAATTTCTCCACAACCTCACCATTGCTTATCTTTTGTTTTTTTTTTTTTTTGCTAATAGCTATCCTAACAGGTATGAAGTGCTATCTCATTGTAGTTATGATTTGCATTTCCCTGATGATTAGTGATGTTGAAAATTTTTTACATCCTTTTTTCACATACATACGTGTTGGCCATTGGTATGTCCTCTTTGGAGAAATATCTATTCTAGTCCTTTGCTCATTTTTAAAATCAGCTTCTTTTTCTTCACGGTAGCACCAGCTGATGTCATATTAATTTTGCGCATTCCTTTCTTTTTTCTTTCTTTTTTTTTTTTTTTTTTAGACACAGCATCTCACTCTGTTGCTAGGGCTAGAGTGTGGTGGTGCAATCATATAGCTCACCGCAGCCTCGAACTCCTGGGTTCAAGTGATTCTCCTGCCTCAGCCTCCCAAGTAGCTGGGACTACAGATGTGTACCACCATGCCCCGCTAACTTATATTTATTTATTTTTGGAGGGATGGTGTCTTGCTATGCTGCCTAGGCTAGTCTTGAATTCCTGGCATTAAGAGATTGCCCTGGCCTCCTGAAATACTGAGATTACAGACGTAAGGCACCATGCTCGGCCATATCTTTGTTCTCTTGATAGCTGCCCTGTCCTACCCAATATACTGTGAGCAGGGACTTGGCTTTAAACAGCCATCTCCTAAAGGCTGGAACAGTGCCTGGCACACAGTAAGCTCTCAATGAGTGTGTTGAGTGAGTGAATTAATATGATTTACATTTTAAATGGATCACTTTGGCTGCTGTGGCAACAGTGGATTTAGGAGAGTCAAGAGACAAAATAAAGAAAGCCCTGAAGAGGCTTTCACAGATGCTCAGATGAAGGATAAAAGTAGAAATGGATGGGTGAGAACTACCACTAGGCTGGTTGTAAAACCACAGCATGTCCCTGGGTATCAGAAAACTAGAATGGCAATGTGTTCTCAAAGTAGACTAAACAACTGCTTCCTTCAGGTCCGGCTGTGAGCACGTAAAAATACAAGTTTTTAAAAGATGATAAACTGAAGAATTAATCTTATGAGTACTTATATGTTACCAAGAAAAAAGGGATAAACTGAAAAAAACTGGATAAAATCTATTAACACTAAAAAGTGCACATGTCCTTTGACCTAACAACTTCAATGCTAGGAATTTATCTTTTCTAAGCAATCACAAAAGTATGTCAAAATATACATAGGGATGATCACCATGGCATTGCTTGATATATCTTCAAACTAGAAACATATTCATCAACAGCAAACAGTTAAACAAAAAAATTTCCATAGTTATTAAATAAAATGAGGAAAGAGCTTTAAGATATATTGTGTTTGAAAAGATTCTATTTGTGTTAAAACACAATTTTACTTAAGAAAAGTAAAATATTCTCCTTTCATTTTAATTTTAGATTCAGGGGGTACACATACAGGTTTGTTACAAGGATATATTGCATGATGCTGAGGCTTGGGCTTCTATTAATCCTGTCAGCTAGGTACTGAGCAGAGTACCTGAAAGGAAGCTTTTCAGCCCTTTCCTCCTTTCCTCTTTCCCTTCCTCCTGTTGGTGTCTTTGTGCTCATGTGTACCCAAGGTTCAGCTCCAACTTACAAGTGAAAATGTGATATCTGGTTTTCTGTTTCTGCATTGATTTGCTTAGGATAGTGGCCTGCAGCTGCATCCATGTTGCTGCAAAGGATATAATTTAGTTCTTTTTTATGGTTGTCTAGTACTCCATTGTGTGTAGTTTCCACATTTTCCTTATCCAATCTCCTGTTAATGGTAACCTAGGGTGATTCTATGTCTTTGCTATGGAAAACATACATACTTTTCTGATGCTGATATTCGTAAAATTTTTGAAAGAGAAATACTAATCTGAGCAGAAAGTTTTTCTTTTTTTAAGGATATATTAATATAAAATCTTCAGCAGTGGCTATCCTTTGAAGAGAATGGAGCAGTAAAGGGTAGAGAGATAATTTTACTTTTCTTCATACACCTTTCTAAATTACTTGATTTTTTTGAAATATAAATTATATTTTACTTTTTAAACTAAAAAAATCAATCTCTCTTTGAGATAACTGGCAGAATAAATAAGAATGTACTGATATATCATAACTTGCTTTCTGAGTTTATGAACAATAGCTCCAATGAATCATTTATACACACATTATAGATGAACACATGTATACAACATTTATGTATATGGATAAAAATATCTTTGAATACTGTCAAATGCAGTGGAAAAAAACAACGCCTTTGATTAGAACACAGCAGACAGAGTCCATATTCCTAAGTGACCCTCCAAGGTAGAATCAAGGTTTAATTTGTGATTATAGAATTTGAAAACTTTTCAACAGTGCTTGATGGATCCCAGCTGTCATTGCTTCACTGACCATGTTTTGTACTCAAAAAG